>NC_000016.10:30062522-30377729 GCF_000001405.40 Homo sapiens | reverse complement strand
TCCGGCCCCGCCCCGGTCCCCACTCACCTCCTCCTGGGAGAAGCGGTCACACTGCGTGGTCAGCAGCTCCTCCAGGCTGGAGAGAGGTGACACAAGGGGAGTTGCGATTGGGTTCCTGGTTCCTTTCCACTCCCTCGCACCTCATCCCCGATGCCAGCCCCAGCCTCCCCTGAAAACCCAGGTCACTCTACTTCCTTCATTGGCCTCCCAGACACTCGCTTTTGCCCTCTCCGCCCACATTTGCTGTGAAAATGCAATCTTACCGCCCATTACCACAATCTTAACTACTCCCTTACCTCTGGCAGTGCCTAACCCTTCGTAGGAATTTTTGGGTTTTTGTTTGTTTTGAGACAGGGTCTCACCCTGTCGCCCAGGCTGGAATGCAGTGGTTTGATCACGGCTCACTGCAACCTGGAACTCTTGGGCTCAAGGGATCTTCCTGCCTCAGCCTCCGGAGTAGCTGGGACTATAGGTGTTTGCCACCACTCCCGCGAATTTTTTTTTTTCTTTTTTTTGGAGACGGAGTTTTGCTATTGTCGCCCAGGTTGGAGGGCAGTGGCGTGATCTTGGCTCACTGCAACCTCCGACTCCAGGGTTCAAGCGATTCTCATGTCCCAGTCTCCCTAGTAGCTGGGACTACAGGCGCCCGCCACCACGCCCAGCTAATTTTTGTATTTTTAGTAGAGACGGGGTTTCACCGTGTTGGCCAGGCTGTTCTTGGACTCCTGACCTCACATGATCCGCCCGCCTTGGCCTCCCAAAGTGCTGGGATTACAGGCATGAGCCACTGTGCCCGGCCAGCCCACGAATTTTTTAGTTAAGTTTTTAGAAACAGGGTCATGCTGTGTTATCCAGGCTGATCTCAAACTCCTGTCCTCAAGTAAATCCTCCTGCCTCTGCCTCCCAAAGCACTGGGATTATAGGCCTGAGCCACAGGGCCCAGCCTTGGTAGAAATTTAAGGAGGCTGTCAGTGTGGGAGCAGCTGGTGGAGTGGGGGAAGGGTCGGAAGGGTGGGGGAGCCGATGCTTACAACTTCTTCTTGATGGTGCCCTTTCCCTCAGGGTCCAAGACCTTGAAGGCTCCGGTGATCACATCCTCAGGGTCGGCACCTGTGGGGGTCAGAGGGCACATGAAGCTGATGGGTCCCTGAAGGGTCTGGGAAAAGGCAGCCGGGGCCTTGGACCCAGGACACTCCACTCACCCTTGAGCTTCTCCCCGAACATGGTCAGGAAGACGGTGAAGTTGATGGGACCGCTGGCTTCCTTCATCATGGCATCCAACTCCTCATTCTTCACATTGAGGCGGCCTGGAGGGGGTTGGGGGAAGCATGGGCTGGAGCAGGCTCCTGGGGCCGGGCCTGCGCTTCCCACTAATTCAGCTGATCCCATTCATTTTTCAGCTGGGTAGACTGAGGCCCAAGGTGGAGCTGACAGGGCTGGAACCCAAGGCCACTGAATTTCCTAGACTCTGCAGCCTTGAATATTCCCACCTGGGGGTAGGGGGCTCACCCATGGCTGCGAAGGTGTCCCGAAGGTCCTCCTTGTCTATAATACCATCACGGTTCTGGTCGATCACAGTGAAGGCCTGGGGAGGGCCGTGGTGGGGAGGGTTAGGTCCCCCATGGCCCAGCCTCAGCATCCCTACCCCAGGAGGATCAGATGCTGGCTCTCAGCCAACTGTCCTCTTCCACCCCAAGCAGAGAGGGGAGGAAGGAATTCTAAACCTTTCCCCTCCTTCAAGCAGGTGCACATTCCAGGGAGAGGGCCAGCAGGGCTGCTTTTGGTCAGCCTTCCAGTTTCCCCGTCCCCTCACCCACCTCTTTGAACTCCTGGATCTGAGTCTGGTCGAACATGGAGAAGACGCTGGAGCTTCCGCCCTCTACTGTCCTTCTCTTGGCCCTCTTGGGTGCCTGGAGGGTGAGGGTTGAACAAAGGGGCCCATGGACCAGTCCCTCCACCTCTCTGGGGGCAATGGATTAAGAGTCAGAATTCTTCGAGTCCCTGTTCCTAAAGCAGCCCTTTGGCCTGAGTCTCCCCTTCCTTGGGACCTCTTTGCTGAGGGGGCTTGCTTTGATTGCATTCCCCAAATTCCCGTCTGTGGCTCCTGGGTCTCCAACTCTCCATCCCCCACAATGGGTGGAAGCTTCCTTATCTTCTCAGTGTCCTGAGCCTAGCTCCTCTGAGCCTCAGACTTGCTGTGTGACCCCAGCCACTCATTTGCCCTGTTTGAGCCTCTACTTTTCTTTTCTTTTTTTTTTTTTTTTTGAGACAGAGTCTTGCTCTGTCACCCAGGCTGGAGTGCGGTGCTGCGATCTCGGCTTACCGCAACCTCTGCCTCCCGGGTTCAAGCGATTCTTATGCCCCAGCCTCCGTAGTAGCTGGGATTACAGGCATGCACCACCACGCCCAGTTAATTTTTGTATTTTTAGTAGAGACGGGGTTTCGCCTGTTGGCCAGGCTGGTCTCGAACTCCTGGCTTCAAGTGATCCAACCACCTTGGCCTCCCAAAGTGCTGGGATTACAGGCGTGAACCACAGCACCTGGCCTGAGCCTCTACTTTCTCATTTGTAAAATGGGATGGGAGTTATTGCCTGGCTGGTGCCAGAGGGCCTTAGGAAGATGGAGTACAGGAATGAATGGATCAGGCTTTGAGAGGGACTGGGCCCCTGTGAGTTGAATGTCTGGGCGGATTATCATTGATTGGATCCTTTAGGCCATCACACAGTCTGTTTTCCATCAGTGATGCCGAGAAAGAGATGAGCATCCTTTTAACTTTTTGTTGGACTGGGAACCAGCTACTTTCTTTCAAAGGGTGAGGCTGCCCTGAGGTCTAAGGGATCTGGGCAGGGGTTGGAGGATTCTCACTCACCATGTCTTCAGTCTCCGGGGGGCAAGGCAGCGGCTCCGGCTGGAAAGAAGCAAGGAGTCAGCATGGGGCAGTCCCTCTGGGGTTATATAGTCCTGCCCCAGGGAGCCCTTAACATACCAAGGTAACCTTAGCCCTGCGGGTGCCCACCCCAGATACCAAAATAGCCCAACTCAGGGCCTCTCCTTTCTTGGAGGGCTGGCAGCAGCTGGAGCCCAGCGGGGAGGAAGGGGGGAGCATGTCTTGCGATGCATGTCTCACTAGGGCCTGGGCAAGAAGAGATGTTCTTTCTCCCAAAGAGGGGCTGGAATGTGCCAGAGTTTAGAGGGGACGCAACCCAAGGCATCATTCTGGGAGATAAATGAACCAGATCCTGTACCCCTGAGTGGGGTGGGCTCAGATTTAAACCCAGTAAACGTCTGGGTGCAGTGGTTCACACCTGTAATCCCAGCACTTTGGGAAGCTGAGGCAGGAGGATTGCTTGAGGCCAGGAGTTCAGGACCAGCCTGGGCAACATAGTGAGACCCCTGTCTCCCTTTTTTTTTTTTTTAGACAGTCTCGCTCTGTCTCCCAGGCTAGAGTGCCAGTAGTGTGATCTCGGTTCACTGCAACCTCCACCTCCCCTGTTCAAGTGATTCTCCTATCTTGGCCTCCCGAGTAGCTGGGATTATAGGTGTGCCACGAAGCCAGGCTAATTTTTTTTTTCTGTATTTTTAGTAGAGACAGGGTTTCACCGTGTCGGCCAGAGTGGTCTCAATCTTCTGACCTGGTGATCCATCCACCTAGGCCTCCCAAAGTGCTGGGATTACAGGTGTGAGCCACTGCGCCTGGCCCCCGTCTCTATTTTAAATTAATAAAATAAACCCAGTAAACATGTATTGAACACACACAGTGTGCCACGTGCTAGGCTGGGCTTTGTGGATGTACTTTGGCAGACACAATCCCTCCACCCCCACATGGTGGAGTTCATAGTCAAGTGTGTGTAAGTGTGAGGGTGGTGAGAAAGAGCCATCTGTGGAAGCTGAGGGATCAGGTGGGTCTCCTACCTCCCTTCAAGGAGAGGGGAATTTTTTTTTCTTTTCTTTCTTTTTTTTTTTTTTTGAGATGGAGTCTTGCTCTTGTCACCCAGGTGGGAGTGCAATGGTGCGATCTCGGCTTACTGCAACCTCCGCCTTCTGGGTTCAAGCGATACTTCTGCCTCAGCCTCCTGAGTAGCTGGGATTCCAGGCACCCGCCACCATGCCCAGCTACTTTTTTTTTTTTTTTTTGAGATGAAGTCTCGTTTTGTTATCCGGGCTGGAGTGCAGTGGCGTGATCTTGGCTCACTGTAACCTCCGCCTCCCGGGTTCAAGTGATTCTCCTGCTTCAGCCTCCCGAGTAGCTGGGACTACAGGCGCGTGTCACCACGCCCGCCTAATTTTTTTGTATTTTTAGTAGAGACGGGGTTTCCCCGCGTTAGCCAGGATGATCTCGATCTCCTGACCTTGTGATCTGCCTGCCTCGGCCTCCCAAAGTGCTGGGATTACAGGCGTGAGCCACCGTGCCCGGCATCTAATTTTTTGTATTTTTAGTAGAGATGGCGTTTCACCATGTTGGCCAGGCTGGTCTTGAATTCCGACTTCAGATGATCCACCCGTCTCGACCTCCCAAAGTGCTCAAAGTGCTGGGATTACAGGCATGAGCCACCGCGCCGAGCCAAGAGGGATTTTTTGAGGCAAGATGCTTTGTGGTCTCAGGTTTTGTGCTGGGCCTTGGTTTCCCCTCTGTAAAAGGGAGATGTAGTTCCCATCCCACAGAACTTGCCTTATAACTAATAGAGACAGGAATGAATGCAGAAACTGACATACCAGAGCTGGTCAGGAGCCCAGAAGTGGAGGGCGCAGCAGCCCTGTCTAGGAGTATGGGAGTGGCTTCACGAGGGCCAGGGAGTCAGGTGCAGGTGGAGGAGCAGATGTGCTGGGCGGAGGGCATGGCCTGAGCAAAGGCCTGGAGAGCGGAAGATCAGAAGTGTTCAGGTGGCCAGAATTGTGATGGGGCTGGTGACCAGCCCCTGAGGGGCCTTTGCCAGGCACAGGACGGAGACCCTGGGGAACCTTGGAAAGGTTTCATGCAGAAGAAGGATGTGATCTAGTATGAGTCTAGAATATTTTCTCTGGGTACTGGTGTGGAGGCTGGAACTCAAGAGGGGAGGAAAAGACCCTAAAAGGACAGCCAGCTGGTCACTTTCTGTGAGGTGCCTTGATAGCCAGTGGCAGCTCACTTTATTCTGGCCAAGAGCCAGCTTGGCTGATTGTGTGACTTTGATGTACCCTCTCTTCTCCCTCTGGGCCTCAGTGACCCAGTCCCCTCCATGCAGCAGAAGTCTGGAAAAATAGTGGCTGAGGAAGCCCCAAGTTGGCAAGGACAACCATCTCCTTCTCCTCCCGCTCCCTCTAGGACCCGATGTCCTGAGGAAGATGCCTCCCCCTGCCCTGTCCCCCCTCCTCCAGGCCCATGCCGATACCTCTAAGACATTTTCTTTTCTGGGCACTGAGGCCCCAGCCACCTGTTGTCTCTAAGAAGAGAGAAGGAGCCACCCTAAACTTAGCAGCTGCCCTTAGCCTCCCACACCAGCCCCTCCCTGCCTCAGACAGCAGCTGCCTCGCCTTATAGGGTTACCACGGGGGTCCAGGCCAGGGAGGAGCCCACTTATTACTGGGTTCTGGGAGAGGAGGAGGACTCCAAAAAGGGGAATGGGAGGAGAGCTCAGGAAGCTTGGGTCAAACGGGAGATGGGAAAGGTGAGGAGAAGGAGATCAGACACTGAGTGGGAATTGACAGGACATGGGGCTGAGTTGGGAGTGAGGGACCTTAGAGGACTCAGAAACCAAGGAGGAGCTGAGAAGTCGGGAGCTAGGTCTCACTGGAATTCCAGGATGGTGGATGCTATATGGAAATCAGAATATGGGGGTCAGAGAAAGAAGAGGGCGTTTAGAAGTTGGAAGGTTGGAGCTCATAACGTCAGGTCTTTATGCTTGTGATCTAAGGACAACCTGGAGCGCTCATGAGATTGAGGTCGGGATTCTCAGTGGAACATGAGGAGCACAGAGGGATGTGGCAGTGAGGGGAGAGGGGTTGACGGGACTGGGGCCTTGGATCCCCAAAAGAATAGTAACACACATATGGGGAGTTCATGGTATTAGGGATTCATGGATTTGGGGTTTGAGATCCCCACTAGAAGAAATGGAGGGGGTACTCAGAGGGATAAGGTCTGAGGAACTGGAGCCTGGGTTCTGGGGAGGAGCTCAGATAGATGGGAACTGAGGAGAGGGACTTGGAGGTTGGGATTCCCGCAGGAAATGGGTGAAGCAGAGATATGGGTTGCTTATAGGATCTGGGGGCTCTGGCTATTGCCACCTGGGCCTGGAGTGTTGGGGTTAGTTGGGGGCCGAGATCGGAGAATTATAGAGTAAAGGATGAGAGTACTGGGTCAGGGCACTGGATCTGTGGTGGGGCTCAGGGTCCCACAGACCACCAGAGTGTGGGGCTCAGGAGCTGAACGAAGAATAGGGGACCGGAAAGGACTCGAGAGGGGGCAGCGCGGCACTCATTGGTTGAGGGCTGCACTAATGCCCCCGCCCCTTCTCCGTGCTGTCCCCAGCTGTCACCCTCCCATAAGGCTTGTCTCCGGTTGTCACCGACTATCCCTGGGCTGGCACCGCCTGCTGGCAGCATCTTTGCCCTTTGGATGCTCCCATTGGCTGAGACAGCTATCTATTTTCCTGTCCTGTGGCCAAAGTGGGAGAACACGATCATTGGCTGACGGGGCGAATTAATCTCTAGCTTGCCCCGCCTCCTCCCAGCTGTCATTCCTTACTGACCATTTTGGGAGACCTAAAGAATTCTTCAGCTCTTCCTATTGACTGCGGATGCTGTCTGTCACCGCCTAAATAGACATCACTGCCTGTCAATTTGACCTCCACCTGCTCCCCTTTTCATTGGCTCCCTTTTTACCATTCCTATTGGTTAAGAAGCCTCCAGGCCCCACCTCTTACTCGCACAGCCCTGCCTCCTCCTCCGCCCTTCCGCGGTCATTCACCCTTCAGTCATATTCATTGGCCAGGAGGTTCAGACCCCTGCGTTTCTATTGGTTATTTCTTTCGTCCCATCGCCCCCTGCCTTTCCTCGTCCTCTGATTGGTCTTACAGCCCTAGCTTTCTCCGTTTCCTCTTTCCAGATGACCCACCCCTTTTTCGCCTCCAGCCCCGCCCACGATTCCAACGATTGGCAGAAGCCCAGTTCTCTCTCTCCCACTATTCGTCCAAATCCTCTGACTAGGCGGGAGAAAAAAGGAGCGCGATGAGCCAGTCCGCGCGCAGGCGTGGAACGCCGAGACGCTGGCGCGGAGCCGGCTCTGCGGCGTGTGCGCAGGCGCGAGGTCGGCGGCTCGCCCCCAAGCAGGAGGGAGGGGGCGGTGGCGAGAGCGCGCGAGGGGGTGAGAGGGCTCGAGAGAGACCCCGGCGCGCGGCGCCCCCCGACCCCTGCCCCGCCTCTGCGCGCCCAGCGGCCGCTCCGCCCCCGGCGCGCGCCGAGCCGCGCCCTTCGCCCTCTCCCCTTTCTCGGCTGGCCTCGCCGGGAGGCCCGAGGGGCGGCGCCTTCTGCGGCCTCCCCGGCGGGGGGATGTGAGGGGCGGCCCGCGGCCATGGAGACGGGCACGGCGCCCCTGGTGGCCCCGCCGCGCCGTCATGGCGCCCCCGCGGCCCCCTCGCCGCCGCCCCGGGGTTCCCGGGCCGGGCCCGTCGTGGTGGTGGCTCCGGGACCTCCAGTGACTACGGCCACTTCGGCCCCCGTCACCCTGGTGGCCCCCGGGGAGGCGCGGCCCGCCTGGGTCCCGGGGTCGGCCGAGACCTCTGCTCCGGCCCCGGCCCCAGCCCCGGCCCCAGCCCCGGCTGTCACGGGCAGCACGGTGGTGGTGCTGACCCTGGAGGCCTCGCCCGAAGCCCCAAAGCCGCAGCTCCCCTCCGGCCCGGAATCCCCAGAGCCCGCGGCAGTGGCTGGAGTTGAGACATCGAGGGCTCTGGCCGCAGGGGCAGACTCGCCGAAGACAGAGGAGGCTCGACCCTCACCCGCCCCAGGACCAGGGACCCCCACCGGGACCCCTACCAGGACCCCTTCCAGAACGGCTCCTGGTGCCCTGACCGCCAAACCCCCGCTTGCCCCCAAGCCGGGAACCACAGTGGCCTCAGGAGTGACTGCACGGAGTGCATCAGGACAAGTGACAGGTGGGCATGGAGCTGCCGCAGCAACATCAGCATCAGCAGGACAGGCTCCTGAGGACCCCTCAGGCCCTGGCACAGGCCCCTCTGGGACTTGTGAGGCTCCGGTAGCTGTCGTGACCGTGACCCCAGCTCCGGAGCCTGCTGAAAACTCTCAAGACCTGGGCTCCACGTCCAGCCTGGGACCTGGCATCTCTGGGCCTCGAGGGCAGGCCCCGGACACGCTGAGTTACTTGGACTCCGTGAGCCTCATGTCTGGGACCTTGGAGTCCTTGGCGGATGATGTGAGCTCCATGGGCTCAGATTCAGAGATAAACGGGCTGGCCCTGCGCAAGACGGACAAGTATGGCTTCCTTGGGGGCAGCCAGTACTCGGGCAGCCTGTGAGTACCAGTGGGCACCCAGCGGGACCGCCTCGGGGAAGCAAAGGTTGGGGGAGGGCGAAACGAAAACGATACACTTTGCCCAGACTCTGGCAGCCCAGCCTCCTCTGAGGATCCACGGGGTGATCAGCGCGAGCTGCCGTGTCTTGAGCATCCTGAGGTGCCTGTGACATTGGCATGTTAGTGGAGTTTCAGACCAGGGGTCAAGAGGTCTGGGTTTAAGCCTTGCCTTTGATGGGTTGTGTGCCCTTGAGCTAGTGGCTTCCCCATTTCCGTGCCTCAGTTTTTTCCTCTATAAAGTGGATTGAATGAGATGATACCTGAGGTCATCCCTGCTCTTTGATGGGGAACTCCAGCTACAGGCCGGATATTCTGGAGGGTTGGTTGGGCGAGGGTTCTGGTAGAGACCCTTGGTCCCTTAGGGTGGATAGCCTGGGAGGGGTGCAGGCATCTCCCTTCCCCCATAGCCCTAGGTCCCAGGGATGGAGTAGAGAGGTGGGGAAGTCTGGCTGATGGAAGGGAGACTGTGCAGTCAGGATCCCGCTGTGAAACAGGGCAGTCTTGTATCTGCACTGAAGTAAAGGGTGGGAGAGGCCTCTTCCCCATTTCCTCATCTCCCCAGCCGGGCTGACTCTTTCCTAGTTCTCTCCGGGGCCTGAGTCACTCCCGAGGTAGGGGGTGATTGCCTCTGACTTCTTCCTTCCCCCTCTCTGGATCCTGCCCGTTGTTCCTGTGCCCCTTTGACCTGCTGGGCCAGTCAGCCTACAGCATCTCCTGGGCCCCCAGGTGTCAGGCCCCAGGTGCTAAGGATAAAATAGTCCTTTCAAGGAGCCAATCATCTGGAGAGAAAGAAAAGTACTTAAACAGTTGGTTTCAATAGAAGACCTCGGGTTTAGCCTAGAGATCTCCAGAGGGTTTCCTGAGGCACCTAGAGCAGGGAGTCAGCTGAACCTGCTCTGAATCGTGGAGAGTAAGTAGGATTGATTTAGTCTTGGCTATGTGTGCAGGGATCGGGGGAAGCCCTGTGGGAGAGTTTTCCAGGCAGGGTTCATGAGCCAACCAAAATCAGAAAGCCTTTGATTGGGTACCAACATTCAGGGTCTTACATGGGAAAGCAACTGAGGTTTGACCCTGGTGCTTTCTAGGCACAAGGACTCGGTTTATAGATGAAGAAACAATTAGTGCAGTTGAGTGAATTGTCCCCCTCAAATAATCTGGATCTGTGTGACCAGTGGCTCTCTCCTCAATAGCAGGCTGTCCTGAGGAACTCGGGCTGAACTTAGTTTGGGGGAGTCCCTCTTGTGTGCCAGGCACTATGCCGGGTGCTGTTTCTTTGCTTTGTAGCTTTGTCCCTGTAAGATCAGCTTCAATGCCAGAGAACTCTACCTCTTGGGCAAGACTGACTGTAATCCATGTTACTTTCGCAGCGTTCAGTGGCTCGCTGCTGTCCACAGGATGAAGTTCAGGCTCTTTGGCCTGCGCATAGCCTCTCTGGTCACCTTTGCCACCATTCCTCACCGGGTGCTTTGCGCTGTGGTCCTGCTGAACTAGTTGTAGTCCTTTCCCCTTCATATTCAGGCTGTGCACCTGCCAAGGGTGCTCTTCTCCCCTTTCTTTGCCTGCTAAGTTCTACTCATTTCTTCATGGCTTACCTCAGATGTCCCCTCCTCCAGGAAGCTTCCCTGATACCCACTGCCCCCACTCCAATTAGATGTGTCTTTGGTGCATCTTTGTCATTGCATTTCCCATGCTGTATTACAGTTATCGCTCCTCTTAGGCTGTAACCTTCTTGAGGGCCAGAAGGTATCTTACTCTTCCCAGCCCTTGGTAGAGTTTGTAACCGACTTATGATAGAAATTAATGAGAGATGGTCTCTCTGTTTAAGGAGCTTCTAGAACAAAGGAAACTAACATTTAACGAGCCCCTTCTATTTAACAGATGTTTATATGCAGTTTCTCAATAGTCTTCTCATAACTTTGTGATGTAGGTGGTGGTGGTGTTTTTTTTGTTTTGTTTTGTTTTGTTTTGTTTTTGAGACGGAGTTTTGCTCTTGTTGCCCAGGCTGGAGTGCAATGGTGCGATCTTGGCTCACTGCAACCTCCGCCTCCCAGGTTCAAGCAATTCTCCTGCCTCAGCCTCCCGAGTATCGGATTGAAGACATGTGCCACCACACCCGGCTGAGTTTGCATTTTTAGTAGAGACAGGGTTTCACCATGTTGGCCAGGCTGGTCTTGAACTCTCGACCTCAGGTGATCCGCTTCTCACTTCTGACACCTCCGCCTCCCAAAGTGCTGGGATTACAGGCATGAGCCACCATGCCCGGCCCGGTGGTGTCTTTTTATAATTGAGGAAGGGACTCAGGTCATCCCTTGACAAAGCTCCCTATTGTCTCAGAGACAGAACTGAAATTTGAACTTAGGTAGGTTTGATTCTTAAGACCCAAGCTTTCTTCCGTTCTACTCACCTCCTAGTACTGGCTCCTACAAGTAAGTGTTTGAAGAATGATGGGGCACCATGAGTATGAACCTCTGACAGAACAGTGAGTAAATAGGGCAGGGAGTCCTTTATTTGCCTGGGGTGATTTCAGGGAGGAGGAGGTAGAGTAAATTGCAGGTGACCCAAGGGATCTTAAACATTTGATAGGACAAAACTCAGATGGTTGCGTCTAAAGAGACAGAAGTACATTTGTTCTGTATTTTATTTTATTATTATTATTTTTTTTTTTGATGGAGTCTCGCTCTGTCATCTGGGCTGGAGTGCAGTGGCACAATCTTGACTCACTGCACCCTCCGCCTCCCGGGTTCAAGCGATTCTCATGCCTCAGCTTCGCGAATAGCTGGGATTTCAAGCACGTGCCACCATGCCTGGCTAATTTTTGTATTTATAGTAGAGACAGGGTTTTACCATGTTGTCCAGGCTGGTCTCAAACTCCTGACCTCAAGTCATCCGCCTGCCTCGGCCTCCCAAAGTGCTGGGATTACAGGTGGGAGCCACCATGCCCGGCCTATTTTATTATTTTATTTTTATTTTTTGTAGAGACAGAATCTCGTTATGTTGCCCAGGCTGGCCTTGAACTCCTGGCCTCAAGTGATCCTCTTGCCTCTGCTTCCCAAAGTGCTGGGATTACAGGCATGAGCTACCATGCCTGGCCCTCTAGGGTATTTTATTTTATGGATAGTAAGGTATTACTTAATGGGCACTTCGCTGTGTGTTATTTCGTATAAACCCCTTCGGGTAGATATTGTTACTTTCTCCACCTTACAGATGAGGAAATTGGGCTTAGCAAAATTAAGTGATTTGCCCAAGGTCACACAATGAATAAATGGTAAAGCTAGGACGTGGATCCAGATCTAATGCAAAATGTGGCTTTAAAATACTCCATACTCTCTCCCCAGATTTGGATGTGTCAGAAGTGAGATTTAAATATGACCTCTGAATAGAGATCCATCAGGGAAGGAAGCCCTTTCAGTGTGCCTTGGGATGCCCAAGTGGCCAGACATCCTGATGTTTGGCAGCTCACAGACTATCCAGTTTCTCGTTTGAGCTTGGGGAGGTGGCTTGCCTCAGTTCCCCCTGCAATGCAGGTTTTACACTATTGCTACTGACCCCTTCCGTGCTCCCCCGACCCTGCAGAGAGAGCTCCATTCCCGTGGACGTGGCTCGGCAGCGGGAGCTCAAATGGCTGGACATGTTCAGTAACTGGGATAAGTGGCTGTCACGGCGATTCCAGAAGGTTTGAGGGCTGAATGGTGGGCAGGGCAATGCACAAGTTGGGAGGGGTAGCATGTGCTCCAGGGAAGCCCAGGAAGCCGATAATATCTGCCCTCTGGACCACACTGGGGATAGATGGGCCCTGGCGGGGGAATGGCTTTAAAAATAGAAGTCCAGGCCAGGTCCAGTGGAATCAAGCCTATGGGATGTCGGAGGAGTATCCAGGGAGTTTGTGGACTGCTGGGGAAAGGTTGGAGGCTGTGCCAGCCCTTGAAGCTGTCCCCCTCCTGCCACTTTGCCTTAGGTGAAGCTGCGCTGCCGGAAGGGGATCCCCTCCTCTCTCAGAGCCAAAGCCTGGCAGTACCTGTCTAATAGCAAGGAACTTCTGGAGCAGAACCCAGGAAAGTTTGAGGTGCGTGCAGCTCCAAGGTGTGGGGACATGTGGCCCTGTCTGTGCAAGGGGTATCAGTTCCCCCAGATGCTGAGGTAATCCCCACTGTCCCACTGCAGGAGCTGGAACGGGCTCCTGGGGACCCCAAGTGGCTGGATGTGATTGAGAAGGACCTGCACCGCCAGTTCCCTTTCCACGAGATGTTTGCTGCTCGAGGGGGGCATGGGTAAGGTGGCCGGACCATGGGGGTCAGTCAGCAAACATTGGCTGGAGGATCCACCTTTTAGCTAGGTGGATACAAGACTGAGTCGAAAGTGGTTTTTGCCCTTCAGGACTTGTAGAAGAGCTATCTGTAATGGACTAAGTGTCAAGCCATGTCAAAGGAACTGTCCTGGGAAGGAGACTTGACTCAGGTTGTGTGTGGGGGCACGTCATGGGCTCCTTGAAGAGCTTGCATTTGGGCTGGGTTTTGGAGGGGTGGGAGCTACAGCAGTGGGGCAGGGTTTTCCTGCCTGGGGGTTATGGAAAAGATCACCAGGGACCCTTAAATGCTATGCCAAAGCATTTGGAATTTTGTTCTATAGACCAAGCTTCCTCCAGATGTCAGTATATACTCTTCTCTAGTAGTATGCAAGATGATCATCTTAGGGAGTTCTCTGATGGACTTTTTTTTGTTTTGTTTTTTGAGATGGAGTCTCCCTTTGTTGCCCAGGCTGGAGTGCAGTGGTGTGATCTCAGCCCACTGCAACCTCTGCCTCCCAGGTACAAGCAATTCTCATGCCTCAGCCTCCTGAGTAGCTGGGATTATAGGTGCACACCATCGTGCCCAGCTCATTTTTGTGTTTTTAGCAGAGACGGGGTTTCACTGTGTTGGCCAGACTGGTCTTGAACTCCCAACCTCAAGTGATCTGCCCGCCTTGACCTCCCAAAATGCTGGGATTACAGGTGTGAGCCACTGCGCCTGGCCAGATGGACTTTTTGTTCTTTCTTTTCTTTTTTTTTTTTTTTGAGATGGAGTTTTGCTCTTGTTGCCGAGGCAGGAGTACAGTGGCACGATCTTGGCTCACTGCAACCTCTGCCTCCTGGATTCAGGTGATTCTCCTGCCTCAGTCTCCCAAGTAGCTGGCATTACAGGTGCGCGCCACCACACCCGGCTAATTTTTGTATTTTTAGTAGAGACGGGGGTTTCACCATGTTAGCCAGGCTGGTCTCGAACTCCTGACCTTAGGTGATTCACCTGCCTTGGCCTCCCAAAGTGCTAGCGTTATAGGCGTGAGCCAACACGGTCAGCCGGACAATTTTTTAAATCAATAATTCATCCTTTAGCAAATATTTATTGAGCATCTGCTATCTACCAGGCACTGTCTAGTCACAAATGATTGCAGTGAACAAAAAACCAAAAACTCCTCTCATGGTGTTTATATTTTAGTGGGGACAAACAATAAATCAGGGAAAGGAAAGTATATTGTATGTGAAATGATGGTAAGCATTAAGGAGGAGGTTATTTTTATTTTTACTTTTATTTGTTTTTTGATAGAGATGGGTTTTCATCATGTTGCCCCGGCTGGTCTTGAACTCCTGGGCTCAAGCGATCCGCCTGCCTTAGCCTCCTTAAGTGCTGGGATTACAGGCGTGAGCCACTGTGCCTGGGCCTAAAGAGGAGTTTAAAGCAAGAGGGAAATAGAGAATGTGAGTGGGGATGGGGTTACAAATGACTTGATCCTGCTTATGTTTTAAAAGGGTCATTCTGGCTACCATGCTGAGAACAGACTATAGGGAGACAAGGACAGAAACGGACCAGTTAGGAGACTTCCTGTAATCCAGGAGAGGGTGAGAGCTAGACCAGCATGGTAGCAGCGGGAGTATGGGGAGAAGTGGTTGGATTCTGGATATATTTTGAAGGTCGAGTCAAAGGGATTTGCCAATGGATTAGACATGCAGTGTGAGAGGAGAGAGGGGAGTAGGGTTTTTGGCCTGAGAAATGAGAAGAATGGAGTTGCTGTTTACTAATACAGATGGGGTAAAGGTAGCTGTGGGGGGCATATCAGGAGCTCAGTTTTGGAACGTTTATTTTTTATTTTTGTTTTTTGAGACGGAGTCTCGCTCTGTCGCCCAGGCTGGAATGCAGTGGCGCCACCTCGGGTCACTGCAACCTCCACCTCCCAGGTTCAAGCAATTCTCCTGCCTCAGCCTCCTGAGTAGCTGGAATTACAGGCACCCGCCACCATGCCTAGCTAAGTTTTGTATTTTTATTAGAGACGGGGTTTTGCCATGTTGGCCAGGCTGGTCTCGAACTCCTGACCTCAAGTGATCTGCTCACCTCGGCCTCCAAAGTGCTGGGATTACAGGTGTGAGTCTCCATGCCCGGCAGGGAACATTAAGTTTAAAATGCTTATTGGACCTCTAGATAGAGATGTAAGTTCAGTGTACAGTATACACAAACCTGGATTTCAGGGCAGATGTTTAAACTGGAGATAAATTGGAAATTAAGAGTCGTCAACTTATAGAGGGACTAAATCTTACCCACGAGACTGGATGAAGTCACAAAGGCAACAAGTGTAGATACAAAAGGAATTGATGCGAAATGTCCAACAATTGAGCCCTGCAGCTCCAATAGTTTGAGAATGGGAAGATGAGAAAGAGCCGGTAAAGGAGACTGGAATGAGAAGCTAGAGGTAGGAGGAGGACCAGGAGCATGTGATTGGGAGCAAAATGTAGTGGGGTTTCAAGCATCAGCTGTGTGAAATGCTGCTGAAGGGTCCAATAAAGTCCAGCCTGAAAATTGACCTCTGGATTGAACACTGGAGAAGTCATTAGTGACCATGTTAAAAACAGTTTTGTGGCTGGGTGCGGTGGCTCACACCTGTAATCCCAGCACTTTGGGAGGCCAAGGCGGGCAGATCATCTGAGGTCAGGAGTTCAAGACCAGCCTGGCCAACATGGTGAAACCCCGTCTCTACTAAAAATATTTTTAAAAGGCCAGGCGTGGTGGCCCACGCCTGTAATCCCAGCACATTGGGAGGCCGAGGCGGGCAGATCATGAGGTCAGGAGTTCGAGACCATCCTGGCTAACACGGTGAAACTCCCGTCTCTACTAAAAAAATACAAAAAATTAGCCAGGCATGGTGGCGGGCGCCTGTAGTTGCAGCTACTCGGGAGGCTGAGGCAGGAGAATGGTGTGAACCCGGGAGGCAGAGCTTGCAGTGAGCCGAGATCGCGCCACTGCACTCCAGCCTGGGCGACAGAGGAGATTCTGTCTCAAAAAAAAAAAAATTAGCTTGGTGTGGTGGCAGGTGCCTGTAATCCCAGTTACTCGGGAGGCTGAGGCAGAGGTTTCAGTGAGCCGAGATCACGCCATTGCACTCCAGCCTGGGCAACAAGAGCGAAACTCTGTCTCAAAGGAAAAAAAAAACAGTTTTGTGGCTGGGCGCGGTGGCTCACGCCTGTAATCCCAGCACTTTGGGAGGCTGAGGCAGGCGGATCACCTGAGGTCAGGAGTTTGAGACCAGCCTGACCAATATGGAGAAACCCCGTCTCTACTAAAAATACAAAATTAGCCGGGCATTTTATAGGGAGGCTGAGGCAGGAGAATTGCGTGAACCTGGGAGACAGAGTTTGCCGTGAGCTGGGATCGCACCATTGCACTGCAGCCTGGGCAACGAGAGTGAAACTGTCTCGAAACAAACAAAAACAGTTTTGTGTGGAGCAGTGGGTGAAACCCTAACTGGAGAATGGGAGAAAAGAAATTGAAGACAGTGAGTCTATAGGTAAGGAAAGAAACAGTGTGGTATTTGGAGGGAAGAGAGGGGTAAAGAGACTTTTTTTTGTTTGTTTTGAGACAGAGCTTGACTGTCGCCCAGGCTGGAGTGCAGTGGTGTGATCTTGGCTCACTGCAACCTCTGCCTCCCAGATTCCCAGATTCAAGTGATTCTCCCACCTCAGCCTCCCAAGTACCTGGGATCACAGGTGCCCGCCACCACACCTGGCTAATTTTTGTATTTTTGGTAGAGACGGGGTTTTGCCATGTTGGCCAGGCTGGTCTCGAACTCCTGACCTCAGGTGATCCACCCACCTTGGCCTCCCAAAGTGCTAGGATTACAGGCGCGAGCTACTGCGCCTGGTGAAGAGACTTTTTTTTTTTTTAAACTCAAATAACAGCATGTGGGTATGCTTGTGGGAACGGTGGAGAGAGAAATTGATAGTGCAGGAGCAAGGGGAGGGTTGTTGGAGTGGTGGCCTGTACACGCGAGAGGGGATGGGATCCTGGGCCCAAGTGGAAAGGAAGTGCTTGCCAGGATCACAGACTCTTCACCCATAGCAACAGGGAGAAGGCAGGGACACGGAAGCAGGCAGGTGGGTGATGGGTGTGGGTGCTTGTGGAAGTTACATATTTATTTTAATATGCATTAGGTAAAATAACCATATCAAACCTGTCATTTCGTGGATGCTTTTGCAAAGTGGAGAAAAAATGTCAACTAAATAGTAGGGTGGTATGCAGATAAAATACAAATGAAGATCACACTTGAATGCCTGGAGTTTTGGGAAAAGCTATTCTGGGAAGTGGTCAGGAGGAGGATGTGTGAGACTGGAGGCAGGGAGAGGATCTGGGAGGTCATTTTTTATGGGCAAGAAATGGAGGTCTGAGCTGCGAATGGCTGTGGAGGTGGAGAGGAGCAGGCAGGAATGGAATTCAGGGTGCAGCGCTGCTTAGGCTTGGAGTAAGGGGCTCTTTTCTGATGTGGGGCTGAGTGAATAGAAGTCCTGGACACGGCAGTGGGGCACCCTCAAGAAGAGCAGATCTAGGGTACAGATTTTATTCTTTTGGATGCAGAGACAGGAGAAAGGGCTGAGGCACAGCTGGCTTCCAAGCCTTCCCCAAGAACCATGAAATCCAGTGAGACCGATAAGGCAGGCCCTGCCCTGGGGAGCTACTGCTTTGGGGTGACAAAGACATTTAGTGCTAGAGGAGGGCTGATGCTGCAGCTGTGGAAAGCTTCCTGGAGAAAATGACCTGGAAGGTTTCTGGGATGTGGCTGAGGAAGGAGGGCGAGGGTGCAGCCTGTGCTGGGATGGCCAGGAGCATGTGGAGTATGTAGCCAAAGGCGGAGCCCCGGGGCCTGGAGTGCTCTGCTGTGGGCTGAGCCTTTAGCTGAAGCTCGCTCAGCAGGACTGGGCAGGTGGATGGAGGAGCCTGGTGATAAACTCTGGGACGAATCTGGAACTGGGTTTGGGGACAGAGCTCTCAGCCCGTGACTGCCCTCACAGTCTTCCCCAACCCCCACAGGCAACAGGACCTGTACCGAATCCTGAAGGCCTACACCATCTACCGGCCTGACGAGGGTTACTGCCAGGCCCAGGCCCCCGTGGCTGCGGTCCTGCTCATGCACATGCCTGCGGAGGTCAGCGCCCTGGTCCTGGGCCGGGAGGGGCAGGGGGGATCTCACCCTACAGTGGTGATGGGGGAGCTCCCTGCTCCCTGCTTCTCAGGCCCCACCCCTCCTCCTTGTTCTTGCTCTTCTCAGCAAGCCTTTTGGTGCCTGGTGCAGATCTGCGACAAGTACCTCCCAGGTTACTACAGTGCAGGGCTGGTGAGTGTCTGGAGGCTGGGTGCATCCGGGGCTGTGGCGTTTCCTCCAGGCTGCAGGCAGGTCCTTGCCTTGCCCCACCCTGGCCTTCCCGGCTTCTGCCCACAGGGCCGGCCAGTTCTCCCCTGATGGGGGCACAGCTGACTTGGCCCTCTTCTCATGGCTTGTCCCACCTGCAGGAGGCCATTCAGCTGGACGGGGAGATCTTTTTTGCACTCCTGCGCCGGGCCTCCCCGCTGGCGCATCGCCACCTGCGGCGGCAGCGCATTGACCCTGTGCTCTACATGACGGAGTGGTTCATGTGCATCTTCGCCCGCACCCTGCCCTGGGCGTCGGTGCTGCGTGTCTGGGACATGTTTTTCTGTGAAGGTACTTCTGTGGCCCTCCAGGCCATGAGGGGCTGGGGTTTCTGTGGTGGCTACCAGGGGTTCTGTCATATTTCTGGTGGTCCATGGACAAAAGGTACTTGTTGGGTGGAGGTTTCACCATAAGCAGCTGGGGGCTGGAGAAACAGGCCTGATTTTAGTTCTGCCACCAACCCAGAGCCTGCTCTCCCTGCCAAGATCCTGAGACTGATAGCAGCTCATGTACTTTCACAGGGCCTCAGTTTCCTCATCTGAGATTGGCAGTAGATGGGGATGGGGGCTGTGAGTCTATCCTGATCAGGACAGGCTGAGATCTTGGGTCTGACCACCCCATGCTCTCTACTCTCCACCCCTGCAGGCGTTAAGATCATCTTCCGGGTGGCCCTGGTCCTGCTGCGCCACACGCTGGGCTCAGTGGAGAAGCTGCGCTCCTGCCAAGGCATGTATGAGACCATGGAGCAGCTGCGTAACCTGCCCCAGCAGTGCATGCAGGAAGACTTCCTGGTGCATGAGGTAGGCCTGTGCCCTCAACGCAGCCCCTGCCTGCCTCAGCCCGCTCCCACCCTCAGCTCCATTCTGGTACGCATTTCCTCTCTGTGCAGGTGACCAATCTGCCGGTGACAGAAGCACTGATTGAGCGGGAGAATGCAGCCCAGCTCAAGAAGTGGCGGGAAACGCGGGGGGAGCTGCAGTATCGGCCCTCACGGCGACTGCATGGGTCCCGGGCCATCCACGAGGAGCGCCGGCGGCAACAGCCACCCCTGGGCCCCTCCTCCAGCCTCCTCAGCCTCCCTGGCCTCAAGAGCCGAGGCTCCCGGGCAGCTGGAGGGGCCCCGTCCCCGCCGCCCCCCGTCCGCAGAGCCAGTGCTGGGCCTGCCCCAGGGCCTGTGGTCACTGCTGAGGGACTGCATCCATCCCTTCCCTCACCCACTGGCAATAGCACCCCCTTGGGTTCCAGCAAGGAGACCCGGAAGCAGGAGAAGGAGCGGCAGAAACAGGAGAAGGAGCGGCAGAAACAGGAGAAGGAGCGGGAGAAGGAGCGGCAGAAGCAGGAGAAAGAGCGAGAGAAGCAGGAAAAGGAGCGAGAGAAGCAGGAGAAGGAGCGGCAGAAGCAGGAGAAGAAGGCTCAAGGCCGGAAGCTTTCGCTGCGTCGAAAGGCAGATGGGCCCCCAGGCCCCCATGATGGTGGGGACAGGCCCTCAGCCGAGGCCCGGCAGGACGCTTACTTCTGACCTCTGCCCTGGGGCTGGACTGCATGGCCCCCCTCTTTCCCTCAGCCAAGAACAGGCCTGGCCCAAGGTGCCACCCCCTAGCACCTTGTCAGGCTGTCCCTTGCTGGGGAAAGTGGCTTGGTTCCCCATCTCCTCGCCAGCTGCTGATCCCTACACGGGCAGGACAGATGGGCAGCTGCAAATGAGTCTGGAGCCTCTCATCTCCCATGAGGCTCAGCTGGGGTCTCTGTCGCTCCTGCCCCAGTTCCCTCTGGGTCCCCTCCTAGGTGCTGTCCTGAATGGCCCGTTGTCATCCCAGGGGTGACTCCTGGTGATGGGAGTCAGCAGTTTCAGATTCTTACACTCCATAGCTCCCCTTACCATGAGGTGGAGCTGGCTTCCTTTTCCCTGTCTTCAGCCCTCCCTGTCTCCCCCACTTCCTGGCCAGGGCTCTCATTCTGGACCTGTGTTGTAATTGTGTACAGAGGATGGCGTTGGCCTGGGGTGGGGGTGCTCGCTTTGTCTTCTGTCCTTTGGTTCTCCTTCCATAATGCTCCTGTACCCAGTTTATTTAAGGGGACATGCACTGGAATAGGAAATGTCCCCCATCTCCCTTCCTGCACCCTGCTGTGCTCCCTCCAAACCCACCTTGCTCTGTGTTCTCAGGCCCCCCTGCTTTTGTCTCACCAGGACCCATACCTTTCACCTTGTTCCCTTCCACCCCTCCAGTTAGTCCCTATCTGGGTAAGGGTCTTCCCTTGAGCTCCAGGGGGTGGAACCCAATGTTTACATTCTCTTCTGTCTCTGCCCCCACCCCATGCAGCGCTTTGAGGAATTGGAAAAGAACCTGCTGTTGTACCTGGGCCTGTTTTCTGCCTTGTTATTTGATGAGGGGGGGATGGGGTAAGGACGAGGGAGGGAGGGACAGAGCCAGGACCTGGGTCTCTGTTGAAGCAGTCTGCTGTCTTGGCAAGTAGGTACCTCTTAGCTTTGGGTCCATCTCTCAGTCACTCATCAGACACTGGTTGAGCTCCTGCTCCATCTTTGCCTGGGATCTGCTGTCTCCATTGTCACTGGCTGCCTGGAGCTCTCTATGTACCACGTGCAGCACCCGGATCTCCTTCCCAAAGTGCTCATGCAACTCCTGGAAGCTGGAGGGGGTACTCACAGTGGCTAGAAAGCCACTGTCCTCTGGGGATGAGATGGGTTCTTGGCCAGTTGCCTGGCACAGCTCCCAGTATTGGGTTTTGGTGGGGGGGGAGGGGGGACAGCAGCCCAGCCAGCCGCCTCCAGCTCGCGCCAGCCAGTGCCCACAGCCAAGTCTCCAGCTCTTCCTGGGTTTCTGCAGCCAGCTTGTAGGCCCGCCCACCTGTGCCCTCCACCCCAGGGGTCAGGATGGTAAAGGCATAGGGTTCTGCAGCCTTAAGGTGTGGTTCCACCTGGCAGTTCTCTAACAGGATGAGGCTCAGGGGTGCATGGTCGGTCTAGTGTTCTAGGTAGAAGAGGAGGTTTCCTCGGAGGATGAACCATCGGCGCTGGTAGCTGAGGTTTCGGGTCCCCTTCTTTAGCAGAATGCCTTCCTGGTCTGGGGCCTGTGTTCTGTAACCATGGAAGAAACTGAGCACGGACTTTCTGTGCAGTTTTCATCGTGATCCAATATGGGAGGAAACCCCTAGGGAGAGAGAAGTGGCCCATCTAGTTGCCTGGGGGAAGAGTAGGGGAACTCTCATGCTGTCCTCGTCTGGCTTCAGCACGTGCTGCCTGCGCACAGTCTTGGCTTAGGGGGATGCAGGCTCCGAGTGTCAAGAGCTAGGGGTCCCAGCACAGGGGCTGATCCCCGCTACCTCCCCAATTCCCCCTTCTGCTTGGGCCACATTCCGCTACCTGGGCAGGAGTTGCTAGGCCCTGTTTGCTCAGGGGGGCTTCATGCTGCAGAGAGGCACTGTTGCCCTTTTCCAGGCCTACCTGAGAGCAGGGCACAAGGGGCTTCTGGCCTGAGTACTGGCGCCAATGCCACCTCTCCAGTGATGGCTCTCCCACCTCAGAAACCAGGAACTCGCCCAGGGTATGGGCGTGGGACAAATTATTTCCCCTGGGTCCTAAAGGGAGGTGTGTTCAGAAAGTGCCCGGAGAGCCGTCCAGGGGCCCCAGGCTGGCCATCGGGAGAGTCAGGCTTCCCCTCGGAGAGGCAAGGCTGCACCTCTCAGGCTAGGAGGGCTGACCACTGGACCATAGGAATGGGAAGGCAGGATTTCTAACGAGACGGTAGGGGCGCTGAGCCCTTAGCCCTGGGGGAAGGGTGACTTGAACCCAGGACAGGAAAACGGAGCAGCAACCCACTGACCCTGCTCGGACTTTGCCCCTCCATCCTGACCCTGGGCGGCCCTTTAAGCAGATGCGCTCCAGTTTTTCTCCAGAGCCTCTACTGCTTGAATGACGGACTCGAAGCTACTTCCGGCCATTTCTCACGCCCAGTCAGAGTCCAGGAATTCTTAGGTTCCCTCTTCTCACCATTGTCCTCCCACGTGACTGACGTCACTTCTGGCGGGAGAGAGGGTGGAGGCGTCTTCGCTCGCTTATCGCATACTTCCGCCCGCTCTTCCAGTTAGTTCCCTAACCCGAGTGAAGCCACTTCCGGGCTTCCCGGGCGCCTTCCGCAGTCCTCTTCCGGGTGATGGCGGCCGGGTGCCCCGGATGTAGCCCTGGCGCAAGCATCTCTTCTTTTTTCCACCTCGCCTTCCGCGGATTCCCAGGTGAGTGCGCGAGGGTGGGACCGCCCGAATCCCCGTGGCCCTCTAAGTTGTACACAGCCCGGGACAGTTGGGGCTCACCACACGGAATTGGGAGTTCGGAGCAGGGAGGAACGGGGTGGCGAGAGCGCCAGGTCCTGGGTCTGCCGGGGCCCGGCGAGCTCCGAGAGAGCCAGGGTAGAGAGCGGGGGTCAGCCCGTGGAGCCGGTGGCGCGCAGACTGCGGGGGCTGGAGTTGGGGGCGGTCACGTGGTGAAGCCTGTCTCCTTTCAGCCAGGGTCGGGGGATCCAGAGGGTCCGCTCCTCCGTCCCCGCCCCGTTTAACTCGCGGATGCTAGACCCAAGTCCTGGAGGCCTCCTGGCTGCCAGCTTCCTTTCGGCCCCTGCTTTTGTGCTCCCTCCGCTCCCAAACTGTACCTGTCACAGACCAGGAAAAATGTTTGCTGTGCTGCGTCTGTTGGCGAGTCCCCTCCTCACCCGGTTCCCTTCCTCTGCATCCTTTCCTCAGCTTGAGAAACACCTCTTTGCCCCGTCATGCCAAAGAGGAAAGTGACCTTCCAAGGCGTGGGAGATGAGGAGGATGAGGATGAAATCATTGTCCCCAAGAAGAAGGTGAGGGGGCCAGACTGCTTTGTGTGGGGGAAAGAGGAGCTAGAAGCCTGAAGAGGAAGAAAGCTGGCGGGAGAGGGGCGGGGCGGGCAGGCAGAGAAAAGCCTAGTTTTTTCAGGTTCTCTGAGGAATGGGTTGGGAGCGTCTTTAGTGTGGCTCCTGAAATATTTGGGGAAGTAGTCGAGATCCTGAAATATTTGGGGAATATTTGGGTCCAGATCCGGAAGTATTTGGGGAGGTAGCCAGTAACCTGCATTTCTCAACTTTCTGGCTCCTGCTCACAGCTGGTGGACCCTGTGGCTGGGTCAGGGGGTCCTGGGAGCCGCTTTAAAGGCAAACACTCTTTGGATAGCGATGAGGAGGAGGATGATGATGATGGGGGGTCCAGCAAATATGACATCTTGGCCTCAGAGGATGTAGAAGGTAAGCTGTACCCAAGAATACACTCTGCTGGAAAAACAAGTAGGGGCCTCTGGTGGTGTGGAGCGAGGGAGGCTCCGGTCTCTTTTTTCCATGCCTGGAAAAGGGCACCTGTGTCTTTGGTGCAGGTCAGGAGGCAGCCACACTCCCCAGCGAGGGGGGTGTTCGGATCACACCCTTTAACCTGCAGGAGGAGATGGAGGAAGGCCACTTTGATGCCGATGGCAACTACTTCCTGAACCGGGATGCTCAGATCCGAGACAGCTGGCTGGACAACATTGACTGGGTGCGGCCCAGGGGCTGGCGTGGCTGGGGCCTGGGAGTGGCAGATGCTGGGCCTGCTCCCGTGGCAGTTGGTGGGAAATCACTCCATCTTCCCATTACAGGTGAAGATCCGGGAGCGGCCACCTGGCCAGCGCCAGGCCTCAGACTCGGAGGAGGAGGACAGCTTGGGCCAGACCTCAATGAGTGCCCAAGCCCTCTTGGAGGGACTTTTGGAGCTCCTATTGCCTAGAGAGACAGTGGCTGGGGCACTGAGGCGTCTGGGGGCCCGAGGAGGAGGCAAAGGGAGAAAGGGGCCTGGGCAACCCAGTTCCCCTCAGCGCCTGGACCGGCTCTCCGGGTTGGCCGACCAGATGGTGGCCCGGGGCAACCTTGGTGTGTACCAGGAAACAAGGGAACGGTTGGCTATGCGTCTGAAGGGTTTGGGGTGTCAGACCCTAGGACCCCACAATCCCACACCCCCACCCTCCCTGGACATGTTCGCTGAGGAGTTGGCGGAGGAGGAACTGGAGACCCCAACCCCTACCCAGAGAGGAGGTGAGCTTGGAGGACAGAGGAGGGGGCAGTGGGTAGGAAGTGAGACACTGGAGGCCAAATGGCTTTGCCTGTTATTTTAGAAGCAGAGTCGCGGGGAGATGGTCTGGTGGATGTGATGTGGGAATATAAGTGGGAGAACACGGGGGATGCCGAGCTGTATGGGCCCTTCACCAGCGCCCAGATGCAGGTGAGCTGCTTTCTCCCTCCTCCTGCCTTGTCCCTGCTTCCCCCACTCCTGTCAGTTGTTCCCCAGCTCTGCCCTCTCCTTGCAGACCTGGGTGAGTGAAGGCTACTTCCCGGACGGTGTTTATTGCCGGAAGCTGGACCCCCCTGGTGGTCAGTTCTACAACTCCAAACGCATTGACTTTGACCTCTACACCTGAGCCTGCTGGGGGCCCAGTTTGGTGGGCCCTTCTTTCCTGGACTTTGTGGAGGAGGCACCAAGTGTCTCAGGCAGCGAGGAAATTGGAGGCCATTTTTCAGTCAATTTCCCTTTCCCAATAAAAGCCTTTAGTTGTGTACTGGGGCCTTGGCTGTGCTGATGGCCAGAAGCCAGGGGCCTTCTCCACAGTCCCTTTGGACTTGTCTTGGTCCCTGAGTACTCCCATGAAGATCCTTCTTGGAGGTGCCTGTCAGGTATCCTGTGGCCTCCCTGCCTGGACTCTGCTTGCCGTGTAAACACCCCCAACTGCGCTGCTCTGTGCTCCTCTCCCAGGTTTCTTGTTCGATTCCTCTTAGGTCTTTGGCTTTCAGGACCTCAGATTCTTTATCCTTGTAGCCACCAGAGGACAGAGCCCCAGAAGTGGATGTTTTAGGCCCAGAAGGACCAGGGCATCGAGAAGACATTGGGACCCTGTTGGGGGTGAGCATGGAACCCTCTTACTCTCGCTTCACCCTCTCAAGCTCCTTAGATGCTGGGCAGAAGTGGGATGAGTGGCCCAAGACCGAGATCCCTAAGGTTCTGAGAGCCAGTGTCTTCCCTAATCTGGCTTTCCTCTATCCTTGCCGTCGTTCCCACAGCCCTTCAGTGAAGTGCAAACTCAGTGGCCAAGTGTGGGCCAAGTGTGCATTGTACTGGCACAGAGAGGGGCAGTGACTCACTGGAGATCACAGGAATCAAAGGGCTGGCCCAGACCCAGTGGGCTCCTTTCCCAGACCTTTCTTGGCACAAAGCCTTTGCTGCCTGGCCTTGGAGGCCCTGCGGCCTACATTCTCTGGACCCCACTATGTGCCTGGCACAGGGCTAGTGCCTTGAGGAAACTGAGGTAGCTGGGTTGGTCCCCTTCCAGGAATTCAGAGTCTGGTGGCAGGGGCATGGGAAATAGACAGATGTAATTCTATAGCCTGGGCCTGGCACCCTCCACCTCCACGCCCCACCAGCATTGCCTTACGCCTCCCTTGCCCCACGTTAGATGGTTTCTTCCGGTTTTGCACTCTGGCTGCCCCTTGGAGTCTCCTGGGGAGCTGTAATATCTCTTTGGAGATTCAGATTGAGCTGGTCTAGGTTGTGGCCCAGGCATTGGGCATTTTGGAAGCCCCCAGGTGTTTTCAGCTTGCAGCCAGGCCGAGAGAGAGCCCCTGAGTCAGATCCCCATGGTTTAGGCACACCTAGCGGGAGGGGTGGCTCCTGGACCCCACCGTGGTTGGAGAGCTGAGCATGTGTGTGGCTTTAGTGGGGTCTGTTAGTTATGGGGGTCTGGGCACTGGAGCTGCAGGACACTTGGGATCCCAGGTCAGAAAGGGCCAGATGAGCAACTAGGAAAGACTTGGGGGCCAGGGCGGAGTGGGGTCACCTGACACTCTTGTGAGGCCCCTTCTAGTGCCTGCTCACACCGGAATTTCATTCACTCCAAGAAGCCATCAGGGGTAAGATACCTTCCTTTAAACGTCACTAAGAAAGAAGAGGCCTGCCGGTGACACAGTAAGATGCCATTGATCTAAAGATGCGTCTTGATTTCAGAAAGGTCCGGAAGTGGAAAGCAGGTTTCAGGGCTGCTGAGGTACAGGGTTCTCCTGTAGGCCCCAGGGATGGTCTCAGGGGTGCTGAGTGCGTGCGTGGTAAATGGATGGAGCCCAGGGGCGCCTCCTGCCAGTGTCCTCCAGGCACTCAAACCTAGCCCTTCTGAAGCCGACCTCACGTGACCTCACAGCCCCTCCTGAAGGCGCCTCACTGATGACGGTGGGTGGAATAACAGCCCCCAGAGATGTCCAGGTTTGGAACCCCAGGACGTGGGAAAGTGTTACCTTGCGTGGCAAAAGGGACCCGGCGCCTGTGCTTCAGTTCAGGATTTCGTGGTGGGGAGATGACCGTGGATGGTTGAGGTGGGCCCTGAGTAATCATGGGGGCCCTTATAAGGGAAGGGGAGTCACGAGGGTCTGCGCATGAAGCAAGGAAGCTTCTGGCTGTGAAGATGGCAAGAAGGCCTGGGGCCAGGCGATGAGGTGGCCCCTGGAGGAGCTGGAAAAGGCATTG
The DNA here is from genome assembly GCF_000001405.40 of Homo sapiens. Taxonomy (NCBI): domain Eukaryota; kingdom Metazoa; phylum Chordata; class Mammalia; order Primates; family Hominidae; genus Homo; species Homo sapiens. The sequence goes on along the minus strand of NC_000016.10, from coordinate 30,350,894 downwards.
GATTCTGCCCCAGAGCCTCCGTGGAGAAACAAAGCCGCACTGACAAGACTTCAGCCTGGTGAAAACCATTTTGGACTCCTGACCTCTAGAACTGTAAGATAATAAATTGGTGTGGTTTTCAACCTCTCAGTTTGTGGTAATTTGTTAACAGCCCCAATAGGAAACAACTACTCATGCATCCAGGGGACACCTCATGAACCACCCGATCTCACTAAGTTCTCCCTTCCTGTGACCACATTGCTATTTCAGGTCCCTGTCAGCACTTATAAATGTGGCTGCCTCTTGCTAGGGTGGCCTTTATAGCACATCTGAAACAGCACTCCTTGGCTTTTTGTTTGTTTTGTTTTTAGAGACAGGGTGTTACTGTCACCCAGTAGGGGTGACAACATCTCTCTACACTGGAGTACAGTGGTGTGATCATAGCTCAATGCAGCCTTGAACTCCTGGGTTCAAGTGATCCTCCCACCTCAGCCTCCTAAGTAGCTGGGTCTACAGGAGTGCACCACTTCACCTGGCTAATTAAGAAACTTTTTTTTGTAGTGGCAGGGTCTTGCTATGTTGCCCAGGCTAGTCTCAAACTCCTGCACTCAACCGATCCTCCCAGATCAGCCTCCCAAAGTGCTGGGGTTACAGGTGTGGGCTACTGTGCCCAGTGTGCTTTTCTTTTTTAGTTGTGTGTGTATATATGCAGTTTATATGTATACAGTTTGTAAGAGATACATATAGATAGATAGATAGATATAAACTTTTTGTTTGAGTAAGTTTTTTTTTTTTTTTTTTTGAGATGGAGTTTCGCTCTTGTTGCCGGGCTGGAGTGCAAATGGCACGATCTCAGCTCACTGCAACCTCTGCCTCCTGGGTTCAAGGGATTGTCCTGCCTCAGTCTCCCGAGTAGCTGGGGCTACAGGCACCTGCCACCACGCTTCAGTACCCTTCAGTGGTTTTTTGTATATTCACAGGGTTGTGCAACCATCACCACAGTCTAATTTTAAAACCTTTTTTTCCTACCATGAAAGAAACCTGACCCATGAGTAGCCCCTTCTCACTACTCCCCACCTTTCCTCACCCCCCAGCCCTGGCAACCACCCATCTACTTCCTGCCTCTAGATTTGCTTCTTCTGGGCATTGAAGATAAATGGAATCATATATGTGGTCTTCTGGGTCTGGCTTCTACTTGGCCCTATGCTTTCAAGTTCAGCCATGTGGATATCTTCATCTATGTTTATTGTTTTTTTTTTTTTGAGACGGAGTCTTGCTCTGTCACCCAGGCTGGAGTGCAGTGGCACGATCTTGGCTCACTGCAACCTCTGCTTGCTGGGTTCAAGCGATTCTGCTTCAGCCTCCCAAGTAGCTGGGATTACAGGCCTGTGCTACCACACCTAGCTAGTTTTTGTATTTTTAGTAGAGACTAGGTCTCACCATGTTGGCCAGGCTGGTCTCAAACCCCTGACCTCAGGTGATCCGCTCCCCTTGGCTTCCCAAAGTGCTGTGATTACAGGCGTGAACCACCGTGCCCAGTCCTTTTGTTTATTGTTGAATAACAGTGTATTGTGTGGATGTACGGTACATTAATACTAATTCAACTTCACCCTTTTTTAAAATTTTTCTTACTAATTCAACTTCACACTTTTTTTTTATTTTTCTAGTTTTCCCCTAATGTCCTTTTCTGCTTCAGGATCCCTTGTGACACCACATTATATTTAGTTGTCACATCTACTTAGCTTCCTCAGCCTGACAGCTTCTCAGGCTTCACCTTTGTTGATCTTGACAGTTTCAAGGAGTGCTGGTTTGTATTTTGTAGAATATTCTTTTTTTTTTTGGCGGACGGGGGGCGGGGGACGGAGTCTCTCTCTGTCACCCAGGCTGGAGTGCAATGGTGTGATCTCTGCTCACTGCAACCTCCACCTCCCCGGTTCAAGTGATTCTCCTGCCTCAGCCTCCCGAGTTACTGGGATTATAGGCGTGTGCCACCATGCCCAGCTAATTTTTGTATTTTTAGTAGAGATGGGGTTTCACCACGTTGGTCAGGCTGGTCTCAAACTCCTGACCTCAGGTGATCTACCTGCCTCGGCCTCCCAAAGTGCTGGGATTACAGGTGTGTGCCACCGCACCTGGCCTCAGAATATTCTTTTTAAAAACAACTTTATAAATTTAAAATGTATATATATATATATATATATACACACACATTATATATATATACATGCATATATATATACACATATACACGCATATATATATACGCATTATATATACGCATTATATATATATATGTTTTTTTTTTTTTTTCTAGAGATGAGGTCTCACTATGTTGCCCAGGCTGTTCTTGAACTCCCAGGCTCAAGTGATCCTCTCGCCTCAGCCTCTTACAGTGCTGAGATTACAGGTGTGAGCCTCCACACCCAGTTGAATATTCCTAAAATTTGGGTTTGTCTGATCCTTTTTCTCATGAATAGGTTTGGTTTATGGAGTTTAGGGAGGAAGACCACAGAGGTGAAGTTCTTTGCTTTTCACTTAAAACTTTTTTTTTTGAGACCGGGTCTTGCTCTGTCAAGCCGGGTAGAGTGCAATGGTGCAATCATGGCTCAGTGCGGCCTCAGGCTTCTGGGTTCAAGTAATCCTGCCTCGGCCTCCCTAGTAGCTGGAGCAAGAGATGCATGGCGCCATTCCTGGCTAAATTTTTGCAATTTTTTTTTGTAGAGACGGGGTTTTACCATGTTGCTCAGGCTGGTCTCGAACTCCTGACCTCAGGTGATCCGCCCACCTCAGCCTCCTAAAGTGCTGGGATTACAGGCGTGAGCCATGGCACCCAGGCCTGAATGCAGCCTCTTGCCTTGGCCAGGTTATTCTTCAGAGAAGTAGCAGGAGTTGGGGAAGGAAGTCTCGGCACTCCTGACAGAGGCCTGGGGCGTCAGACTCTGTCCTGGGCAGCTGCTGTGGCCCTGTGAGAGACAAGGCCTGCACAGGAGTCCAGCAGGGTTCAAATAAGTGAAGGCTCCGGCTCCTCATGCCGGAGGAATGAGGGCTCTTCACGTCTCTGCCACATCTGCCACCCCTTCCCATGAGGAGTGTCTAGTTACCCAGACCCTAGAGCGGCAGTGCGGCCAGCTTGATGACGTGCTGCTAGTCGTTTCACCCAGGCTCCCAGGCAGGGGGTCAGGCTGAGCTACTTGCCTTCCGTTCTGCTCCCGGCAGGAACCAAGCCGGAGACCTGGACATGCCCAGCTCCTCCTGATGCCAAGACCTGAGAGGAGTTTCTCCCAAGGATGGATTTCAAGGTAGATGTTTTGTGTGGGGCCCAAGTAACAACAGTGCTCCGTGGAGTCAGCAGCCACTCTGAACTCCCTGTGGAGCCCAGTCCCCAGCTGCCGGGCACCCTCGGGGGTATGCTCCACAGGGGAGGGTTCAGTGGCCCCTGACCACCTACACCCCCTGCGGTGGGCCACCGCTGCCATCTCCAGTTGGCCGCTGCAGGTGGCTGCAATCCTGTCCCCGCTAGGCCCCTGTTCCCCAGGAGGCTTCTCTGTCCCTTTATGTAAGATGCCAGCTTCCCAGCTGCCCATGCAGACGTGGCACATGACCTGCCTGTAAAAGTCAGCAGCAGGCGCTGGCAGCCTCTGGTTTCCCTCTTCTTATTTATTTGTATTTATTTATTTATTTATTTATTTATTTATTTATTTATTGAGACTGAGTTTCGCTCTTGTTGCCCAGGCTGGAGTGCAGTGGCGTGATCTCGGCTCACTGCAACCTCCGCCTCCCGGGTTCAAGCAATTCTCCTTCTTCAGCCTCCTGAGTAACTGGGATTACAGGCGCCCGCCACCACGCCCAGCAGATTTTTGTAGTTTTAGTAGAGATGGGGTTTTGCCATGTTGGCCAGGGTGGTCTTGAGCTCCTGACCTCAAGTGATCCACCTGCCTTGGCCTCCCAAAGTGCTGGGATTACAGTTGTGAGCCACCGCGCTCTGCCATTTAGTTTTAGAGACAGCGTCTTGCTGTGTCGCCCAGGCTGGAGTGCAGTGGTGCGATCATAGCTCACTGCAGGCTGGACCTCCTGAGCTCAAGTGATCCTCCCACTTCAGCCCCTTTATTTTTATTTTTTATAGACGTGGGGTCTCACTATGTTGACCAGGCTGATCTCAAACTCCTGGCCTCAAATGATCCTCCTGCCTGGGTCTCCCAAAGTGTTGGGATTACAGGCATGAGCTGCCGTGCCCAGCCCAGTTTCTCCATTCTGATGCCATCGTACTTGCTCTTACTTTCCTGATACCCCACCCATCCCTATTCCCTCCCCATACAGCTGCCTTGCAGCTCTTGGTGGCTTCAGACCTTGTAGCTCCAGTGCACTCTTTGGGACACATTTTTCTGTCTTGAACACTTCACATTCCTTTGGATACAATGTGGGCATTTGCCCTCTGGCCTCAGACATTGAGACCTCTTACCTGGCCCAGCCTTCCCCGGCTTACACACTAAGCCCGTTCTCTGCCAGGCATGTAATCTCAGCTGAGGTGGGCAGATGGCTTGAGCCAAGGAGTTTGAGACCAGCTGGGCAATATAGCCAGACTCCATCTCTACACACACAAAAAGTGTATATATATATATATATTTGTATGTATACATATATACATCCTCTATTTGACAGGGGAAGAAGAGGGTGTCTGGCATTTATTAGGGACCTAAATAAGTTCAGAATATTATGTTTAATCTCCTTGACTACCTATTTAGTTACGTATCTCTCCCACTTTGCTGATGAGAAAAATGAGGCTCAGAGAGGTGACATTCAACATCACATAGCCTGAGGGTGGTAAAGCCAGGATTTTAACCGAGGTCTGTGGGACTCTAAAGTCCTGTCAAAATTTTTGGTCGAGTGTTTGCTCATATGTTTTGCCTGTTTTAAAAACTGAATTGTTTGTCTTCTGATTGACTTGTAAGAGACCTTGATCATTAGATATTCCAGATAATGAGTCCTTTGTCAGATTCTGTTTTGTGAATATTTTCTTGATCCATGACTTGTCTTTTTTTTTTTTTCTGTCATCATCTTGAAGAACAAAAGTTTTAAATCTGGTTAAAATTTAATTTGCTGACTTTTCTTTGAGACAGAATCTTGCTCTGTCTCCTAGGCTGGGGTGCAGTGGTGCAATCTCACCTCAGTGCAACCTCCGCCTCCTGGGTTCAAGCAATTCTCCTGCCTCAGCTTCCCAAGTAGCTGGCGTTAGAGGCGCACACCACCATGCCTGGCTAATTTTTGTATTTTTAGTAGAGATGGGGGAGATGGGGTTTCACCATGTTGGCCAGGCTGATCATTTTTTTTTTTTTTTTTTTTTTTTTTTGAGACAGAGTCCCACTATGTGGTCTAGGCTGGAGTGCAGTGGCGCAATCTCGGCTCACTGCAACCTCTGCCATCTGGGTTCAAGGAATTCTTGTGCCTCAGCCTCCTGAGTAGCTGGGACTACAGGCTGCCACACCCAGCTAATTTTTGTATTTTTAGTAGACCACCATGTTGGCCAGGCTGGTCTCGAACTCCTGACCTCAAGTGATTGGCCCGCTTCAGTCTCCCAAAGTGCTGGGATTACAGGCGTGAGTCGCCGCACCTGGCTTAATTTGTTGATTAAAAAATCATTTGTGCTTTTTGTGTCCTATTTAAGAAATCTTTGAGCCAGGTATAGTGGCTCATGCCTGTAATTCCAGCATTTTGGGAGGGTGAGGCAGGAGGCTCAGTTGAGTCCAGGAGTTGGAGACCAGCCTAGGCAACATAGCAAGACCCTGTCTCTACGAAAATTTAAAAAATTAGCCAGGCATGGTGGCTCGAGCCTGTAGTTCCAGCTACTCCAGAGGCTGAGGCAGGAGGATCCCTTGACCCTAGGAGTTTGAGGCTGCAGTGAGCTATGATTGTGCCACTGCACTCCATTCTGGGTGACAGACCAAGACTTTGTCTCTAAATAAATAAAATAAAATAAAACAAAACAAAATAAAATGCATTTTAAAAATTAAAAAAAGAGCCAAGCACGGTGGCTCACGCCTGTAATCCCAACACTTTGGGAGGCCTAGATGGGCAGATCACCTGAGGTCAGGAGTTCGAGACCAGCCTGAACAACATGGTGAAACCCTGTCTTTACTAAAAATACAAAACTTAGCTGGGTATGGTGGCTTATGCCTGTAATCCCAGCTACTGGGGAGGCTGAGACAGGAGAATCACTTGAACCCGGGAGGCAGAGGTTGCAGTGAGTCGAGATTGGGTCACTGCACTCCAGCCTGGGCAACAGAGCGAGACTGTTTCAAAAAAAAAAAAAAATTAAAAAGAGCACTTCTGGGAGTGAAAAAGAAAAACCTTGCTCTTGATGCCTAGAGAGCTGTGCTAGTTCCAAAGATAAAGCTTTTACTTTAGGCACCGACCTCAAATTAATCTTGTAGGAAAGTGTTTTGTCTTGTTTTGTTTTGTTTGTTTTTTGTTTTTTGAGACAGAGTTTTGCTCTTGTTGCCCAGGCTGGTGTGCAATGGGCGATCTTGGCTTACTGCAACCTCCGCCTCCCAGATTCAAGGGATTCTCCCGCCTCAGCCTCCTGAGTAGCTGGGATTACAGGTGCCGGACACCATGCCTGGCTAATTTTTGTATTTTTAGTAGAGATGGGGTTTCATCATGTTGGTCAGGCTGGTCTGAAACTCCTGACCTCGTGATCTGCCCGCCTTGGCCTCCCAAAGTGCTGGGATTACAGGTGTGAGCCACCGCACCCAGCCTTATTAATTATATTTAAGGCTATTCAAGTTTTCTTTTCTTTTCTCTTTTTTTTTTTTTTTTTTGAGACAGAATTTCACTCTGTTGCCCAGGCTGGAGTGCACCGGTGTGAACTTGGCTCACTGCAGCCTCCACACCCAGTAGCTGGGACTACAGGCGCACATCACCACACCCAGCTAATTTTTATAATTTTACTAGAGACGGGGTCTTGTCCTGTTTTCCAGGTTGGTCTTGCACTACTGCTGGCCTCATGTGATCCACCTGCCTCGGCCTCCTGGGATTAGCACTTTGGGAGGCCGAGGTGGATGGTTCACCTGAGGTCAGGAGTTCAAGACCAGCCTGTCCAACATGGTGAAACCCTGTCTCTACTAAAAATACAAAAAATTAGCCAGGCGCGGCGGTGGGCGCCTGCAATCCCCACTACTTGGGAGGCTGAGGCAAGAAAATCGCTTGAACCTGGGAGGCAGAGGCTGCAGTGAGCCGAGATTGCACAATTGTACTTCAGCCTGGGTAACAAGAGCGAAACTCCATCTCAAACAAAACAAAACAAAAAGAGAGAGAGAAAAAAAAAAAAACCACAAAGTGCCGGGATTACAGGTGTGAGCCCCTGTGCCCGGCCTATTCAAGTTTTCTATTTCTTCTTTTTTTTTTTTTTTTTTTTGAGACGGAGTCTCGCTCTGTCTCCCAGGCTGAAGTGCAGTGGCGCGCCAGCAGCACAAGGAAAGCAGCACCTTCCAGCTCTCCTCCGCCTTCTCCGCGAAGCCCCTGACCCTGCTCCCAGAACAGGGAGCGGAGAGGAGAAAGTCCTCGAGCCCCAGCTGGCACTCACCTGATGCCTTGGTGGCATCGTCAAATTCCACCTGGAAGAGGTAGCCAGTGTTCCAGATGTACAGGCAGGATGCCACGTCATAGGAGACCCTGAGTGGCTTCAGCCAGGGGTCATAGACGCTGTCCCTCCACTGGATGTTGATAGGAGACTGCCGGGTGCCCCCTGGCACGGAGACCGGGCCCGTCCAGAGTGGGTGCACTGCAGGGAGAGAGAAGGAGACCCCGAGTGAGGCATGAGCTTCATCCTGTGTCTTGGACGGATAGGGCAGAAACCTGGCCGCACGAGACCCCACAGGTACTGGCTCATGGGAAACAGACCCACGGGAAACGGGTGCGTGGGGGCCCCTGCGCAGCTGGACGCGCGTCCACAGGGTACTCGCCTGCTCCTCTCCTTTCCGCACCACTCGGGGACTTTCTTTCCCACCCAGAAGCAACTCCCTCTCGGCCCGTGCCGCCTGTGTTGATGGGTTTTTGACTTTTGTGTTGCCCTTGTCACAGAGTGGTCACAGGAAGTCTGGAGAGACCTTGGGGAGGGCAGGTGGGCGGAGGAGGGCCCTGTGGGGAAGGCAGGCTGAGTGCAGTGGGGCTCTTGTCTCTCGGGAAGGGCTTGAAACCTCCCTTCCCACTCACAGGTATCCCACCTAGTGGGTCCTGTGGAAACTGGAGCTGCTTTGGAAGTCTCACTCTCCAAGCCCTCTGGCAAGGAGGAAATGAGACCCCAGTGTGGAGAAAATTAAGCAGAGTGGCAGCCCCTTTACCCACTTCCTCGAGGCTCATTTCAAACTGCTTTGATTGTCATTTTTAAAGTTAAGAGCCATTAATCAAAAACAGTTCAGAGGTCAGAAACAGTGGCTCACGCCTGTAATCCCAGCACTTTCGGAAGCAAGGTGGGCAGATCGCCTGAGGTCAGGAGTTTGAGACCAGCCTGACCAACATGGCAAAACCCCATCTTTACTGAAAATGTAAAAATCAGCTGGGTGTGGTGGCGGGCGCCTGTAATCCCAGCTATTCGGGAGGCTGAGGCAGGAGAATGGCTTGAACCCAGGAGGCAGAGGTGATAGTGAGCCAAGATCGCGCCACTGTACTCCAGCCTGGGTGACAGAGACTCTGCCTCAAAAAAAAAAAAAAAAAAAAAAATGCAGAAAAACTTATGAGTGAAGAAGCAGCTGTCCCATGATTGCACCCCCTGGTGTGTGTCTGCCCAACTGTTCTCTGTGCAATAACCTCATGCGAAGAGAAAGCTGGATCTTTTATTTTTATTTTTCCTTAAGAGACAGGATCCTTGGGATATCCTGCTCTCGAAACCTTAGAGCAGCTTCCAAATACAGAGTCCCCTTGCTTGGGGATATCACCCCAGAGGCCTGGCGTGCCCTGTGGCTCCTGTCCTCACCTTAACAGGCCTGAGCTAAACCAGTTCTTAAAAGGGATTAAATGGAATAGTGCTTTTTTGAGATCAGGTCTCACTGTGCCACCCAGGCTGGAGTGCAGTGGTGCCAATCACTGCAGCCTTGAACCCCTAGGCTGAAGCAATCCTCCCACCTCAGCCTCCTGAGCAGCTGGACTACAGATAAACACCACCGTGCCTGGCTAACTTTTTCATTTTTTGTAGAGACGAGGTCTCACTATGTTGCCCAGGCTGGTCTCAAACTCCTGGCCTCAAGCGATTCTCCTGCCTGTCCCAAAGTGAGGCAGGCGTCTCCCAAAGTGTGAGATTAGAGGTGTGTACCACCAAACCCGGCCAGGATTTTTTATTTTAATGAACAAGGATTTTACTGTGTATATTATCCTGTAAGTTGCCTTTTTTCATTTAACATTGTGAACTCATTTTGTCAAAAATATATATATATACACAATTCTTTTTAATGGTGGTACATTTCCATTGTACAGTTATGACACAATTTTTAAAATCCATTATTTGGTGATGATATTTAGGTTATTTCCAACTTCTTGCAATTAAACAAAGCTGTGATGAAGTTGCTGTTCTTTCTCTGTATTCTCATCTGGATTATTTTCTTTTTTTTCTTTTTTTTTTTTGAGACGGAGTCTCGCTCGGTCACCCAGGCTGCAGTGCAGTGGTGCCATCTCAGCTCACTGCAACCTCTGCCTCCCAGGTTCAAGTGATTCTACTGCCTCAGCCTCCTGAGTAGCTCTATTACAGGCGCGCGCCGCCACACCTGGCTACTTTTGTGTATTTTTCATAGAGACGGGGTTTCACCGTGTTAGCCAGGATGGTCTCCATCTCCTGACCTTGTGATCCACCCGCCTTGGCCTCCCAAAGTTCTGGGATTGCAGGAGTGAGCCACCGCGCCTGACCATAGAGCAGCCTCTTCCTTTTCCTGTTGGGACCAGAGGCAGTGGCCGTGGGAGGGGCATTTAACATGGCCGCACAGACCTGAATGTAGACAGAACCCAGAAGCCACTGATGCCACAGAGGAGGCGCTCATCTAGACAGGAGACGCAGGCTTCCCTGGCTCACAGAGACACAGGATGTGGGAAGAGCGGGTAATTTTAGGTTCTGCTTGCTGAGCTGCACCAACAGGCCCACCAACAATGAAACACCCGCGTTGAACTCAGCGTGTGTCACTCAACAAAAGGATGGGCTCATTGCCACCTGCACGGAGGCGACGCCACCTGGATGCTGAATAGGCTTCCAATCTCCACACAGCCGACCCTGGTGCACAGCAACGTGGGTTCTGTGCTAATTCCAGTAGGGCTCCGATGGGAGGTAATACAAATGTTATCCTCTTTTTTTTTTTTTTTTTTTTTTTTTTTTGAGACGGAGTCTCGCTCTGTCGCCCAGGCTGGAGTGCAGTGGCACGATCTCGGCTCACTGCAAGCTCCGCCTCCCAGGTTCATGCCATTCTCCTGCCTCAGCCTCCCGAGTAGCTGGGACTACAGGCGCCCGCTACCACGCCCGGCTAATTTTTTGTATTTTTAGTAGAGACGGGGTTTCACCGTGTTAGCCAGGATGGTCTCGATCTCCTGACCTCGTGATCTGCCCGCCTTGGCCTCCCAGAGTGCTGGGATTACAGGCATGAGCCACCGCGCCCGGCCATTATCCTCTTTTTTAATCAGTCAACAAATATTTACAGAGCTGCTCCTATGGGTCAAGCCCTGGCCCAGGTGCAGGGGCATGGAATCAAAGACGCCAAGTCCCCTGCCCCAGGAGGCCAGTATTTGCCCCTAATTCACATGGGCACAGTCTGGAAGGAGACCCCCTCTCCCCAATGCATTCTCAGTCTCCAGGTTTGATGGTGGTTCAGCAAATCTCAAATTCCTTCCCCCTTGACCTCCATGGGAGGAGCTATCCCCTCCCCCATTGTCACTAGGCTTGGCCACCTGGTGACCTGCTTTGACCACTGGGACATTAGCAGACATGACGTGAGCAGTAGCTTGGAATACATGGGCACCGCTGGCCTCACCCTGTGAGTGCCTGCCCTCCGCCGTGAGAAGAACAGGCCTCAGGTGGCTGCAGAGGGAGGATGAGAGATGCAGTGAGCAGGCCTGGACCCACCCAGAGTGGGGAGCCCAGCCCAGCCACGCTCAGCCCGGGGGGAGCCAAACGCAAGAAGACTTACACACACCTGAGCAGGAATAGCCAGTAAAATGTCCAACAACGTGCAGCGGTGTGCTGGTTGAGGTTTAATAAGCCGTTCTCCCAGGAATTTAGAATCTTCAATTTCTAGGGTTTGCCAATGACTGTGGTGTAAACACTTTCACCATGGCCAATTTTAAGTTACCAACGTAATGTTGCTGATCACACACTTAGGAACAGATGGGCACTGCCAGTGCATGCCCTGAAACATGATTAAAAAACGCACTGAAACATGACTAGAAAACATGATTAAATGATCCCTAAAATTATTATTATTTTTTTTTCTTAGACAGAGTCTTGCTGTGTAGCCAAGGCTGGAGTGCAGTGGCCTGAGCAGGACTCACTGCAGCCTCAAATTCCTGGGGTCAGCGATCCTCCTGCCTCAGCCTCCCAAGTAGCTGGGATGATAGGTGTGTGCCACCATGTCCAGTTAATTTTTTAATTTTTTTTTTTTTTAGAGATGCGTTCTTGCTATGTTGCCCAGGCTGATCTTGAACTCCTGGGCTTGATCTGTCCTCCCACATCAGCCTCCCAAAATAGTGCTGGGATTATAGGCATGAGCCACCATGCCTGGTTCTGAAATTATCACTGAACGTTTTGTAACTCTTTGACTTTTCTCTCAAGGCCAAACCACCAGTGATTTTTCAATAATTTTTAGTAACAATATTCTTTTCCCAAATGAAATAATCTTCAGAATGCCCATAAATAAAACACCGACATAGAAGGATGAATTCCTTACGATGTTCCAATCTTCTCTGCTTGGCAGAATATTCTGTTCTTTGTGGAACTCTGAAATGATTTGGCAGAGCCCTCTGTTCACTGGGAACAGATTGAGGACCATGGTGTAAATGGATTTAGGTGCCGATACAGAATATGACTCTCTCTAGCACAAGATGTAAGAGGACATGTTGCCATAGTAAGAAATGGAATGCTACCTGCTGCCCACTGACAGGGAAATGCTTAAATAGACACAGGGCACCCACCGCTGCCTGTGTTAGCAACAGCAGCAGCTGGCGTCTAGCAAGGGCTTCCTGGAGCCATGTGCTGTCCCCAGCCTTTGCAGGCCCCACCTCGGACCCTTCTCCCAACGACACTGCGCAGTAAGCACCATTATCAACCCCCTGTTACAGACGACAAAACTAAGGCTGGGGGAAGTTAAGAAAGTCACAGAGGGGACAGCCGGGCGCAGTGGCTCACGCCTGCAATCCCAGCACTTTGGGAGGCCGAGGTGGGCAGATCACCTGAGGCTGGGAGTTCAAGACCACCCTGAGCAACATGGAGAAACCCTGTATCTACTAAAAATATAAAATTAGCCGGATGTGGTGGCGCATGCCTGTAATTCCAGCTACTCGGGAGGCTGAGGCAGGAAAATTGCTTGAACCTGGGAGGTGGAGGTTGCGGTGAGCTGGAGATCGCACCACTGCACTCCAGCCTGGGCAACAAGACAGAAATTAGTCTCAAAAAATAAAGGAAAGTCACAGAGGGGCAACAGCCATAGAGCAGTGGGGCCAAGATTCCACCTAGGCAGGCTAGCGCTCTTAACGGTTGTACTAAGAATAAAAAAGGGAGGTGGGTGAGGTGACTCATGCCTGTAATCCCAGCACTTTAGGAGGCCGAGGCAGGTAGACCACTTGAGGTCGGGAGTTTGAGACCAGCCTGGCCAACATGGCGAAATCCAATCTCTACTAAAAATACAGAAATTAGTTGGGCGTGGTGGCACACGCCTGTAGTCCCAGCTACTTGGGAGGCTGAGTCAAGAGGATCGCTTGAACCCAGGAGGCAGAGGCTGCAGTGAGCCGAGATCGCACCACTGCACTCCAGTCCACAGGTGTGGACCCCAACAGAAGGAATGAGTGGAGCTCACCGACAGTTTGGGGTGGGCCAGGCTTTCTACATGCATCATGTCATCCTTCCATGGCCCTGGAGAGAAAGTCTGGCCACCCCCATCTCGAGATGAGGACACAGAGGTTTGGGGGTGAAGACCTGCCGAAGCTCCACCTCAGCAAGCGTCAGTAGCACCGCATGCCTGGGGTCTGGCTCCTAAGCCCATGCTCTTTCAATGGCCCAAACATGGAACGCGTGGAAGATTTGAGTTAGAAGAGAACTTGGCAGCTGCCAAAGCAGCCTCTCATTCTACGGAGGAAGCACCTGAGACCCAGAAAGAGGAAGGGCCTCGTCCAAGGTCACAAGGCACTGACCGTGAAGCCAGGAGGGGCTGGCATGGGGCAGTTTCTTGGCAGAGTTGGCTGAGTGGTTTATTTGCTACAGGTTTGCTTGGAAGCGTTCTTTGCCGAAGAGTTTAGGAGCGATCGTGACTGGTTAGTGCAAGCCATTCCGCCGGGTCTGGATGGTGAGTCATGCCAGTGTGTCCTGTGCGAACACGGACTACCCGCCTGCTCCCGGCATCTTGCCCTCCCCAGGACCCCTGAAACGGAGGCTAAACGATTCACCCAAGGTCACCAAATACAAGAGAAAAGGAGTGTGGCCAGGCACGGTGGCTCATGCCTGTAATCCTAGCACTTTGGGAGGCTGAGGTGTGTGGATCACCTGAGGTCAGGAGTTCGAGACCAGCCTGGCCAACATGGTGAAACCCCATCTCTACCAAAATACAAAAAATTAGCCGGGTGCGGTGGTGGGTGCCTGTAGTCCCAGTTACTTTGGAGGCTGAGGCAGGAGATTCACTTGAACCTGGGGGGCAGATGTTGCAGTGAGCCGAGATCATGCCATTGCACTATAGCCTGGGCAAAAGAGCAAAACTTCATCAAAAAAAGAAAAAAAGAGGGCCGGGCGTGGTGGCTGACGCCTGTAATCCCAGCACTTTGGGAGGCTGAGACGGGCGGATCGCGAGGTCAGGAGTTCGAGACCAGCCTGGCTAACGTGGTGAAACCCTGTCTCTACTAAAAATACAAAAAATTAGCCAGGAGTGGTGGCATGCGTCTGTAGTCCCAGCTAGTCAGGAAGCTGAGGCAGGAGAATCGCTTGAACCCGGGAGGTGGAGGTTGTGGTGAGCCGCTGAGATCGCGCCACTGTACTCCAGCCTGGGCCATAGAGCGAGACTCCATCTTAAAAAAAAAAAAAAAATAGAAACAGAGTGGAAATCTGAACCCGTGTGGCTCGGGATGGTCTCTACTCTCTCATCTTGAAAGACCCCATCAGCTAAGACAAGGATCCAGTTGCATTTGGGAAATTTGAGGCTCTACTTACAAGTGTTACTGCTGGTTCGCCGCGCACAGGAACGCTGAGAACACCATCACCCTGGCCTCATCGAACGACTCCAGAGAGGGGCCCACATCTGCTCAACCCAGGAGAAAGCTGAGGTCTTCCAAGTGTTCTTCCCCAACATCTTAGGTCTGTTCCCACTGACTCCAATCTGAAGAGGGTGATGTTCCCTGCTGTCTGTTCTCACTTTGATCAGGACCACTGTGGACTGGCGTGTACCCACCTCTTTTTGTAGAAACTCATCCCAATCCCTGAGCCTAATGGTTAAAGTTCAACCCATGCCTTTCCCAATGGGGTGGGTCCACAGGGACTAGTGGCCTCTGCTGGGGACAGGCCGCTCAGGTCACTGGGCTTTGATCTGGCAAACAGGAGCACAAGTCTGCCAGGGAGCTACAAAAACTTTACGGTGGGGCTGTGTGAGCACCAGGGGATTACGCGGGGGGTGGGGGCGAGTGGATGAGAGCAGAGTCCCGGTTTCTTTCATGGGGTTGACCCTGTGGTTTGGGGCTCCGGGACACTCAGTACCAGGCACAAAGCCACGGTGTGCGTGTGAGGAGGGACTGACAGGCAGGCTCAGAAGTACAGGAATGGGACTGGCCAAAGCGCTGCTGGGTAGACAGGCTGGGGGAGCAGGGAGCTTCTGTCCACCCACCAGGGCTCCTGAAGTCACAGAGTCCTTGCTTGCCTCAAAATAGGTGCGATTTGATTCATTCATCCTCCCCGGAAACAAGATGCCCTGTGGCTTGGGACACTTCCAGGTCATGCCGGCTGTCTTGGCATAAACATTAACGGGGCCACCTTTCTTTCTTTCTTTTCTTTTCTTTTTTTTTTAGGCAGAGTTTCACTTCTGTTGCCTGGGCTAGAGTGCAATGGCGTGATCTCAGCTCACTGCAACCTCTGCCTCCCAGGTTCAAGCAATTCTCCTGCCTCAGCCTCCTGAGTAGCTGGGATTACAGTTGCCCACCACCATGCCCAGCTTCGCCGTCCAAGAGCCTGGGGCCGTGGGGGGCGGGGCTGCCTGCTATCGGCCCCGCCCCGCCGACAGGACCCGCCTCTCTCCCCAGGCCCGGCGGGGCCGACCCCGCCTCTCGCTCCCAGCTTGCCGTACGACAGCGGCGGCGCGGCGGGCGGAGCCGGGAGGCGGGGAAGCAGTGGCCGTGTGAGCGTGAGGAGCTGCCGCCACCGCCTGCTCCTCGTCCTCCTCGTCCTCCGGGGCCCCAGCGTCGTGGGCCGCGCACGGCCCTGGAAGAGACGTCGCCTCGCCTTCATCCGCCTCTCTCACCGCGCCGCTCCCTCGTCCTGCCCTGCGGGCTCAGGCGGAACCCGGAACGGCCGTCCTCTTCCCCCGCCCTCCGCCGCCGCCTCCTCCTCCTCCTTCTCGGCTTCCTCCTCAGCCCCGGGCCGGAGCGGGGTGTCGGCGGCGGCCGGTTCGGGCGGCGGCGCTTGGCCATGTCGTGTCGGGGAAGGTAATGAGCCGCAGAGCCCCGGGGTCTCGGCTGAGCAGCGGCGGCACCAACTATTCGCGGAGCTGGAATGACTGGCAACCCAGGTGGGTGACCGGCCCGGGACCCCGCCCCGACCTCCCGGGCTCCGCCTCGGGCGGGCCGAGGCCTAGGGCCGCGGGGCTGGGAGGCGCGGCCTAGGCCCTCCACCCACCGGAGCCGGGCGCGGCTTCCTGGGTCTCCTCCTCCCCGGCTAGGGGAGGAAGGCCGCGGGGAGGCGAGGCCTAAGTGCCTCTCCCCTCCCTGCTTGTTCAGCCCGGGGCTGAAGCCGAGCCCCGGGGCTCCCGGCGGTGGCACTGACCTAGGGTCGGGACCAGGAGGTGAGAAAGAGGCGGGGGTGGTGGGGGGGGCATTCCACTTACCGCCTCCCCCTGACCCCGAGTTGGGAGATCCTGAGAGTCCAGGACCCTCCCTGTTACTCATTCACTTTCTCGGTTCCCCAGTCTTTCAGCCGCCACGTGAGAGCTCTTGTAGCCTCTGTTCCTTTCTGTGACCCCCACATGTTAATATTGAAAAAACCAAAACAAAACTCCAGCCAAGGCATTGCTCTGACTTTAGGCAGAACATTCATTAGTGGAGCATGAGATGAGATTGTGTGACTGTTGATGGGATCGACCCACTCTGGTCTTGGGCGATGGAAGTTTTCCCTAAGTGCAAGGCCGGTTACTCTGGTGAATCGTAATTCATACCTGGACACTTGAGTGAACTCTTTGGGCACCCACTTAGAAGTCTAGAGAATTTCCTCTTTTATGGAGGATTTGATCTCAGACCGTTTTGGGGCTTAGTTAGATTTGAATATATTAGGAACATTAACTTTTTAAATAAATGTAATTTCCTATCTTTTTGATCAATGGGGGGAGGGTAGCTGTGCCTAATTTAGGATTGATTTATTCTAACCTCTCTTACTAAATAAATGCTTGTATTCAGAGTCTGTTTGGAATTTAACCCAATGCTTAGAACTCCTTAAATATACAGAAATATATTTTAGGGGCAATTGATTCATGGAACTCTCCTGCTTTGGAGCACAATTGTATTATAATTGTCCGGAAACTGGCCAGATAATGTAGAACGCACAAGTTGTTGAGAAGCCCTTTTGTTTCCTGATAGTTACATGTAATTCCAGCAGTATTTGGAAATAATTTGCTAAGATGTTAGAATGTAACATTTGAAGACTCATTAGAAAAATCAATAAAATTATCTTTGGCTAATGGGTAGTACACATCTTAGTCTGTTTAATATGCCTTTCCAAAAAAAACTGTGTCTGTTGAGAATTGGTGTATATAACTAGATGACTTTAATAATTAGTGCCTGAGTCTAGAATTGAGATGTTTAGTCGTAAAAAAAAATATTGTTCGATAAACAGCGTTGGCTTGTCTTGTACCACTTAAGAGTTTGTGAGTGCTTTAAATAAAATTAGTTAAGTATTTTTCTTCCTATGATTGACATGCTTAGTTTTGCCTTTTTATTGAAATGTGTGAAATTTGATTATCTGGCATCTAACAAATCAGGTGGTAAATGAATGACAATGGATTTTCTATTATTTTTCAGTATTGTGATCAGTATAAGTATATAAGAGAATTTAGTAACCTTTTAGAAGAATAAAGTGCCTTCCCAAATAGTCCTACAGCTTTTGTAAAGTGTAAATTGTAGTTTATAGTTCTAAATAAATAGAGAAGAGTCGCAGCCACGTGCTAGGGCCAGCTGACTTCATTGCTGACAGGTATGAAGCCAAATGGCTTATGTAGTTATGGAATATGTACATGAGCTATTAATAAATATTATCCATGTTGTTTCTTTCAAGTGCTTTATTTCTCGGCTCTGGGGAGGGGCGATGTGGGAAGGGAGGAGCTTACAAGAAAGCTTGCAAGGTTTCTTTGAAGCTGTGCTTTTTGTAGGAAAGTTTCAGGATGTAACGCCTTGGTAGACGATACTGTGATACATTTGGTTACAGGGAGTAACAGTTTGTTAGGATGTTGGAAAGATTTGATTTTCTCCTGTTGTAGAGGGAACAGGGAAGTGTGGACATACCCCATAGCATAACTTGATTTGTTGCTAAGATTGTCATAGCTGATTTGTTAGTCAATAAAAATACCTGGGGTGTTTGCCAAGTCATAAATTTTTATTAGTTAAATTTGAGGTGATTCCGTCCCCTATTCCGAAAGATGACAGACTCCAGGTAACTGACGGAATGGATCTTGATCTTGCTTCTTACTTAAATGAAGGTTTAGAACATCTTCAGATGCAGGCACATTTATTATGGTTCATCTGAATAATTTTGGTGAAAATTTTTTTGCCTCTTATGTACCATTTTGTCCCTGGTGTTTTGGTTCTGTTTTCCTTGATGTAGGCTTTTTTTTTTTTTGTCTTCCTGAGATGGAGTCTTGCTCTGTCTCCCAGGCTGGAGTGCAGTGGTGTAATCTCGACTCACTGCAGCCTCTGCCTCCTGGTTACAGGGAAAAATTCTCCTGCCTCAGCCTCCTGAGTAGCTGGGATTACAGGCGTCCAGCTAATTTTTGTATTTTTAGTAGAGACGGGATTCCACCATGTTGGCCGGCCTGTTCTTGGACTCCTGACTCAGGTGATCCGCCTGCTTTGGCCTCCCAAAGTGCTGGGATTACAGGTGTAAGTCACCGCACTCAGCCGATTTAGGCTTTTGAAAAAGCAATACTTGTTGATTTCTTTTAGTGTTAGTTTGCCAGTTGGTGTGGAAAATGACTGTTGAGTCAATTTTGACCACACATGATACTTCACACATACTGACAAGAAGTGTTCCAGGTGGCTGAATACGTGAATGTCATATGGCAAGAGAGCAAACCCGTGTTCCATAGAAGCATACCTCCAACAGTAAGCATTTATATGGCACTGGCTTATAGTCTTCCTTTTCATTCACTGTGCTCTCAGTCAACTCTTCTGTCAATTTTTTTGAGACAGGGTCTTGCTGTGTCACCCAGGCTGGAGTGCAGCGGCACAGATACTTGGCTTACTGCAGTCTCGACCTCCCAGGCTCAAGCCTCCTGCCTCAGCATCCACAAGTAGCTGGGGCTACAGGCGCTTGCCAACAGCCTGGCTCATTTTTGTATTTTTTGTAGAGATGGGGTTTTCACCACGTTGCCCAGGCTGGTCTTGAACCCCTGAACTCAAGCAATCTGCCCACCTTCAGCCTCCCAAAGTGTTGAGATTACAGGTGTGAGCCACCGCACCCGACATTTAAGAATGGTTAATAGGCCGGGGGCAGTGGCTCACGCCTGTAATCCCAGCACTTTGGGAGGCTGAGGTGGGTGGATCACCTGAGGTCACGAGTTCAAGACCAGCCTGGCCAACCGACATGGTGAAACCCCGTCTCTACTAAAAAAAATAAATAAATAAATTAGCGGGATGTGGTGGTGCATGCCTGTAATCCCAGTTACTCGGGAGGCTGAGGCAGGAGAATCACTTGAACCTGAGAGGCGGAGGTTGTAGTGAGCGACATCACACCACTGCACTCCAGCCTGGGCAACAGAGCAAGACTCCTTCTCAAAAAAATAAAAATAAAAAATTAAAAAAAGAATGGTTAAACAAATGAGTGGTCTTAGGTCAGTTGTATTATTTGAAATCTGTGGGTTCCTCAGGCATAAAGTTGAGAAGGTTTTGGGAACCACTGGATGCCTCTGGGTTTTTTCATATGAAGAAACAGGGGTGGTGGCTTCTTAGAACAAAGGGATATCTGACCTATGGAGGTTGCCCTCTTTACTCCTCTTCCCTAAAAAAATGACCTATCATTGCCAATAGCTAAAGTCTGTCATTTTTTCCACCTTAGTTTGGAAGATAATCTTCTAGTATCAATCAAGACAGAGATCAGAATGATGTGTTTTAAAATTAAATGTGTAATTCATAATTGTACATTTTAATATTCTAAAGTGACATTGATTAATTTGACATTGGAGTCAAATAGATTGATTAATTCAACAAAAGAGAAGGCATTCAAGTCAACAGAAAACAAGTAGATTTTACTTTTCCACTCGGGGTATTAGGACATTAATTGTGTAATTGGTCTTACTTGTTTAGTAGTAGATCTGTATTGAGTGTCTTACTGTGCCCAAACTTAGGATCTTTCTGTATTTCTAAAAGGATGAAACTGTATAATAAAAACACCTTCCAATTTTGGTAGATTGTAGACAGAGCAGAGTATTCAAAAGTATACACATCTTCTCTATTGTGAAAGACCAAAAAATGGAAATATGTTGTGAAATTAGAAAAGCTGTATACTAGTATGTCTGATGTTGTGAGAAGCTGGATTTTTGAAACCAGAGTTGTCTATTCAGCCTTTTATCAGTCTGTAGTAAGTTTGATGTCCATAGGTACATAATATAGGGAAATACATAAAGGATAAAATTAAGTGAAGTTACATATTTTATACGTATTAGGTGGGTGCAAAAGTAATTGCAGTTTTGGCAAAAACCGCAGTTACTTCACACCAGTCTAATTTTAAATGGAACTAGAGTCAAATAGAATTTAGCGATTGCCAGTTCTGTTCCACAGATTTCAAAGTACACTAAGGAAAATTTCAGCAAATTGTGTATGGCAGTTTTACTTGGAGGAGAGTAAAACAGCCATAATAAACTAAAAAATAAAAATTAAAACTAAAGGAACGTTTGTTTTTATGTTTTTCTTTTCTTTTCTTTCCTCTTTTTTGAGATATGCTCTTGCTCTGTTGCCCAGGCTGGAGTGCAGTGGTGCAGTCACTGCTCACTGCAGCCTTGACTTCCTGGGCTCTGGGAATCCTCCCGCCTTAGCCTCCTGAGTAGCTGGGACCACAGGTGCATACCACCACACCTGACTAATTTATTTATTTTTCCTCTCTCTCTCTCTCTTTTTTTTTTTGAGACAGAGTTTTACTTTGTCGCCCAGGCTGGAGTATAGTGGCACAATCTCAGCTCACTTGCAACCTCCACCTCCTGGTTCAAGTGATTCTCCTGTCTCAGCCTCCCAAGTAGCTGGGAATACAGGTGCATGCCACTATGCCCGGCTAATTTTTGTGTTTTTAGTGGAGATAGGATTTCACCATGTTGGCCAGGCTGGTCTTGAACTGCTGACCTCAGGTGATCCACCCGCTTCGGCCTCCCAAAGTGCTGGGATTCCAGGCGTGAGCCACCACGCCTGGCCGCCTCTCTCTTTTTCTGAAACAGAGTCTCACTTCATTGCCCAGGTTGGAGTGCAGTGGAACCATCTCAGCTCACTGCAGCCTCCACCTCCCAGGCTCAATAAGTCCTCCTACCTCACCCTCCCAATAGCTGGGACCACAGGTGCATGTCACCACCCCCAGCTACTTTTTTTTGTTTTCTGTAGAGACGGGGTTTTGCCATGCTGCCTGGGCTGGTCTTGAATACCTAGGCTCAAGTGATCCTTCCTCCTTGGCCTCCTAAAGAGCCAGGATTACAGGTGTGACCCACCATGCTTGGCACGCTAATTTTTTATTTTTATTTTTTTGTAGACGTGGGGCCTCCCCATGTTGCCCATGCTGGTGTCAAACTCCTACTCCATTATGAAATAAGTCATTCCTTATGAAACACTTAGTAATTGTATCTTTAAGTTGAACCTTCCCCTCACTCCAACTTTTTTTTTTTTTTTTTTTTTTTTTGAGACGGAGTTTTACTCTTGTTGTCCAGGCTGGAGTGCAATGGTGCAATCTTGGCTCACTGCATCCTCCGCCTCCCAGGTACAAGCTGTTTTCCTGTCTCAGCCTCCCAAGTAGATCAGATTACAGGCATGTGCCACCACACCTGGCTAATTTTTTTTATATTTAGTAGAGACGGGGTTTCACCGTGTTAGGCTGGTCATGAACTCCTGACCTCAGGTGATCCACCTGCCTCGGCCTCCTAAAGTGCTGGGATTACAGGTGTGTGCCACTGCACCCCGCCTTTTTTTTAAAGACATAGTTTCACTCTGTCTCCCAGGCTGGAGTGCAGTGGCACGATCTTGGCTCAGTACAACCTCCACCTCCTGGGTTCAAGTGATTCATGTGCCTCTGCCTCCCGAGTAGCTGGGACTACAGGCGCATGTCACCAAGCCCGGCTAATTTTTGTATTAGAGACAGGGTTTCGCCATGTTGGCCAGGCTGGTCTCGAACTCCTGACCTCAAGTTCCCACCTTGGCTTCTCAAAGTGCTGGGATTACAGGAGTGAGACACCGTGCCTGGACCCCCCAACCCATTTTGTTTTGATTCCTTTATAAATTAGTATAATGGAGGGTTTTTTTGTTTGTTTTTTATAACAGGTAATGAAATACTCTAATTCAGTAAATATTGATGCTTCTAGGGAGATGTGTGTGTGTGTGTGTGTGTGTGTGTGTGTGTGTGTATGTATATATATATAAATTTTTTTTTTTTTTTTTTTTTGAGATGGAGTGTCGCTCTGTCGCCCAGGCTAGAGTGCAGTGGTGCAATCTCGGCTCACTGCCAGCTCCACCTCCTGGGTTCACGCCATTCTCCTGCCTCAGCCTCCCGAGTAGCTGGGATTGCAGGTGCCCGCCACCACGCCTGGCTAATTTTTTGTATTTTTAGTAGAGATGGGGTTTCACCATATTAGCCAGGATGGTCTTGATCTCCTGACCTCGTGATCTGCCCGCCTCGGCCTCCCAAAGTGCTGGGATTACAGGCATGAGCCACTGCGCCCGGCCATAAATTTTTTTTTTTTGAGATGGGGTCTCGCTTTGTTGCCCAGGCTGAAATGCACTGGTGCAATCTTGGCTCACTGCAACCTCGGCCTCCTGGGTTCAAGCGATTCTCCTGCCTCAGCCTCCCGAGTAGCTGGGATTACAGGCATGTGCCCACTACTCCTGGGTAATTTTTGTATTTTTAGTAGAGACGGGGTTTCACCATGTCGACCAGGCTGGTCTCGAACTTCTGACCTCAAGTGATCTGCCTGTCTTGGCCTCCCAAAGTGCTGGGATTACAGGCACAAGCTACTGCACTGGGCCATGGCCAGGATTTTTATGACTTGTAAAACCACTGTCTTCAAGGAGGCTATAAGTTATTATGGGAGAAAAGTAAAGGGCTTTGTAAAGGGGAGAGCATGTGGATTTTGTGATGTAATTCTCAGTATACCTTCCTTCCTTCCTTTCTTTCTTTTTTTTTTGAGACAGTCTTGCTCTGTCACTTAGGCTGGAGTGCAGTGGCATGATTGACAGGGTTTCGCCAGGTTGGCCAGTCTGGTCTTAAACTCCTAACCTCAGGTGATCTGCCCGCCTTGACCTCCCAAAGTGCTGGGGTTACAGGCCAACATGGTGAAACCCCGTCTCTACTAAAAATACAAAAATTAGCTGGATGCAGTGGTGGGCGCCTGTAATCCCAGCTACTTGGGAGACTGAGGCAGGAGAATCGCTTGAACCCAGGAGGTGGAGGTTGCAGTGAGCCAAGATCATGCCATTGCACTCCAATTTGGGTGACAGAGTGAGACTGTCTCAAAAACAAAAACAAAAACCTGGAGGGTTAGAGGAGGGAAATGGGGTGATGGAATTGGTCTGTACAATTTTCACTGTGAATTTGGGGGAGAATCCCCCCCAAAATAGAAGAAAATTAGGATAAGGCCAGGTGCAAATTGTCAGTGTGTAGAGGAATTGGGTACTTATGAGGAGTAATACAAATAAGAGGTGAAGCTGAAGCACTGGGTTGGGGACCCTATTGTAGACCTTTAATCATAGTTCAGGTGTTTTTTTGTTTGTTTGTTTGTTTGTTTGTTTTTGGAGACAGAGTTTTTGCTCTTGTTGCCCAGGCTGGAGCACAATGGTGCCATTTTGGCTCACTGCAACCTCCGCCTCCCGGGTTCAAGCAGTTCTCCTTCCTCAGCCTCCCAAGTAGCTCTAGGGATTACAGGCACGCACCACCACACCTGGCTAATTTTTTGTATTTACTAGAGACGGGGTTTCACCATGTTGGTCAGGCTTGTCTTGAACTCATGACCTCAGGTGATCCACCCATCTCGGCCTCCCAAAGTGCTGGGATTACAGGCGTGAGCCACCACCCTGGCCCAGTTTAAGTGTATTTGGAGTGACTTTAGGGAATCATTGAAATTTTACCTGCCGGAAAGTGGCACAATTTAGGAAGATTAAATCTAGTTGCTTCTTGAAAAAGTGTGTGGGCTGGCCGTGGTGGCTCATGCCTGTAATCCCAGCAGTTTGGGAGGCTGAGGTGGGTGGATCTCCTGAGGTCGGGAGTTCGAGACTAGCCTGACCAACATGGAGAAACCCCGTCTCTACTAAAAATACAAAATTAGCCGAGTGTGGTGGTGCATGCCTGTATTCCCAGCTACTCGGGAGGCTGAGGCAGGAGAATTGCTGGAACCTCGGAGGCCGAGGTTGTGGTGAGCTGAGATTGCGCCGTTGCACTCCAGCCTGGGCAACAAGAGCAAGACTCCGTCTAAAAAAAAAAAAAGGAGTGTGTGTGTTAGAGTGCGTGCACACACGTGCAGGAGAGATCGCAGTGGGAGGCAGTTAATTGGAACAATATAGAGAAGGGGCTGCTAAGGACCTGAGTATTATGTTTATATTTAACAATTTAAATTAAGATAAGGCTGTGTATGGTGGCTCACACCTGTAATCCCAGCACTTTGGGAGGCCAAGGTGGGTGGATCACCTGAGGTTGGGAGAGACCAGCCTGACCAACGTGGAGAAACCCCGTGTCTACTAAAAATACAAAAATTAGCCGGGCGTGGTGGCATATGCCTGTAATCCCAGCTACTTGGGAGGCTGAGGCAGGAGAATCACGTGAATCCGGGAGACGGAGGTTGTGGTGAGCCGAGATCGAGCCATTGCACTCCAGCCTGGGCAGCAGGAGCGAAACTCTGTCTCAAAAAATAAATTAATTGGCCGGGCGCGGTGGCTCACGCCTGTAATCCCAGCACTTTGGGAGGCCGAGGCGGGCGGATCACGAGGTCAGGAGATCGAGACCATCCCGGCTAAAACGGTGAAACCCCGTCTCTACTAAAAATACAAAAAAATTAGCCGGGCGTAGTGGCGGGCGCCTGTCGTCCCAGCTACTTGGGAGGCTGAGGCAGGAGAATGGCGTGAACCCGGGAGGCGGAGCTTGCAGTGAGCCGAGATCCCGCCACTGCACTCCAGCCTGGGCGACAGAGCGAGACTCCGTCTCAAAAAAAAAAAAAAAATAATAATAAATAAATAAATTAATTAATTAATTAAGGTAAAAGTGTTCAGCTCAATATGTGAGAATTTCCATAAGCAAAAGCCCCTCATTTGTTATCTGGTGTTGATTGAGGATGATTACTAAAGTGATACCTTTTATCTGCTCAATCTTCATGTTAGACACATGTATGGAATGTCATTTAAGTGTCATATAAAATGGAGTGTGGTCCATGGTGTCTGTTGGGAACATTGAATTGTTAAATTCTTTAGGATTTTCTGCCTTTGTTACCTGGCTCTTGTTCCTTATCCTAATCGCCTAAAACAAATCCCTGAGGCTCCTTTCATTGGACCACCCTTAATGATTTAGAGGAGCTGTTGTTTGTTAATCTTTTCACATTGTCATCATTTTGGTTACCTGTCTTTGACTATCTTGAAGTTTTTCAGAGCCCATTTTATTTTTGGAACTATAAAATGAAACATACTTCCCCTTGTATAGAGGCCTAACAGTAAAGAGTACAGAAATTTTGTGGTTTCATATGTATAGGAAATGCTCCCTTATTCTGAGTTTTTGTTTTTTGTTTTTTTTTTAATGTAGAGTATAACTTACTAAATTCTTGTGGAGTTCGCTCATGCAGAGATACTTGGTTTTATAATGTTATTCTTTTCCATCTTGTATTAATCGAGTGTACTTTTCCTTTTTAAATTGAATTCGTTTTTGAATTCTATTGTGGTGCTTCTTTGAGATAAAATTTATGTATGTATAGGTGGTGGTGTTTTTTCTTTTTTTCTTTTTTTCTTTTGAGATGAAGTCTCGCTCTTATCCCCCAGACTGGAGTGCAATGGTGCGATCACGACTCACCGCAACCTCCGCCTCCCGGGTTCAAGTGATTCTCTTGCCTCAGCGCCCCAAGTAGCTGTGATTACAGATGCCTGCCACCACGCCTGGCTAGTTTTTGCACTTTTAGTAGAGATGGGGTTTCACCATGTTGGCCAGGCTGGTCTGGAACTCCTGACCTCAGGTGACCCATCCGCCTCGGCCTCCCAAAGTGCTGGGATTACAGGCGTGAGCCACCACGCCCGGCCTGTATAGGTCTTAAATTCAGTAAATTTTGACAAATGTATACACCTGTGTAACCATGACCTCAGTCAAGGTACAGATATGCAGTGACTTTTTCACTATCACACCCATTCCTGCCACTTTTTTTCATATCCTTACCACTATCTGGAATTTTTATGTGTGCCATCTCCAGTAAAATACAACCTGCATATGTGCATGGATCTGGTAAAATTGTTACTTTTGCTATCCCCTTCTTTCCTACTAAGTGCATCAATAAATAGCATCCACTCTATATTTGTGTCTTTCCTCAAGTAAATACATGAAAATGAGATCCTGCAAGTTTGTGTTTTTATATTAAGTGTTAACTCCAGAGATTGCAACACTGTTCTTGTAGGATGTTTTTTTGGGGAAAGCATTCCTCTTATGGCAGCCTTGTTGGCCTGAGGCAGGGCTTAAACAAACTGATTGAGCAGGCTCAAAAGGACAGTATCGTAATGGACTGGAGTGGCCAGATCTTTCTACAGAAGAAAGAATACGGTAATTTGGCCACGCGCAGTGGCTCATACCTGTAATCTCAGCACTTTGGGAGGCCGAGGTGGGCGGATCATGAGGTCAAGGGATCAAGACCATCCTGGCCAACATGGTGAAACCCCATCTCGACTAAAAAATATACAAAAATTAGCTGGGCATGGTGGCACACGCCTGTAGTCCCAGCTATTCAGGAGGCTGAGGCAGGAGAATTGCTTGAACTTGGGAGGCGGAGGTTGCAGTGAGTGGAGATGATGCTGTTGCACTCCAGCCTGGGCAGCAAGAGGAAAACCTCTGTCTCAGAAAAAATAAAAAATAAAAGAATATGGTAATTTAAGATTCATATGTTTTATCCATCTTGAAAAATACCTTGTGCACATATTTAAAGTCTTTTTACACATTGATTTATTTTGAGTCTATTGTATCTGTCTACATTATTTAAGCAATGTAATCACTAAAAATTTAAGCACTGGGTTGAGCCTTCTGGCATCCCATTAGAATGCCTGGGGAAACACACTTCTTGCCAATTGCATGCCTGCTGATTGGGGAATGAAACGCAAATATTCCAGAATCAACAGATTTCTTTATTTTATTTTATTTGTCACCCAGGCTGGAGTGCAGTGGTGAGATCTTGGCTCACTGCAAACTCTGCCGCCCGGGTTCAAGTGATTCTCCTACCTCAGCCTCCTGAGTAGCTGGGATTACAGGCGACTGCCACCACGCCTGGCTAATTTTTGTAGTTTTTAGTAGAGATGGGGTTTCACCATCTTGGCCAGGCTGGTCTTGAACTCCTGACCTTAGGTGAGGAGGAAATGCCATTTTGTAAATCCCAAAGTGCTGGGATAACAGGTGTGAGCTACCATACCTGGCCTAGAATCAACAGATTTCTGAACATACTGAATTACTTCTTTCATATTAATTTTCAGACCTTTTCAAAAAAGGATTTGGATACCCTGTTGATATTCATATTCATATTATTATGTTGGCATTCATATAATATGTGTAGGACTTTATAGTTATTTAAAAACCTGTTATAGACTTTTTTGTTTATTATTTAAAACTTTTTTCAGAGGGACTTGTTGCTTTTTTTTTTTTTTTTTGAGATGGAGTTTTGCTCTTGTTGCCCAGGCTGGAGTGCAAGGGCACGATCTAGGCTCACGCAACCTCTACCTCCTGGGTTCAAGTGATTCTCCTGCCTTGGCCTCCTGAGTAGCTGGGATTACAGGCATGTGCCACTCGCCTGGCTAATTTTTTGTATTTTTAGTAGAGACAGGGTTTCACCCTGTTAGCCAGGATGTTCTTCATCTTCGGACCTCAGGTGATCCCCCCTGCCTTGGCTTCCCAAAGTGCTGGGATTACAGGTGTAAGCCACCTCGCCCAGCCTCAGAGGGATTTCTGGTACCAGAATTATAGATTGTTTTTGTTACCGAACTTCCTAAGTTATGCTCGTTCTTTGTTTATTAAGGGGAGACACTAGATTTTTTTTATCACGCTTTTTATCATCATAGAGAACTTTAGTAGTCTACAAGAATATTGTTAGAGGCTTAGCAGTGGCCTCACTGCACATACATGTATATGTCTTTGGGAACCTACAGGTTTTTAAGAAGTCGTTAAACTTAATATTTACTAGATATTTGTTTTTGGATGGCATCTAATATATTAATAGCCCAGAAAAAAGGCGCCACTAATGAATATGTCTTGGATTACATAGTGACATATATTAGCTTTTCGTCCACATTTGATAACATTGCTAATATTTTTTTTTTTTTTACTGAAGCTCTTTGAATTTAAAGTTTTCTCTCATTTAAATTTATTAATTGAAAACATACCTTTACTCTGTTCCCTTTAGCATTTCAACCTGATGTTAAAAGATGTGTATGTGTGATATGTGTGTTTGAAATTTTAACTTTCATCTTGGAGTATTTAATTCTCTGAAGCAGTGCATGACTCTTGCTCTTCAGCCTCTTGAGAGTGTCCCTGGTTTATATTCCTGATGATACAAACCCTGGAATTTCTTGTCTGAAGTGTTAACACTTTATTTCCAGGTCCTAATTTGATTTGAATAGTGGAAGTTCAGATTCAATGCATTAATGACAGATTCTATGTTGACTTCTTCAGATTTGCCAGACAGAAAAATCTACTTATGTGAGGAAATCATTAGGCTTTTTGACTATCCTCTTTGTATAATGAGACTCTTTTCTCATTAGATGAGTAAAAAGATCCAGAGATGATCACCAGTATCCCCCAGAATTCATATATATTTAATTGAAAAGAAAGCAAATCCTGGGATTCTTTCCTAAAAAGGTTGATTACATTTCTTGCCTGTCTGTACGTTCTTTGTATAAACGTGAAGAAAAATAAAAATATAGGTTTTCCAGCACTGGGACTATGAAATTTGAGATTTAACATTTATTCATTAGTCAGATTTAAAGGAATCTACCTTAAGTCATAGTTTATATTGTTTTTGAAGGACCTGAGTAAGGATTCTATTAAAAATGATTAATTCTGTCATTATTTGAAATATTGATAGGATTTTAATATGTTCCTTTTTTGAAAATACTAGAATTATAAATTACACTTAATAGCAAATAGGTCGTAAGTATGTGGTAATCAATTTATTGACTAAAAATTTTGTAAAAGATGCCTTTTATTTAAAGTGGCCTATCGTATAGTTACTATAATGCTAGTGCTCTCTACATTTTCATTGTAATCTTACTGAAGAAGTAAAAATTAATCATTGTTCTCCCCACTCTAATATTAATTCAGAAATCATAATTGTACACATAGGGTACAACGTAATGTTTATATATATGTGTGTAATGTAGTATGATTAAATCATGCTAATTAACATACTATCGCCTTACTTTGCTTACTTATATTTTGTGGTGAGGCATTTGAAATTTACTCTTAATTGTTTGAAATACATTATTATTATTGCTATTGTTATCTGTGTCTTCTCTTTGCAAATAAATACATCATTATTTACTATGGCCACCCTGTTGTGCAAAGATTTCAAAAACTCTTCTCCTATGTGAAATTTGTTCCCTTTTCTTTTTCCAAAAAAAAAAAAAAATCCACCTGCTGTCTTAGCATAAAAATAGAACCAGTGTGTTTTAGATTCCTCTCTAAGTGTCTTTATTTTTAAGAATGTATTTTTTTTTTTTTTTTTTGAGACGGCGTCTTGCTCTGTTGCCCAGGCTGGAGTGCAGTTGGCACCATCTTGGCTCACTGCAATCTCCACCTCCCGGGTTCAAGCGATTCTCCTGCCTCAGCCTCCCATGTAGCTGGGATTACAGGTGCATGCCACCACGCCTGGCTAATTTTTGTATTTTTAGTAGAGACGGGTTTCACCGTGTTGACCAGGCTGGTCTCAAACTCCTGACCTCAGGTGATACGTCCGCCTCAGCCTCCCAAAGTTCTGGGATTACAGATGTGAGCCACCGTGCCCAGCTAGAATGTGTGTATTTTAAAAAGTTGATCCTTCACAGATATTTATCTTAGGAGAGGCTGGTGTCATGAAAAAAGCTATGGACTAAGAATGGGAAGACAAAGATCTTCTGTATTGGCACTACCAGCTGTGTCCCTCTGAGGGGGTAATTTTTGCCTTTTGAAGACGTTGGGAGGGTTAAAGTTCAGGAAATTATTTTTAAAACTGTTCCAGTGAATATTTAGAAAAATATTAGTGGAGATAGAATTAATTGCTCTGCAGTGGAGTGGCTCTCTTTCTACATTTTCTTTTTTTCTTTTTTCCTTTTTTTTTTTTTTTTTGAGACGGAGTCTCGCTCTGTCCCCCAGGCTGGAGTGCAATGGTGCGATCTCAGCTCACTGCAACCTCCGCCACCCGGGTTCAAGCGATTATCCTGCCTCAGCCTCCTGAGTAGATGGGATTACAGGCATGTGCCACCGCACCCAGCTAATTTTTTTTTTGTATTTTTAGTAGAGGCGGGGTTTCACCTTGTTGGCCAGGCTGGTCTTGAACTCCTGACCTTGTGATCCATTCACCTCTGTCTCCCAAAGTGCTGGGATTACAGGTGTGAGCCACCGTGCCTGCCCTCTTTCTACACTTTCTAGTATAGTCCCATTAGGCTGTAAACCTATTTCAAGTTGAACGATAAGAAATTTCAGCATAGCTCTGCATCATCATTTTTTCTCCATATCTTGTATTCACACCTTAAGAATTTGTTACTAGTTGAAATGATAAGCCAGCAAACATAATCTAATCTTTGTGACTGTTTGCATAGATTGGAGGGCAAGTACAATGTAAATGGAATGTATATAGAGAAAGGGTAGGTTAAAAGGTAGCTTATAGCTTGCTTACCTTTTACTACACAGTTGGAATTTAAGAACTGATTCTTATAAGAACACCAGTTGAACGATGAGTTGCTTTTTTCCCTCTGGTGTAGTGTGTATGGGTGTGTATATACATATTTTTATTTTAATTTTTTTTTTAATGGGAGGAGGGAGGATGCCAGAAACATTTAGTTGTACTCTGCCAATGTGATAGTTTTAAGTACTTGAGGGGGTGGAGAAGAACCACACGCATCTTCTAAACAAAGATGGGAAATATCATATCATTATAAGAATGTATATACAGTATTAAGCAATTACAAGATTTTGGGCCAGGCATGGTGGTGCTTTGGGAGACCAAGACAGGGAGGTGGGTGGATCACTTGAGCCCAGGAGTTGGAGACCAGCCTGGGTAACATAGTGAGACCTCGTTTCTACAAAAAATAAAAAAATTGGCTGGGCATGGTGACTTACACCTGTAATCCCAGCACTTTGGGAGGCTGAGGCTGTCAGATCACCGAGATCAGGAATTCGAGACCAGCCTGACCAACCTGGTGAAACTCCGTCTCTACTGAAAATACAAAAATTAGCTGGGCATGGTAGTGCATGCCTGTAATCCCAGCTATTTGGGGGCTGAGGCAGGAGAATTGCTTGAACCCAGGAGGCAGAGGTTGCAGTGAGCCAAGATCACACCACTGCACTCCAGCCTGGGTGACAGAGCAAGACTCTGTCTCAAAAAAAAAAAAAAAAAATAACTGGACATGGTGTCATGAGTTTCTAGTCCCACCTACTTGGGAGGCTGAGGTGGGAGGATTGCTTTAGCCCAGGAGGTCGAGGCTTCTGTGAGCTGTGATTGTGCCACTGTCTCAAAGAAAAAAAAAAAAAGATTCTGGTACTATTTGAAATTGTAGTACTGTAAATCTATAATAAATGATTGCTGTCTCTTAAGGAACTTAGTATCTGGAAACATTGTTTCTTTTTTTCTTGTAAAAGGGAATTATAAAAGTTACTTCTTTTAAATCACTTATGTCAATCTGATTAAAGTGTGTTTAGTATAAAATGTAACAAAAGAAAAAGATAGGGTTTGTATAGACTGTGGGTTTAAAGTGGCTTAAGTGATGATTTTGAAGTTTCCTAGGTGTCTTATACTTAAGGCTAAATACAAAGACCTCAGTAAATTTCTGGCTACTGCTGAGCATGGTGGGAGCATCGTTTCCTGTTCTTACTAGTATGTTTCAGCAGCTAGCAAAAGCTGTCTTCATTTAATACATTTTCCTGCAGTTAAAATAATAGTGTGATTATCTTGAAAGGCGTCTTCCTTTTTCAGTATTTGATTTGTGAGACCATATCTTCTGGAATTACTTGAGACCTCTAATTAAATTGACTTTTAAAATTTTTTATTTCATTTTCTTTTAGAGTTGGAGGTCTTGCTATGTTGTCTGGACTGGCCTAGGATGATGACGATTTTTTTCTTTAGAGACACAGTCTGACTGTGTTGCCCAGGCTGGTCTCAAACTCCTGGGCTCAAGTGATCCTCCTGTTTCAGCCTCTTGAGTAGCTGGGATTACAGGTGTGAGCTACTGCAGCCAGCTTGGCCTAGGATTATTTTTATTTTTATTTATTTTATTTTATTTTTTTCCTGTTTTTGAGATGAAGTTTCGCTCTTGTTGCCCAGGCTGGAGTGCAATGGCGCCATCTCGGCTCACCACAACCTCCACCTCCCAGGTTCAAGTGATTCTCCTGCCTCAGCCTCCCGAGTAGCTGGGATTGCAGGCATGCACCACCACACCTGGCTAATTTTGTAGTTTTAGTAGAGACAGGGTTTCTCCATGTTGGTCAGGCTGATCTTGAACTCTTGACCTGAAGTGATCCACCTGCGTCGGCCTCCTAAAGTGCTGGGATTACAGGTGTGAGCCACCGCGCCTGGCCAGGATTATTTTTAAAGAGAAGATTTAACATATGCAATTGTTAGAAAATCTTATAAACATGTTATTCGCTGGGAATGTGCTTCAACCTGTTGGCTAAAGGAACTTTATCAGAATAACTACAGTTATTATCTGACTATTTTCAGGAGTTGAAAAAAATGGTTGCATACATTTCTTTTTTTTTTTTTTTTGAGGCGGAGTCTCGCTGTGTCACCCAGGTTGGAGTGCAGTGGCGCGATCTCAGCTCACTGCATGCTCCACCTCCCGCGCTCACGCCATTCTCCTGCCTCAGCCTCCCGAGTAGCTGGGACTTCAGGTGCCTGCCACCACGCCCGGCTAATTTTTTTGTAGTTTTAGTAGAGACGGGGTTTCACTGTGTTAGCCAGGATGGTCTCGATCTCCTGACCTTGTGATCCTCCCGCCTCGGCCTCCCAAAGTGCTGGGATTACGGGTGTGAGCCACTGCGCCTGGCCCATTCATTTCTTATATTGGTAAACATGACTTCACCTTTACCTTGATTATAAAGTCCCAGTCTACTTTTGAGATTCTTTAGATTTCTGCAGTGTGTAACTCTTTTTTTTTTTTTTTTAAACGGAGTCTCGCTCTGTCACCTAGGCTGGTGTGCAGTGGTGCAATGTAACTCTTAGTGATTCTTAATCTTGGTTGGAATGTGCTATGTTTGGCCTTTTTTTTTTTTTTTTTGGAGACCGAGTCTCACTCTGTTCTCCAGGCCGGAGTGCAGTGGCGAGCTCTCAGCTCACTGCAACCTCCGCCTCTGGGTAAGCGATTCTCCTGCCTCAGCCTCCTGAGTAGCTGGGATTACAGATGTGCACCACCACGCCTGCCTAATTTTTTTGTATTTTTAGTAGAGACTGGGTTTCACCATGTTGGCCAGGCTGATCTCGAACTCCTGAACTCAGGTAATCTGCTTACCTCGGACTCCCAAACAGCTGGGAGTACAGGTGTGATCAACTGTGCCTGGCCTATGTTTGGCATTTAACTGGTGGGGGAGGGATGCATATCTTTGTACATTTTCAGCCTTTTTTGTCCTTCATCTGTTAAAGAGGTCATAGAGTAAGACATTTCCTTTTAATCTTGGCAATTTCCCAGGCCAAATGATAGGTTTCTAGGGTACTTCCAGGACTTAACTGACAAAAGGGGAAGATAAGCGATGCAATTGAGAGCTGAAGTAGGGTCTCTCTTTTTTTTTTTTTTTTTTTGGAGTCTTGTTCTGTCGCCCAGGTGGGAATGCAGCGGCGTGATCTCGGCTCACTACAACCTCCGGCTTCACTACAACCTCCGGCTCACTACAACCTCTGTCTCCCGGGTTCAAATGATTCTCCTGCCTCAGCCTCCTGAGTAGCTGGGACTACAGGCACCACACCACCAGGCCTGGCTAAGTTTTTGTGTATTTTTAGTAGAGGCAGGGTTTCACCATGTTGGTCAGGCTGGTCTCGAACTCCTGACCTCATGATCCGCCCGCCTTGGCCTCCCAAAGTGCTGGGAGTATAGGCGAGAGCAACTGTGCCCGGCGAAGCAGCATCTCTTTTTAAGGTTGTAAGGTAGCTTGGGTTAGAAATAAAGGCAGAGAGCCACTCCATACCTGTAGTTCTAGCTACTGGGGAGGCTAAGACCAGAGGATCTCTTGAGCCCAGGAGTTCAAGGCTGCAGTGAGCTGTAATCACACACTGCACTACAACGTGGGCAACATAGAGTGAGACCTAATTAAAAAATAAATAAATAAATAAATAAATAAATGCAAGGAGAAAGTCATGAACTTGGTGCATTTAGGTGTACAATTAGTTGGCATAAACAATTTTTTTTTTTTGAGATGGAGTTTCTCTCTTGTTGCCCAGGCTGGAGTGCAGTGGCACAGTCTCGGCTCACTGCAACCTCCGCCTCCTGGGTTCAAGTGATTCTCTTGCCTCAGCCTCCGGAGTAGCTGGGATTACAGGTGCCCGCCACCACGCCCAGCTAATTTTTGTATTTTTAATAGATGGGGTTTCGCCATATTGGCCAGGCTGATCTTGAACTCCTGACCTCAAGTGATCCGTCCGCCTCAGCCTCCCAAAGTGCTGGGATTACAGGCGTGAGCCACTATGCCAGCCAAGAATTTTTAAAAAAGGAGTTTCATTCAGCCCACCTCATTCCTCTGCAGGGCACCTGTGTGCAGGGCAAAACTGCTCAACCCTACTCAGCAGCCCTGTGAAAGCTGCTGAAAGGATGAGCAGATTGAGGCCTGAACTGTATCTTGGATTTAGCAGCCTGGAGGTCATAATGGATTTTGCCAAGAGTGATGGGGCAGAATTTGGACCAGTGTGTGTTAAGGAGCTAGAAGAAGTGAAGAAATGGGAGAGGGGAGTCTAGACAACTTTAGTTTGGCTGCAGCAAGTAAAGGCAGATTGTTCGATGGAGGGACATGTGGGATTGATGGAGTTTTTCCTTTTTATATGTTTTTGCATTTTTCAATGGGATACATTAGAAAGTGTTGCATGTTTATGGGGGGGATTTAGTTCAGTGGGAAAAGTATTTGAAAAGTTACAGTAAGGTAGAAGTAGATGGAATCCTCAGTAAGGTCTAGAATCGGGTGCAGGTATTTTATGGTATCTTCCCCACCCCTCCCCGAGATGGAGTTTCGCTCTTATTATTGCCCAGGCTCTGGAGTGCAGTGGTGCAGTCTTGGCTCGCTGCAACCTCCACCTCCTGGGTTCAAGCGATTCTCCTGCCTCAGTCTCCCGTGGAGCTGAGATTACAGGTGCGCACCACCACACCCAGCTAATTTTTGTATTTTTAGTAGAGATGAGGTTTCACCATTTTGGCCAGGCTGGTGTCCAACTCCTGACATCAAGTGATCCACCCGCCTTGGCCTCCCAAAGTGCAGGGATTACAGGCGTGAGCCACCGTGCCCAGCTGGTACCTTTTTTTTTGTTGGTGAAGTAGAATGTGTGTATGGGGAGGGGAGGTGGATAGGATATTTTGGAATTTGAAGATAATGGGAATGTCTGGATAGTGCATGTATAGAATGGGAAGTAAACACTGGAGGACCTGGGAGTGTGGTGCTTATTGATGGATCGTTGGGTTTATCCAGGATTGGGGTTTTGCCAGATGGCTGTGATGAAAATCTTAAGAGTTAAGGGTATAGGCAAGAGTGTTGTTGAAATGACACACAATGAAATCTAAGCTGGTTAAAGAAGTGAAGAAGGGGCCGGGCACGTTGGCTCACGCCTGTAATTCCAGCACTTTGGGAGGCCGAGGCGGGTGGGATCCCTTGAGGTCAGGAGTTCGAGACCAGCCTGGCCAACATGGTGAAACCCCGTCTCTACTAAAAATACAAAAATTAGCCGGGTGTGGTAGCAGGGGCCTGTAATCTCAGCTACTTGGGAGGCTGAGGCAGGAGAATCGCTTGAACCTGGAGGTGGAGGTTGCAGTGAGCCAGTATTGCACCACTATACTCCAGCCTGGGCAACAAAGTCAGAGTCTGTCTCAAAAAAAAAAAAAAAAAAAAAAAAAAGTGAAGAAGGAGGAGAATACTTGGATTGGGATAAAGTAGAAAGAGTCACTGGAATTAAAGTTAACTAAAAAACTCATAAACTTTAGAATGGTACTGAGAAATTGTAAGGTGAACTGAAAAAGGCTCATGGGATTTTAGAGCCAAGAAGTCCTTGAGTGGCAGTTCCTACCTTAGTAGGAATAGCTTCAGTGGTGTGTTGCAGGTGGAACCCAGATTAAAGTGCGTTAAAAAGTAAATGAAGGCAAGGAAGATACATTTTTCAACAGGTTTGTCTGTGAAGAGTCCAGGCTATTAGATTGATAGAGGGAGAAAGGCAGTTAAAGGGTTTTTTTGTTTTTTGTTTTTTTTTTTGAGTCAGAGTCTCACACTGTTGCCTGGTCTGGAGTGCAATGGCGCGACCTCGGCTCACTGCAACCTCCGCCTCCGGGGTTCAAGTAGTTCTCCTGCCTCAGCCTCCCAACTAGCTGGGATTACAGGCGCCCACCACCACACCTGGCTAATTTTTTGTATTTTTAGTAGAGATGGGGTTTCACTATGTTGCCCAGGCTGGTCTCAAACTCCTGACCTCATGATCTGCCTGCCTCACCCTCCCAAAGTGCTGGGATTACAGGCGTGAGCCACCGTGCCCGGCCTTATTTTCTTAATTTTTAAATTTATTTTATTATTATTATTATTTTTGAGATGGAGTCTCTCTGCCGCCCAGGCTGGAGTGCAATGGTGCAGTCTCGGCTCACTGCAACCTCTGCCTCCCGGATTCGAGCGATTCTCCTGCCTCAGCCTCCTGAGTAGCTGGGATTGCAGGCGCCCGCCACCACGCCTGGCTGATATTGGTATTTTTAGTAGAGACGGGGTTTCACTACATTGGCCAGGCTGGTCTTGAACTCCTGACCTCATGATCCACCCACCTTGGCCTCCCAAAGTGCTGGGATTACCAGCGTGAGCCACTGCACCCGGCCTTTAGTTTTTTTTTGAGACAGAGTCTTGCTCTGTCGCCAGGCTGGAGTGTAGTGGCACGATCTCGGCTCA
The DNA here is from genome assembly GCF_000001405.40 of Homo sapiens. NCBI lineage: Eukaryota > Metazoa > Chordata > Mammalia > Primates > Hominidae > Homo > Homo sapiens. Next base: position 30,313,573 of record NC_000016.10, on the reverse strand, counting down.
CTGCAAGCTCTGCCTCCCGGGTTCAAACGATTCCCCTGCCTCAGCCTCCCAAGTAGGTGGGACTACAGGTGCGTGCCACCACGCGCAGGTAGTTTTATTTTTTCTATTTTAGTAGAGACGGGGTTTCACCATGTTGGCCAGGGTGGTCTCAATCTCCTGACCTTATGATCTGCCTGTCTTCGCCTCCCAAAGTGCTGGGATTACAGGCGTGAGCCACCGTGCCCGGCCATTTTTTGTTTTTGTTTTTGTTTTTTTTAAAGTAAGACTTTTGAGAGTGCTCATATGTTGACGATGTGATAAGCAGTAGTAAAATGGGAGATTTTGCAACATACAAAAGAAACAGGCCGGGTGCAGTGGCTCAAGCCTGTAATCCCAGCACTTTGGGGAGGCCAAGGTGGGCGGATCACGAGGTCAGGAGATCGAGACCATCCTGGCTAACATGGTGAAACCCCGTCTCTACTAAAAATACAAAAAATTAGCCGGGCATGGTGGTGGGCGCCTGTAGTCCCAGCTACTCGGGAGGCTGAGGCAGGAGAATGGCGTGAATCTGGGAGGCGGTGAGTCGAGATCACGCCACTGCACTTCAGCCTGGTCGACAGAGCGAGACTACATCTCAAAAAAAAAAGACAAGACATACCTTGGAAAATGGGGGGAATAGACAGATCCAGATGATTTCTATGGATAGGAGGTTTATTTGTTCCATTATGCGAAGATGATGGGAAGAAAAGCTGTATGTGCAGATGCAGGTGAATTTGTGGATATATTAGAAGGAAGATGACAGGCAGCGTTGGAGTGTTGAAGAGCTCAAACATTAGACAGTACTGGGTCTGAGTTCTGACTCTGCCTTTTACAAGCTGTGCAACCTTAGGCCAGTTATGAAACCTTAGTTATCAAGTTATAACTAATAGGATTGTGTTGAACACGAAATGACATGATAAACATATGTAAACTGCTTGGATCAGTTGCCCACTAGCTCTTGTTAGGAGCTAAAATGTTAGCTCTTGCTGAGGGTGCTGTCAAATGGCTTCTATTTCTCATGGAGCAGAAATCTATAAGGTCATCCACTGGTAGTGGTGGGAGAAGGGAGAAGGTGCAGAAAGTTTTACAGATGTTTTGGAAAGGAAAGAAACCTGATGAGGGAAGTGTGGGCAGCATCAGAGGCCCACTTGAAGTCAGAGAAAAGGAGCATTGGGGCATGGAGGTGAGGGGGTACTTTCTTCAGCTTTTCTCTGAAGACAATTGTGCATGTGAAACAAGGGTTAAAATCAGATCTATTGCCCTCCTGGATTTATTGGCTTCGTTTGCTCTTTCTGGCTAATTTGATTGGAGTTCTGAACATAGAGAATATTAGAGGTTCCTTGGAAGGAAAATAAGCAACACTGAAGCCAAATCTTTATCATGTTTGCTAGAAATGTTATTAAAAAACAAAATTTATGGCCGGGTGCAGTGGCTTATGCCTGTAATCCCAACCCTTTGGGAGGCTGAGGTGAGTGGATCACTTGAGCTCAGGAGTGCGAGACCAGCTTGGGCAGCATTTTGGGAATGTTGTAGAGAATGGGACAAAAAAAATACAAAAGTTGCTGGGCGTGGTGGAGTAAGCCTGTGGTCTCAGCTACTTGGGAGGCTGATGTGGGAGGTTTGCTTGAGCTCGGATTGCGCCACTGCACTCTAGCCTGGGCGACAGTGGGAGACCCTTTTTCAAAACAAACAAGCAACTTTTTTTGAGCTACAGTATATTTAATGGTTTTAAATATGAATGCAGAGTAAGAGGGAGTCCAGTCCATAAGATGACCCTTGCTTCTAATACTAGTTGCAAGTTTGGGGGTTCCCAAGACCACTCTTTTTTTTTTTGAGACAGGGCCTCTCTCTGTCACCCAGGCGAGAGTGCAGTGGCATGATCACGGCTCACTGCGCCCTGACCTCCTCCCTCCCAGGTTCAGGCAGTCCTCCTACCTCAGCCACCTGAGTTGCTGGATCTATGGGCACACACCACCTCGCCTGGCTAGTTTTTCTATATTTTTTAGAGACAGTTTCACCATATTGCCAGGCTGGTCTCAAACTCCTGAGCTCAAGTGATCCGCCTGCCTGGGCCTCCCGAAGTGCTGGGATTACAGGCTTGAGTCACTGTGCCTGGCCAAGACCACTCTTAGGTTGGATGATTTGCCAGGAGGACTCACCAGAACTCATTGAAAGCTCTCATACCCATGGTTAGAGTTTATTGCAGTTTAGGGATTCAGATTAGAATGAGCCAAGGGTAGAGGTGCATAGGGCAGAGTTCGGGGAAGTTCCAAATGTTGGAGTTTTGAATTGTCCTGTCCCTGTAGAGTTGTGAAAAATGACACCTTCCTGGTGGCACTGGTGTGCGACCATACTCATGGATTATTGCCAACCAAGGAAGCTCACTCTATTTTTTATGTCCAGCGTTTTTACTGGGGTTCCATGGTTGCATGCCCATGTGGCTAACCTTAGTCTCCAGCCCCACTGGAGGTCAAGCTGATCCATATGACTCAAAGCCCCCACCATAAGCCACATTATTAGACTCTGCTGTGGCCTAAAGCCCCCAGATGAACAAGGACACTTTCCCCCCACTGCCGCCCCCCCCCCCTTTTTTTTGGAGATAGTCTTGCTCTGTTGCCCAGGCTGGAGTACAGTGGCATGATCTCAGCTTACTGAAACCTCAGCCTCCTGAGTAGCTGGGATTATTACAGGTGCCCGTCACCATGCCTGGCTAATTTTTGTATTTTTAGTAGAGACAGGTTTCACCATGCTGGCCAGGCTGGTCTCAAAATCCTGACCTCAAGCGATCTGCCCGCCTTGGCCTCCCAAAGTGCTGGGATTACAGGTGTGAGCCACTGCTCCTGGCCAGGACTCTCTTATTAGGTTTGACATTTCAAGAGTTTAGAAATTACCTTCCAGAATTCACAGGTAAAAGCCAGACCTCTCCTTGGTGAAGATACAATTCTTTACAATTTTACAATAGTTAAGTATATTTTATCAGTCTATATTGGCTGTTTAGTTGACAAACCGTTAAAAATTGGTGACAGTCCAGATGTGGTCACTCATGCCTCTAATCCTAGCATTTTGGGAGGCTGAGGTGGGAGGATTGCTTGAGTCCAGGAATTTGAGAGCAGCCTGAGCAACATAATCAGACACCTGTCTCCAAAAAACATAAAAATAAAAAATTAGCTAAATAGAGTGGCATGCACCTGTGGTCCCAGCTGTTTGAGAGGCTGAACCCATGAGGTCGAGGCTGCACCCATGAGGTCGAGGCTGCAGTGAGCTATGGTCATGCCAGTGCACTCCAGCCTGGGTGACAGAGTGAGACCCTGTCTCAAAAAAGGAAACAAATCACCCATAAATGGATAATTAAGATTTGGTTATTATAGACACTTAATACTTAGGTAGCTAAGCTAGTTTTACCAATAAATTATATTAATTTAATATTTCAGTATTGCAAAACTGATGCATACTCATTTACAATTTTGACGTGGAATGGTTCTGTTTTGTTTTATTAAATTTGAACTTAAAGTTCTCTGCAAGAAGAGATTTGTATAATGAATTCCCTGAGCCTCTCAAATTAATATTTTAGCCATAGACTCATATTTAGAGCAGTGTTTCTAATGTAATGATACAAGGCCCGGGGTTATTCATAGTTTCACCCTTTCTCTTATTCCTCATTAAAGCATGTTTGAATCCAGGTAAGAGGCATTACAGGGGAAAACCTTGAATTTATTTTTGAAGGGTAAATCATTTCCAAGTGGTATTAACCATTAGTATGGAAAGCAACATATCCTATAACTGCTCTGTGACAGTGAGACTATCTTTGCTACGTTAGAGAATAAGTACATTCCTACTTCATTGGCTTTAGTGCAAATCTCATTTCCTGGTTTATATCCATTACAAATTAGATCTCAGCATGAGAGCAAAATCCCTTAATAAACCTAGGTAAAAGCAATTTGAAGTAATATGATGCTTACTCCAGTGATACCACTAGGTGTGGTGTTTGCATCAAGTCATTTTGGGGTGCTTTATGGAAATGCTTCCTAGTAGGGAAGTCCCTGACTTCACACTTTCCAGAGATGACGCTCTCTCTCTTTTTCTCTCTAATACTTACAAGAATGGACTGCAAGACTACATTTAGTCAGGCGATACCATCCCCAGCACATGGTGGATCGTTGGTGTGAGGTCTAAGGATTCCGGTCATTTGAAACGAATGGCCTCCTAGATTTGTGGCATTTTTCTGTATATTGAGAGTAGGTAACTAAAATAAGTGGTAACTATATTTGCATGTGATTTGTATATTATAGTTAACATTTAAATTCTCTTATGTACTAAAAATTTTTTGGTTGCCACATTAAGCCTCTTTATCCTGTAAGGCACGGAGTGGCTTTCCACCTCAATTTTTGCTTTAATGTATGAACCCTAATGGGACCATAGTTCAACTAAAGTCACCTAACTCATGAATGATATTTGCTCCATGTTTGAACAACAAATGTTTTAACCCACTGTCTTCACTAATATTATAACTACTGTCTTACAGATTGACTTGATGCAAAACATCACAAAGGCTCCATGTTATACAGTATGCGATTTTTGAGTTATGAGCTTTAGAAACTTACCTCTCATGTGGCATGTACCTCAGGCTTTAACTTCAGTTTGATCGTTTTGGGGAAATTTATGCATTTCTTTTTTTTTCTCTCCATGATATTTTTAGAATATTAAAGGGGCTGTAGAGGTATTTTTGGATCTTTGCTAGGATTCTTAGACTTAACAGATAGATTTTCTTTTTTCACTAAATTGAGACACTAATTCTGGCAGATGATATCCCTTTCAGCTCTTCTAACTAACTAGCCTAACATTTATGCCTGCTTCTTGGAGTTCATATCTGCAGTTTCTATTTTGTGGCTTTGATTGCCTCATTTTAAGTGCTCATTTCCGTTCTTTAACAGTTTTCTATTTATTGGACTGGGATGATCTTGTTGGTGCTAACAGCCTGACATTGACATTTTTTGAAACCTAAGCAGTCAAGATTGTATAAAAATAGAAATTTCGTATAAATGTTAAACCATTTTGTGCTTTTCGGTTCAGAATGCTTACAACCTGAGTTCTGGTTGGGGATGCTTTGATCAATTTGTATTAAAATAATTTGGCAACTAGGGAGTTTTCAGGTATTTCTGAGACAGTGGCTCTATTCCAGTTTTTTTTGTTATATTTCTGAAAACACAAATTTTTTTGGGAAAAAAATCTCAGTGTTCATAACTTAGGGGATTTAGAAACCTTATTTCTAACCAATGGGGAAGCTGCTCCTGGTTTTACAGTTTAGTTTGAAATCAGATGCTTCCTAGTTGGAAACACATTGTTGGTAGCCACAGATTACCTGCTTTCTTCAGTGAAGTATTTAAGTTGCTCTATATTGACTGTAAAAACTTGTTTTGATTATATTCATATACTCATGAACTGTTTGTACATTGTCTTTTAGACTGGAAACTGAGTTTATTTTGTATTATGGTCATAATAACTTTTAACATACCCTGCAAACTAAGTGTTTCTTTATAATTCATTATCTTATTTAAGCCTCACAACAACCTTACATGTTAGATAGGTATCATCCTCATTTTATGCAAGAGACAACCAAGGCTTGGAGATCAAGTAATTTGTGCAAAGGCACACATACTTTTCAGTGCTGGAGCTGGGATTTGAGCCCAGATCTTTTTTTAACTTGTATTCTCTGCTGCCTTATGGTACTACTGTGTCACCAGAAAATGATACAAACATTTAACTCTTAATAGTAAAGGTAGTATAGGAGATAAGTAAACATGATGAAAACAGGAAGTGAAGATATGTTTAAATATTGGCAGACTTCAGTTATCTTTGTGTTTCTGAATTAGTCAAGTGCTTATTTTATTTGCTCATCTAATAAGAGCTTACTGTGGCGTACATATAAAGTTCACACCCTGTCAGAAAAGATTATAAGCTCTCTTACATTTCAGTCTCCTTTCAGAAAGTAATGGTATGCTATGATTTATATAGACGCATGTTAAATGTGCTATTTTTAGGTACATAAGGAATGTCTTTTCATTAGTTTAAAAAAGTTATGGTCCATTGAGTTAATATTTTAATGCTTATAGACTTAGTATACTCAGAAAATATTCTCATACATTTTTCTTGAAATTCCATAGATTTAATTTTCCCTTATGTTCGAAGTACTTAGCTTTATGAATAAGCGAACTCTGAATATTAGAAGATACTCCTTATGGAGCCGTAGTCATTTTAGTATGCTAGGTTTTGAATTTCATGAAGTTTCAGATTGAGATCCTTTATAAGTAATGACTTGTACCAGTTAGATATCCAAGTTTAATTGGACCTATTGTCTGCATTCTGTATTAACAGTGATTGCAGTAAGTGCAGATCAAGGTGTCCAACTGAGTGAGCTCATGCAAAGTTTTATGTTTAGTATTTTTGGGAGCAAGGAAAGACTAATAAACTCTAAATGAAATATATACAGTATACAAACACTGCTGTCACTTTTACACCATAGAGGGGCAAAGCGTAGAGGAATAGGTTAGTTTCTGGCCTTGCCAGTGTCCTAAACTTTTCTAAAAGATTCAGGTTCTAAAAGGTGGAGAAAGCATTTTTAGTAAATATCATAGAAGTGATTTTCTTTTTTTTTTTCCTCAAAGTTGTTCCTCTCAGGAGAAAATCAGTAGGGGAAGAACTTACTTGGATTTTTCATATGCTATAACAGATTATTTTGTTGTCTTCTTTCTTAATAGTTTATGATTGATGGCTGAAAGAGTAACACTCGTGAGAAGTCTTGTAACTCAGCTCTGTTTTACTTATGAGGCAGTTGAAGCGTAGAGCAGATACTTAGATGAGGACACACTTTTACCCTTGGCTGTACCCTACTTGTTTACTAATAAGCATCAGGTATTATTCTAAACAGTACCTAAATTTTAAATAGATTATGAACTACAACTTTCCGATATAACGTTATTGCATTTCTGATACCTTTTATTTTCTTAAAATGTCTTCTTTTTTACTTTTTAAAATTTTGATTGCTACCTTTACAATTAAGGCATCTTCAATGGGGTCTTCAATACTACAGTACCTAATCAGTACTTAGAAAATAACTTGGTAAGACATTGCCTGTCCCTGACATGCTGCCAGTGTTTTTTATTTTTATGATAGGAAAGGCTGAAATGTTTTGACTGATTAACCCTCTCCATGGGGGAGAATTTAGAAAGAATTATTCTTATTATCAAGTCATGTGAGGAGAACACTGGACCAGAGTAACCAATTGTCCTGTTTTGCCTGGGACAGGAGGCTTTCAATGCTAAAACCAGCAAAGTCACCCTAATCCCAGTAGTTATTCGTATTTCTGAATGGGTCTTTAGAACAGTAGAAGAGACTGAAAAGTTGGCATTTCATCCATTGAGAATCTCTTCCCAGTGAAAGACTTCTTATTAGACGGCTGAGTGCTTACATATAATATATAGTACATATTACATTAAATACAATAGTAATGGTTAAATGTAAAATTTGGGAGAAGAGAGGCTTGTTTAAAGAAAGATTTATTTATGTTATTTAAAGTTCTAATCTTAAACTTTTCTCTTTTTATAGAACTGATAGTGCATCAGCTGACCCAGGTAATTTAAAATATTCTTCATCCAGAGATAGAGGTGGTTCTTCCTCTTACGGACTGCAACCTTCAAATTCAGCTGTGGTGTCTCGGCAAAGGCACGATGATACCAGAGTCCACGCTGACATACAGAATGACGAAAAGGGTATATATATTTTCTTATTGCTACAAGCATGTTTTTTGAACCTACCTATCCCACCTTCTTGCCTTCTTACACCCCCAACTTTCTCGCTTTCTTCTAATATATTTAAAATACGAATAACAAATGCAGTGTTATTTCTGAAAACTTCATAGGACGTTTATCCACTTTATTATTTTTAAAATTTAAAATTTTTCCGTACATAATTCATCAATGCAGTTTTCTTACAAAAAAGATACAATACTATTTTTGTTTTTATTTTCAAAAATATTTAGCTAAGGTTGAAGTTCCTCTTGGCTACTGTCTCTAAACTTCAAGAAAGTTTTAAGGTGCAAAATTTGATTTAATTTAGTTTTCATTTCTTTGCTTATTTTCCAATGAAGGGATCAAAATAAAATTAATTTAACTTCAAAGGTGTATTAAAAGAAATGAAAATGATTTTCAAGGCAGACAGTACAGGAAAAAGGTAGGAGAAGCAAAGGCTGGTTGAGCTGCAGATTGAGTAGTAAGATCCTGAGCTATCAGGAAATTGACTGAATGAAACGAACAATCATATTTAAATAACGTACACATTGCTGTTTGTAGGTGGCTACAGTGTCAATGGAGGATCTGGGGAAAATACTTATGGTCGGAAGTCGTTGGGGCAAGAGCTGAGGGTTAACAATGTGACCAGCCCTGAGTTCACCAGTGTTCAGCATGGCAGTCGTGCTTTAGCCACCAAAGACATGAGGAAATCACAGGGTAAGGCTGGGAAAATGGGGACCAATCACATACACCTTCCAAAGACTTGTATCTCCTCTTATTCTGGATGCCTCTTACTAACGCCTTGCACAGGCATAAGTTGATTAGTCTACTGTGCAGGTAAAAATTGTTTACATTCTTTTCCTGTGAATTGTTAATTTCCCACTAGAAAGGTTATAGTACATTTTAAAAGAGAATTCTCTTAAAACAAGATTAGAAGACTGGATAAGATCTTACAGAAAAGGTTTACCCAATTATCGTGGATATTGAATGTATAGTGCATAGTAGGCTCTTACTACAGCAAGTCCTTGAACTCTTGGGCCTGTGGAGGATATAGATATATATATAGAGGGGGTACTTTTCTGTCTTTTTTTTTTTTTTCTCTTTTAAGTTCAGGGTACATGTGCAGGATGTACAGGTTTGTTATGTAGGTAAACGTGTGCCATGGTAGTTTGCTGCACAGATCATCCCATCATCTAGGTATTAAACCCAGCATCCATTAAGCTATTCTTGCTGATGCTCTCCTTCCCCCCGCCCCCTAGAGTGGGTACTTTTCTGGTTTTTTTGTTGTTGTTTTCAATATATTTTTTTGAGACAGAGTCTTGCTCTGTCACCCAGGCTGGAGCGCAGTGCTGCAATCTCTCCTCACTGCAACCTCCGCCTCCCAGGTTCAAGTGATTCTCGTGCCTCAGCCTCCCAAGTAGCTGGGAGTACAGGTACATGCCACCACACCCAGCTGATTTTTGCATTTTTAGTGGAGACAGGGTTTCACCATGTTGGCCAGGCTGGTCTCGAACTCCTGACCTTAAGTGATCACATGTGCTCATTACAGGCGTGAGCCACTGGGCCCTGCCTAGAGTGGGCACTTTTCTAAAGTTAAATACACTGATAGCATTTCTGCCTTATGGCGTAGCCTCACTGTATAGGTGAGTGCCTTGGAAGTTCAGAGGATTGGCCGGGTGCAGTGGCTCACGCCTGTAATCCCAGCACTTTGAGAGGCTGAGACGGGCAGATCACGAGGTCAGGAGATCGAGACCATCCTGGCTAACACGGTGAAACCCTGTCTCTACTGAAAATACAAAAAATTAGCTGGGCGCGGTGGTGGGCGCCTGTAGTCCCAGCTACCCGGGAGGCAGAGCTTGCAGTGAGCTGAGTGCACCACTGCACTCCAGCCTGGGCAACAGAGCGAGACTCCGTCTCAAAAAAACAACAACAAAAAAGAAAGTTCAGAGGATTAGAGGTAATGATAATTTTTTTCCTTAAAGAGAAATTTATCGGTAAAGCTGAGTTATGGGCTTTGTCAGATGTAATTACTTTTTGGACATTTAGTTTTTGACTTTTTTTTTTTTTTATACTGTGTGTGTGCTTCGTGTATCTTGGTGAAAATCTTTGTGCGTGTAGCTTTTATTGTTGGTATATAACTTTTAAAAAACTGATTTCTTTTTATGTTTTCACAAGTGGAATGAATTCAAAGGCTATGTATGCTGTTTGTTAAAACAGAGTGTTTGAAGCCTTAGACTTATGATATTATAGAAGCTAAACAGTGACTCTAAAGTAGTTCAGTAAACAATTCCTCTTCTTCAAAGGTAGTTTGCTAGTGACAGAATTGTAAGTAGAGCCTAATTTCCCAGCTGGTAACTTGATGACATTTTTGGTATCCGTCCTTATTGAAATACTCTATGGGCTACGGATTTGTAAAAATCCTATTCTTCTCTCAGACATTGTAGTTTCTTTTTTTTTTTTTTTTTTTTTAACTTTTAAATTCAGGATACAAGTGCAGATTTGTTACACTGGTAAACTTGTGTCATGAGGGTTTGTAGTATAGATTATTTTATCACCCAGGTATTAAGCCTGGTACCCATTGGTTGTTTCTCTTGATCCTCTCCCTCCTCCCACCCCCCACCCTCCAAAAGGATCCAGTGTGTTTTGCTCCCCTTGTAGTTATTTATTTATTTATCTATGAGATGGAGTATCTCCCTGTCACCCAGGCTGGAGTGCAATGGCGCGATCTCAGGTCACTGCAGCCTCCACCTCCCAGATTAAAGTGATTCTCCTGCCTCAGCCTCCCGAGTAGCTGGGATTACAGGAGCGTGCCACCATGCCCGGCTAATTTTTTGTATCTTTAGTAGAGACGAAGTTCCACCATGTTGGCCAGGCAGGTCTCAATCTCCTGACCCCGTGATCTGCCCTCCTCGGCCTCCCAAAGTGCTGGGATTACAGGTGTGAGCCACCACGCCCAGCCTTCTGGTTTCTTTTATTATCAATTTTTTCTCATACCTTAGAAATGAAACTGTCAGACCCTTTGTGATTTGTTGTTTACGTATGTATTGGCTAATTATGGTAAATAGCACAGTTGAAAATGTTTTGCAAAAATTGAGTTTTTTGTTTTGTTTTGTTTTTTGAGACAGTCTCGCTCTGTCACGCAGGCTGGAATGCACTAGTGTGATTTCACTGCAACCTTTGCTTCCCAGGCTAAAGCGATCCTCCCACCTCAGCCTCCTGAGTAGCTGGGATTACAGGCATGTGCCACTGTGCCCAGCTAATTTTTGTATTTTTCGTAGAGATGGGGTTGTACCATGTTGCCGATGCTGGTCTCGAACTCCTGGGCTCAAGTGATCTGCCTGCCTTGCCCTTCCAAAGTGCTGGGTAATTACAGGGAAGAGCCACCTCGCCCAGCAAAAATCTAGTTTTTAAAGGCATTGTTAATATACTAATGGTATTCACTATTGTGTGCTTGTTCTTGTGATTAAAAAATAAGGGGAGAAAAGTTGTGGTTTGCTACCTTTCTAGTGGAGGCATGCCTTGCATGTGGTAGATGATAATTAGACATTTGTTGAACTAAATGTGTGATTATGGCTCCCCAAAACTTCATCCCAGGGAAATGATGATAATGTGAATAAGAGGCTTTCCTCCAGTGGGATACCTAGATGATAAGTAGAAGCCTATATCCTGTTTTTACTCGATTGAGGCTTTATCCGTACCCCTTGGAAGTTGTTTAATTTACCTACACCCAGGCTCTTTACCTGCATGTTGAAAACAGTTTGGAATGGACCCAAAGAAAGTTGTTACTAAGGCCTTTCTTTTTTCTCTCCCAGCCAGTCCTCTGGAATGAGGTGTTCAGCTGGCCTAGGGTTATTCATTTCTCGTTTCCTTCAGCAAATATTTTTTTGAGGGTCTGTTATGTGCCAGGCACTCTGCTGGGATTTGGAATATAGAGTTGAACAAAAGAGCGATAGGACCTATATTCCCTGAGCTTTTATTGACCAGTGGACTGTGACTTTTGATGTAATTTTATTTTTGAGAGAGGGTCTTGCTCTGTCACCCAGGCTGGAGTGCAGTGGGGTGATCTCGGCTCACTGCAACCTCCACCTCACGGGCTCCAGTGATTCTCCTGCCTCAGCCTCCCGAGTAGCTGGGACTACAGGTGCACACCACCTTGGCTGGCTAGTTTATGTAATTTTTTGTGTGTCTGTGGAGACAGGGTTTCACCATGTTGCCCAGGCTGGTCTCAAACTCCTGAACTGATGTGATCTACCCGCCTTCCAAAGTACTGGGATTACAGGCATGAGCCACCATAATAATTTAATTATTATTTAAATAATTTTTAATTTTAAAAATTTAAAAATTATTTTAAAATTTAAAAATTCCTTTGCTTATTTATACTCAATGGACAACAAAATGTTTATATATTCACAGAGAGATCGATGTCTTATTGTGATGAGTCTCGACTGTCAAATCTTCTTCGGAGGATCACCCGGGAAGACGACAGAGACTGAAGATTGGTCACTGTAAAGCAGTTGAAAGAATTTATTCAGCAACCAGAAAATAAGCTGGTAAGTATAGTATGTTTGGAAATATGAGGATTTTTGTGTTTCCATAATAAACTAGGTAATGCTACCTTGAGTAGTTTAAGAATGGGGAAAGTCTGTATTATGATGATCAAGAACTTAATGCTCTCTAATATGTAATTTCTTTTTCTTCTTAAAGACAAGATCTTGCTCTCGCCCAGGCTGGAGTGCAGTGGCACAATCATAGCTCACTGCAGTCTCAAACTCCTGGATTCAAGCTGTCCTCCCGCTGTGGCCTCCTGAGTAGCTGGGACTTCAGGCATGTGCTACTACACCTGGCTGAGGTGGAAGAATCACTTGAGCCCAGGAATTCAGGGTTGCAGTGAGATATGATCACACCTCTGCATGTCAACCTGGGCGACAGAGGGAGTCCTTGTCTCTTAAAACAACAACAGAAATGTAACAAAGTATGGGAAGGGTTAAATTTTTTTCTTCACTTTCTTTACACCAATTAAGAACTTGATATGGGCCAGGTGTGGTGGCTCATGCCTGTAATCCCAGCATTTTGGGAGGCCAAGGTGGGCGGATCACCTGAGTTCAGGAGTTCGATACCAGCCTGCCCAACATAGTGAAGCCCCATCTCTACTAAAAATACAAAATTAGCTGGGCGTGGTGGCACATGACCGTAATTCCAGCTACATGGGAGGCTGTGGCAGGAGAATCGCTTGAACCCAGGAGACGGAGGTTGCAGTGAGCTGAGATCACGCCATTGCACTCCAGCCTGGGCGAAAAGAGTGAAACTCCATCTTAAAAAAAAAAAAAAAGAACTTGACAATGAGCAGGAGAAAATTAATGAAAATGGTCTAGTGAGGCAGATGACACTTGGATCAAAGCAAGTTTCTCCTCCTTCCAAATTTTATTATGAGTAGTTTCAAATATATAGCAAGTTGAAAGAATTTGACATTGAATCTGTTAAACCCATCATCTAATTTTTGTCGTTAATGTTTTGCCCTAAATACTGCCTTGTCACATATCTCTCCATCTATCCCTCCATCCATCAGTCAATTTTTCAAATGGATTTCAAAGTAAATAAAACAAGCTTTTTGAGTTTATTTTTTTGTTGATGATCACAGCTCTATGTTTCCAGTGGGTGAATTTCTTTCATAGGCTGAAAGGAAACATGACATTCCTGATACATGCTCATTGGGGAGTGGGAATAATAAAGAAAGTAAAGTACTGTTGAATTAGAATTTGGAGGGAAGACAAGTAAAAAAGTACACAATGCTATTCTTAAAAGTATAGGAATTTGAAGTTTTTATAAATGTGTTTTCTTTTAAAGGTACTAGTTAAACAATTGGATAATATCTTGGCTGCTGTACATGATGTGCTTAATGAAAGGTAAGTAACTAATAATGGTTCGGTTTAAATGACTTTAAAATATATTTTTAGAAATTACTTAACAATACACAAGAAGACAAACCCACTGGCTTTGTTTATGAACATCTATTGACATTTCAGTGGGTCTTGTCATTTTTATCTGCATTAATTATGTGTTAATTACGGTTGAATACAAATGGAATCCACTTGAAAAGAATATTTATTTTTTGAGCCAGAGTCTCACCGTGTCGCCCAGGCTGGAGTGCAGTGGTGCGATCTCAGCTCACTGCAACCTCCACCTCCCGGGTTCAAGTGATTCTCCTGCCTCAGCCTCCCGAGTAGCTGGGACTACAGGCATGCACCACAACTGCCAGCTAATTTTTGTATTTTTAGTAGAGACAGGGTTTCACCATGTTGGCCAGGCTGGTCTGGAACTCCTGACCTCAGGTGATCCACCCACCTTAGCCTTCCAAAGTGTTGGGATTACAGGCATGAGCCACTGTGCCTGGCTGGAATATTTTATTTTTTTAATTTACTAGTCTCACTGGATAACTGAGTCTTGACTTATGGAATGGCATAAACTCTTGATGCAGGCATGAAGAATAAAATTAGTTTTTGTAAACTAGAGAATTTGAAACTGCTTAGAGAATAGAGGTAAAAAGGAATTTCCTTCTTTGGGTAAGAGTGGATCCAAACCATATATTCTCTGGCTATTAGCGTCTCCAGAGGTGTGTGGTCATTTTTTGTTATGGTGATTCCCAAAGATTTGCAGTGTTGGCAAGTACCCAAAATTTATCTCAGCTGGTCATAAACCTTAGTGCCTTTTGATGGTTTTGTTTTATAGAGTTACTTATTAAAGTTCTATGTAAATCATTACTGTTATCCTTTTAAGTTTCTGTATTTAACTATTACCATTTTTTATTTTATAGTCATTACATATTGGATATTATGTAGAATGTAGTTATGTATAGAGTGTTTTATCTAATTATTTGTTGCTGCCCTTTTCTGAGAGTTATTTAATACAGTTTGAGATGGAATTTAGCATTTTTGGGCCTTCCCTCACTGTTTGTAAATAATTGATTTTGTAAAAAGAAAGTAATGTCAGACAGATACTTGAGGGCAATGCAGGCTAGACAGAATGTAGTATTTAAAGTGGAGAAAATTTCAACCTTTTATGTAGTTTGAATAGAAATTTAAAAAACCACTTAAGACATTCTTTTGTAAGATGTATTACTCGTGTCATCATAGAAAACTTAAGCCTTTTGTGTGTGTTTTTTGTTTGCATTAAAATAAACACAGTAGCAAATTGCTTCAGGAGTTGAGACAGGAGGGAGCTTGCTGTCTTGGCCTTCTTTGTGCTTCTCTGAGCTATGAGGCTGAGAAGATCTTCAAGTGGAGTTTTAGCAAATTTAGCTCATCTGCAAAAGATGAAGTTAAAGTCCTCTACTTATGTGCCACCTACAAAGCACTAGAGACTGTAGGAGAAAAGAAAGCCTTTTCATCTGTAATGCAGGTAAGAATGAAGGGGGAAAATGCATGATGTACTTGGGAAGAAAATTGTCCCTTAACACATGTCCTTGGAGGGGAGCTTGAAGAAGGGAAACATAGAATAGGGGTTATCTACTGATAGGAAATATGTTTTAAAAATTCCTCTTTCTCAGTTTGAGTAAAGGATACACTGTTCAAGGATCAGTGCTACATACATATATGCATATATGTGGAGAAAGAGGGAGAGATTTCTTCTAAGAAATTGGCTTACACGCCGGGTGCGGTGGCTCACGCCTGTAATCCCAGCACTTTGGGAGGCCGAGGCAGGCGGATCATGAGGTCAGGAGATCGAGACCATCCTGGCTAACATAGTGAAACCCCATATCTACTAAAAATACAAAAAAAATTAGCCGGGCGTGGTGGTGGGCACCTGTAGTCTCAACTAATTGGGAGACTGAGGCAGGAGAATGCCGTGAACCTGGGAGGCGGAGCTTGCAGTGAGTCGAGATCGCGCCACTGCACTCCAGCCTGGGCAACAGAGTGAGACTCTGTCTCAAAAAAAAAAAAGAAAAAAAAAAGATACACGTTGAAGTTAGATTTGAAATAAGTTAGTTTTAAGATTTTTTTCCTCAGCCAAGCGCGGTGGCCTATATGCCTGTAATCCCAGCACTTTGGGAGGCCGAGGTGGGAACATCATGAGGTCAAGGGATCGAAACCATCCCGGCCAACATGGTGAAACCCCGTCTCTACTAACAATACAAAAATTAGCCAGGCATGGTGGCACGTGCCTGTAGTCCCAGCTACTCAGGAGGCTGAGGCAGGAGAATCGCTTGAACCCGGGAGGCCGAGGTTGCAGTGAGCCGAGATCACACCATTGCCTGGGCAACAGAGCCAGACTCTGTCTCAAAAAAAAAAAAAAAAAAAAAAAAAGGATTTTTTTCCTCTTTGGTTTTTAGAAATGTTTTTTTGAGATTGCTTAGGACCAGAATGATTTGCAAATTTGAAAATAGGAACTCCACTAGGAATGCTGGATAGAAGAGTGCTTCACATTTGTAGAGGGAGACAAGAACTAAATATCACAACTTCTTTCTGAGCCTTTTGGTTTGCTAACGTGCCCCAAATTCTTATTCCAAATGGTATAAGATAATTATGTGTAAATGAATACCAGCTCTACTTAGTTTTATTTCACATTTGTGTATCTGAATATATTAAAACATCATTCCTTTTTTTTTTTTTTTTTTTTTTTTGATGCAGAGTCTTGCTCTGTTGTCCAGCCTGGAGTGCAGTGGCATGATCTCGGCTCACTGCAACTTCTGCCTCCCAGGTTCAAGCGATTCTCCTGCCTCAGCCTCCCGAGTAGCTGGTATTACAGGAGTGTGCCATTAGCCTGGCTAATTTTTGTATTTTTAGTAGAGATGGGGTTTCATTGTGTTGGCCATGCTGGTCTTGAACTCCTGACCTCAAGTGATCCTCCTGCCTCGGCCTCCCAAAGTACTGTGATTAGTGTCATGAGCCACCACACCTGGCCTAAAAGATCATTGATTTAGTTTTGAGTAAGATTTTAAGTGATTAAATTATGGTATTGTTGTGTTTGGAATATCTGATATTAGGGTTTTTTTTTAATATAGTTTTTGATATGCTTTATTTTGGGTATGTAGTTTAAAAAATATAAAGGAAATATAAGGAATGTTCTTTTTTTTTTTTTAAATAAAAAATGTATTTTTAACTGGGCATGGTGGCTCACTCCTGTAACCCCAGCACTGTGGGAGGCTGAGGCCGGTGAATTGCCTGAGTCCAGGAGTTTGAGACCAGCCTGGGCAACATGGTGAAACCCTGTTTCTATCAAAAAAAGGAAAAAAAATAAGTCGGGCATGGTGGCATGCATCTGTAATCCCAGCTACTTGGAGGCTGAGGCAGGAGGATCGCTTGTGCCTGGGAGGTTGAAGCTACAGTGAGCTATGGTCAAGCTACTGCACTCCATTATAGGCAACCCTGTCTCAAAAAAGCAAAACAAAACGAAACATTTTCCCCCTTGATTATAGAGGTTTGAGAAAAATTTGAGGGAGGATTCAGAAAATTACCTGTAACTGAACAGAATGCCACCAGCTTGGGCTTATTCTGCATGCATAATTATGAACATTTTCCCATCTCTTGTGAAAATTCTCACATTCATAGAAAGATAGATGCACCAGTAAAATAAATACCTGTAAATAACGATAATAATTTCATAATATATGCTTCACCTAGATTTACCAGTTACTAATATTTTGCTACAGTTTTATTTTCTCACACACTTTTGTTGAGCATCTGAAAACCATATACATGATGACAGTTCACCCCATAATGTTTTAGTATGCATCTCCCAAGAATAAGGTTTTTCTTCTGTATAACAAGAATATTGTAATCATACCTAAGAAAATGAATTTTATTACATATGTGTTCTATATTCAAATTTCTGTAATTACCCTTAAGATGTCTTTTAAATGATTTTTAGCATTGATAGTCTGTGCCTGTGTAGATTATAACATTGGCTATTGCAAAATAATGGTTTTCTTTTTCTCTCTTTTTTTTTTTTTGAGATGTAATCTTGCTCTATTGTCCAAGCTGGAGGGCAGTGGTGCGATCTCGGCTCACTGCAACCTCCGCCTCCCAGGTTCAAGCAGTTCTCTTGCTTCAGCCTCCTGAGTAGCTGGGATTACAGGCATGTGCCACTGTGCTCTGCTAATTTTTATATTTTTAGTAGAGATGGAGTTCATCATGCTGGCCAAGCTGGTCTTGAACTCCTGACCTCAGGTGATCCACCTGCCTCGTCCTCCCAAAGTGCTGGGGTTACAGGTGTGAGCCACTGCACCCAGCGTAAAATGATGGTTTTCTGATTCTAGCATTTCTTTTATAAGATTGCTATGTAAAGCGCAGCTTTTCCTTTTTTAGGGAAAAATGTTTTTTAACAGCTGCAAAATAAATATTCTTTCAATGGAATGACAAATAGTTATTTATTATTTTATTTTTGCCATATATTTATTTTAAAAATTTATGTATAATGGTAACCTGAGCCTGCATGTTATTCATGTGTGGTGCCATACTGATCTTCTTTAATTTTAATATGAAGCAAGTACTAATATACTAAAGCATAAATTATATAAAATTTGCTTTATATTTTGGATTGCAAAGTAATTGTTGTACTTTATAGAAAAGTTTCCCAAATCCATTTTACTTTTTTGTATTTGAAATTTAATCACAGGTAGAATCTTAAAGAGAGCATTTAGAGATATTGTAAACAGATGTTATTAAGGACTAATGTTAACTGATGTCAAAGGACTAATATTAACAAACATTGAAGAGGAGAAAGCAGTATTTGTTTTTAGCTTAACATCTTAGTGGAGCGAAATATTTTCAATTTATTTATTTATTTATTAATTATTATTTTTTTTGAGATGGAGTCTGGCTGTATTGTCCAGGCTGGAGTGCAGCGGTGCAGTCTCAGCTCACTGCAACCTCTGCCTCCTGGGTTCAAGCGATTCTTGTGTCTCAGCCTCCCAAGCAGTTGGGATTTACAAGTGAATTTTTTTTTTTTTTTAACTAAAACTACAGAATCTATTTTTCTTGGTCTCATACTCAGTTTTTTATGTAGTCAGTAAATAATGAACCTAATTTGCTTGTTTTCTCCCTATTTTGTTGAATGTTCACGGTTTGTAACTTTTATTTTTAAGCTTGTAATGACCAGCCTGCAGTCAATTCTTGAAAATGTGGATACACCAGAATTGCTTTGCAAATGTGTTAAGTGCATTCTTTTGGTGGCTCGATGTTACCCTCATATTTTCAGCGCTAATTTTAGGGTGAGTTCCTCATTCCGTTGTTCAGATCATGGGGTGAGGGGGATGGTTGTGTGTGTGAGGAACTGAGGAATCAGATGGAAAACAATGCCTCTGCTCCTTTGAATATAATCAGTGATATTTGAGGTTCCAGGGTTAAATGCCGCATTTTTCTTTCTGACGTTCGTACCTTAAAATATTTGAAGAAAATAAACTATTTCATTGTTGTCAGAAATGTAGTTCTTTTATTTTCCTGCCCCTCTCCCCTTTCTAAGTTTCTAGAATGTCAAGTAGGTAGAACATAGA
The DNA here is from genome assembly GCF_000001405.40 of Homo sapiens. NCBI lineage: Eukaryota > Metazoa > Chordata > Mammalia > Primates > Hominidae > Homo > Homo sapiens. The sequence goes on along the minus strand of NC_000016.10, from coordinate 30,294,283 downwards.
TGCTCCTTTTAGGATCTTTTGCTGTGAAATGGTCCACAGGTGAATGGCAGTAATATCTTAAAATGATTGGCCCCCTCTCTCTTTGTTTCCATCAAGGATACAGTTGATATATTAGTTGGATGGCATAGAGATCATACTCAGAAACCTTCGCTCACGCAGCAGGTATCTGGTAAGTCTTGCAGCCTATACCAGTTATTTAAATACTGTCGGGGAGGAGCAGTGGTCCCCCAGTGACCATCTATCAATACCATTTCTTTAATAATGCAAGAAAACTAATTCGGAGAAATGTTTTATTGTAAATGAACATGACTTGTTAGCTAAATATATATTTTCAGAGGAAATTACTAGTAGGTGGGTAGAGTAAGTACAGACAGGACTTACCCAAGTTATTTGTAGTTTGTACTGGTAGGAAAGTATATGGTAAGAATATATTGCAGTGGCAATACCCTGAAGTGGACAATGGAAGATCCAAGTTATTTGTCACATTTTATTGTTTTTCTGGTTATTTTTTTAAAAAAGGAAATATAGGGTTAATTTGGAGAATTGTCATAAATGAGAAATGGTTTTGTTTCCCATTTTTTTGGATTTAAGTGAATGACTAGCGTGGCTCATTTGCACATTTCAGCTTGTTTCAAGTGTCATAGTTTCTCGTAACTTACTTGGTGTAATAAACTTTTGAAAATAGGATATTCAGGTGATAGTGGTCTGTTTCATTTTCACTGAGGAGATGAGTATACACCTTTAATGGTTAGATGTGGCCCTGGGATTAGCCAGGCCAATGGTAGATTGTGGCATTTTAGTCTTAAGTCATGTGTAGTGACAATATAGATATGAAATTTACTGAAAAAGTAAGGAAATAACATTTACATGTTAATTTCTGCAGAAATTAAAGAGGTATTAAAGAGGTATTGGTTAATCGTGATCAGCATGTTTAGCAGTCTTAATTTTATGATATAGGACATGTTTTAGGGTATGCTGCTTGAAAACCAGATACTTTTTAAAACGAGCCTCTTATATTTTTTTAATTTGGATTTTTTGGTGTTTTTTCTCCCCCCTACCCTTTCACAATTTCTTATACGATTCCAAGGGTGGTTGCAGAGTTTGGAGCCATTTTGGGTAGCTGATCTTGCATTTCCTACGACTCTTCTTGGTCAGTTTCTAGAAGACATGGAAGCATATGCTGAGGTGAGTATATAGAAAGCTGTTTCTTAAAATTTTGGTTAAGAAAAAATCTTAAATTGTGCTAGATTTATTTTAAAATGGCTCAGACCTCCTGACATTTAAGCAGAAATTACAAGCCCATTGCAATATTTTGAAAAAAAATTTTTTTTTGAGACGGAGTCTCGCTCTGTCACTCAGGCTGGAGTGCAATGGCACGATCTCAGCTCACTGCAACCTCCACCTCCTGGGTTCAAATGATTCTCCTGCCTCAGCCTCCTGAGTAGCTGGAATTACAGGTGCCCGCCACTACGCCCAGCTAATTTTTGTATTTTTAGTAGAGACGGGGTTTCACCGTGTTGGCCAGGCTGGTCTCAAACTCCTGACCACTGGTGATCCACCCACATCGGCCTCCCAAAGTGCTGGGATTATAGGCATGAGCCCCCGTGCCCAGTCAGTATTTTAAACATTTATTTCAGATGTGTTTAAATTACCAGGAGAATTACTGGAGAGACTAAAAGAAACGTTGCAAGCTTCGTATTTCGCAAAGCTTTACATACTCTTGGTAGCTGGTATTTTTCTAAAGACATTTTTTGTTATTTATTTTTATTTTTTGTCCCCAGTCTTCAGAGTCTTAAAGCAAATTGATGTTGTGTTATAAAAAAACACAAAACACCAAAAGCTCCTAAAGATTTTCCTCTTACATATGTACAGGAGAACTTGAATCGTACTTTGGAGGACAAGCCTTGGCTTCAGCCAGCTTTTGTGGCTGTACGAATATAGCATAGGAGCTTTAAGAGCGCTGCTGAAGCCTCTGTTACTGGTACTTGGCTTTTCTGGCCCCACTGTCATGGCTTAACTCTGTGCCATCTCTTATCTGAATCTCTTTGTGTTTCTCCCCTATTCAGATCAACCAATCAAGGCTCCCATAAAGATTTTGGCCTCATCTTGTTTTTTTCATCTTTGCTGCTTGTAGTCAACAGGAATTCAGTACCTTTAGCTGTACTGATGTGTTTACTCTTTCCTAGAAAAGCAAGGAAATGTTTTGCTTCTGCGTTGTTTTTTCTTTGCCCCCACACCTAGAATGTCTTTTTTCACAGCCCACGTTTAAAGCTGATCTACCTCTCATAAGCCACACATTCTAGTTTGTAGAGATGTTTCCCCTTGTTATCCTTAAGATCTCATTCTCTTCTGTTATTTTGGTGCTTAATTTTAGGTAGATGTATACATTGGTTCTAGTATCCTAGTTTTTGCGAATCTTGTCCTTTTCATATATCGTACTTCTTCAGTTACACATCTGTAGACCAGGTCTTGTAATCTCCCTTTGCTCTTCATGTGCATGCTCTTGGTTTGGAGGACTTACTGTTGAGCTGAGTGGCTCAAAGAATACCTAGAATGAGATTTTTAGCCAAAAACTAATTCAGGAGTGGCAAAAGCTTCCGTCTTCATTTATACCTACATATAACTAGAGCATATGTGCTAGAATTTATTTTTCCCCGACAGCTTTCTGAGTTGATTTAAGAGATTATTTCCTTAATTTGTTGTCTATTGGGTTTAATGTTGGCTTTTTGAAATAATTAGGTAAAACCCATTTTTATATTCAGAGTCATGAATATTCTCATGGGCCACAGTTCTCTTTCTAAAAGCCTAAAAATCTATTCTAAAATGAATTGATTGAAATATTTTAGAGTTTTTTGTTTTTTTTTAAACAATGTACTACTTATTAAGAATGCTGTGAATTCACATCTAGGACCTCAGCCATGTGGCCTCTGGGGAATCAGTGGATGAAGACGTCCCTCCTCCATCAGTGTCATCACCAAAGCTGGCTGCGCTTCTCCGGGTATTTAGTACTGTGCTGAGGAGCATTGGGGAACGCTTCAGCCCAATTCGGGTCCTCCAATTACTGAGGCATACGTAACAGTTGTAAGTGCTTTTGGGCATTTGAAGTGTCATTCAAAAATAAAATTGTTTTACATTGTAAATGATTCTCTTTACCAGGTGAACTGTTATTAATCCTTCATTTGTTTAGCATGTGTGTATGTATGTATATATGTATATATTGTCTGACTGCTTTCTTAACCAGAAAAGCAGGGAATCCTGTTATATCTCATCCTCCTTTCATCCAACTCCCCTACCCTCCCATGACAAAAGGCCACTCTGAATTTTTAAATCTTATTCTTTCATTTTTAAATAATATTTCTTATAATTTTACTTTTAAATTATTGGGTTTCCTTTTAGTTTTTCAACATATTACGAATAGCACACTATAGGAGAAGCCTCAGAAAGTAACCTTCTCTGAGCATAAGATGGAACTCATATGAAAACTTGTATATCTTTATATTCTTTGATAGCCTGATATCAAAGAACATAAACAAATTAAAAATGAGGTAGCTAGATTGCCACACTTCAGCAGCCTCAAACATTAGCTGCACTGTATATAGCACATCCAATGAGGGTTCAGTGGAAAAGACACAAGAAATGAACCCCAGGCATTGTACTCTGCTTTGAATAAGGAGAAAGAAGCATGTGTGATACAGTCATAAAAAAATTAATCTAACTGATGAAAATTTTACTGTTAGGATAAAACTCGCTTTTAGGAGCATATACTTTTGCTGAACATGTTGCTAAATAAAATAGGATATTGATTATATAGTAAGTTGTGTACTTGAGCAGAAATGTCAGAACTTAAAGATAAATGAAACCAGCATATTGGTATTTTAAACCAATATGGTTTCAAAATGGTTTAATATCTTTGCTTCATTTTTAATGTCTAAAAGGTGGTTGAAGACTGTACAGAGTTGAAATAAAAAGCCGTTAATTCAGACATAAAATAAAAGGGACATAATTTATAGGATAGGTGTATATTGATTTATGAGGATCTTTTAGGCCTTTGAGAATGGTAGAATGGTGGGGTTTTTATTTTTTTTATTTATTTTTGGAGCTGGAGCCTCACTCTGTCACCCAGGCTGGAGTGTAGTAGTGCAATCATAGCTCACTGTAGTCTTGAACTCTTGGGCCCAGGTGAACTTCCCATTCACTCAGCCCTACAAGCGGGTGTCACCATACCCAGCTTTTTTTGTTTTTCTTTTTAAAGTGGGGTGGTGCCATCACGACTCAGTGCAGCCTCTGTATCTTGGGCTCAAGTGATCCTCCCACCATAGTTCCTGCTAATTTTTTATTTTTGTAGAGATGGGGTCTCAGTGTTTCCCAGGCTGGTCTTGAACTTTTGGCCTCAAGCAGTCTTCCCACCTCAGCCTCCCAAAGTGTTGGGATTATAGACATGAGCCACTGTGCATGCATGGCCAAGAATGGTTCCCCCTCCGCCCTCTCTCCCCCACTCTTTTTTTTTTGGAGACATGGTCTCTGTTGCCCAGGCTGGAGTGCAGTGGCACGATCTTGGCTCACTGCAGCCTTGACCTCCCAGGCTTAAGTGATCCTCCCACCTCAGCCTCAAGTAGTTGGTGGGACTACTGGTGTGAGCCACCACGCCCAACTAATTTAAAAACAAATTTGGTAGAGATGAGGTGTTGTTATGTTGACATGGCTGGTCTCAAACTCCTGGACTCAAGAGAACCTTCCAGCTAATCCTCTCAAAGTGCTAGGATGATAGATGTGAGTCACTATGCCCAACCTCCAAGGATACTTTTAATGAAAACTATGGGTAGACTAAATAAAATCCTGTATGTATTGGTTGTTAAATATTATAGAAATATTTTTAAACATTTGCTCTGTTTTCTCCCCCATTTTATTAGAAATTTAGTACACAATTATTGGCCATTATAGTTAAGTGGGGGATTTTGTTTGTGTGTGTATTGGAAATAATATGATTTTTGAAGATATTATGTGGTAAGCATGAGAGTGCTTATCTTTCAAAAGAGACCATCAGTAGATAGAAACTTTAATAAGCTTAAAGTGACTTGTATGTTCAGTTTTGAAAGATTGATTCCCAAAAGCCCAAGAGCTAGCTTGTAGTATGTGTGGGCAGGCTATTCCCATGCTGTCAATACCATTACTGTCGTGGTGTATTTCATGATAAAGATTCTGAGCTTCAGCCATTTAGTGACATTGGGAGAAACGAAGTTGGGTATATGGGAAATAGAGGATGGCAGGTTCCATTTCCTGTCATAGTAGCACTTTAGGATTTTTTAGCCAAGATCATGTTTACATATTGTAGTAAAGGGATCATTATTATTCAGCTACTGAGAACTAGAATATTAAGAGACTGCTGGCAAGGCAAGCAGTTAATTTTCAGTTGAAATTGCATTAAATAAAAAGTATTTTCTTGCTTTGTGGAAGCACGTGAATTTTTGTAAAAAGCTGCTTGTTTTCCCCATTTACAGGTTCTGTACAGAGTAATGAGATGTGTGACGGCTGCAAACCAGGTGTTTTTTTCTGAGGCTGTGTTGACAGCTGCTAATGAGTGTGTTGGTGTTTTGCTCGGCAGCTTGGATCCTAGCATGACTATACATTGTGACATGGTCATTACATATGGATTAGACCAACTGGAGAATTGCCAGACTTGTGGTACCAATTATATCATCTCAGTCTTGAATTTACTCACGCTGGTATGTGAATTATTCTTTTCCTTTTTAATGTGTTGGTTTATTCAGGCCCTTAAATCGATATGTAAGAAATTAAGGACTTTGTCTGGGTATGGTGGCTCATGCTTGTAATCCCAGCACTTTGGGAGGCCAAAGCAGAAGGATTGCTTGCATCCAGGAATTCTGGCACAGCTTGGGCAATGTAGTGAGACCCCATCTGTACAAAAAGTCAAAAATTAGCTTGGTGTAGTGGTGTGCACCTGCAGTCCTAGCTACTCGGGAGGCTGAGGGAGGAAGATCGATTAAGCCCAGGAACTTGAGGTTGAAGTGAGCTCTGATTGTGCCACTGCACTCAGCCAAGGTGACAAAAAAGGCCCTGTCTCCAAAAAAGAAAAAAAATAAGGGCTTTGCTTTATTATATTATTTTTTAGAGTACATTCATCAGTCTTATAATCTATGCTTTCATTTTAGTGTCTATTTACTTTTATTTTTAATGCAATTTTTTTTTGAGACAGGGTCTCACTCTGTTGCACAGGATGAAGTGCAGTGGCATGATTTTGGCTCACTGTAGCCTTGACCTCTTGGGTTCAGGTGACCCTCCCACCTCAGCCCCCCAGGTAGCTAGGACTACAGGCGTGCACCACCACACCTGGCTAATTTTTTATATTATTTTGTAGAGATGGAGTTTTGCCATGTTGCCCAGGCTGGTCTTGAATTCTTGGGCTCAAGCAATCCACCTGCCTTGGCCTCCCAAAGTACTGGGATTATAGGCATGAGCCACTCTGCCAGGCCTCTATTTTTAGTGGTTGATAGCTAGTCTCAGTGTAGCTTTACTCGTTTTTTCTGAGGAAACATTGCTCTACGCACCAGATTCTTTCTTTTTTGCTTTTCTTTTCTTTCTTTTTTTCTTTTTTCTTTTTTTTTTTTTTTTTGTCACAGGATCTTGCTGTATTCCCCTGGCTGGAGTGCAGCGGTACAATCAGAGCTCACTGCAGCCTCAAACTCCTGGGCTCAAGTGATTCTCCCACTCAGCCTCCCGACTATCTGGGACTACAGATGCATGCCACCATGCCTGGCTAACCTTTGTAGTTTTTGGAGAGAAGGGGTCTCACTACATTGTCTAGACTGGCCTTAAATTCTTGGTCTCAAGTAATCCTCCTGCCTTGCCCTCCCGAAGTGCTGGGATTACAGGTGTGAGCAATCATGCCTGGCCTCCTTTAATTTCTTTTTTTTTTTTTTTTTTTTTTTTTGAGACGGAGTCTCGCTCTTTTGCCCAGGCTGGAGTGCAGTGGCACAATTGTATTTTTAGTAGAGACGGGGTTTCACCATGTTAGCCAGGATGGTCTCGATCTCCTGACCTCGTGATCTGCCTGCCTTGGCCTCCCAAAGTGCTGGGATTACAGGCGTGAGCCACCACGCCCGGCCGGCCTCCTTTAATTTCTTAACCATAAATATCCTCCCCCCACTTTTATTATGGACATTCTGAAGCACATAAAAATAGGGAGCATAGTATAATAAATTTGTACATATTTAACACTCAGCTTCTATAATTAGAAACAAATGGCCCATCTGGTTTCATCTAGGCCTCTTTGCTATCCTTTCATCTCCAGCTGGATTATTTTAAAGCAAATTCTAGATGACATTCTGCTGAGCATTTCTGCCAGAATTACACCTCTCTTTGCTAATGTGAAAAAATGCCCATGATAACTGTAAAATACGTGTGTCCTATTTAGGTGTCTAAACACTTTAATGTCACAGTATTAAGGCCTTAAAATATAGCTTAGATATATTTTTCTAAATTAAAAGACTTTATTTTTTAGATATACAGAAAATTGAGCAGAAAACAATGAGTTCCCATATACCTTCTTCATCCCAACAGTTTCCCCCTCATTAACATATTGTGTTAGTGTGGTACATTTATTACAAAGGAGTGAATATTGATATATTATTATTAACTAATTTTATAGTTTACTTTGTGTTATGTATTCTATGGACTTTAACATGTGTAATGACATGTATCCCCTATTACCAGTATCATACAGGATAGTTTCACTTCCCTAAAAATCTTTGATGTTCTACCCACTCCTTCCTCGTTCCCTCTCCTCACTCCTCCCTCCCTCCATCTTAAGCCCATGGCAACCCCTGATCTTTTTACTGTCTCCATCGTTTTGCCTTTTCCAGAATGCCATGTAGTTGGAGTCATATAGTATGTAGCCTTTTCAATTGACTTCTTTCACTTACCAGTGTGCATTTAAGGTTTCTCCATGTCTTTTTGTAATTTGAGAAGCTCATTTTTTAAAAATTTTATTCTTTTAGATTGTTGAACAGATAAATACGAAACTGCCATCATCATTTGTAGAAAAACTGTTTATACCATCATCTAAACTACTATTCTTGCGTTATCATAAAGAAAAAGAGGTAAGTAATACACTGATAATGAATTTTGACAACTTGAGTCACTGAAGAGTTGGACCTAATGTTGCTTACCAGGCTATATAAGTGAAATTGAGTGAAATGTGAAATGTTTGATTTAGAATATAGTGATTGTATTTGTTCTTTTAAATTTATATTTCTTGATAATCATACTGAATACTTTCATGAATGATGTGCCAGATACTCTTTTCAGACTATGCATCTCTTGCTGTTATTAAATTTATTAAATTTTCATAAGGGTAAAACAAGTTGACACATTTATAAAGTTATAAATTAAGTACTGTATATTTTGTAAACAAAAATGACTGGCTTTTCAACCACCCCCTAGTCAAATCCACCACAGACTTTCCTGGTAGATTTAAGAAACCCAGTCTTAAATTGCTGTTTGCATATGTCTTTTGATGTTGATTATTTAAAAAAAAACGGCCATTTTGGAAATTTCCTATTGACAGTTTTCATTTATAGTACTCTTTATTTGTGATAAAACTTAATAGATTTGAAATAGCATACTGATCTGTGTCAGTTTTCTGATTGGTTTTTTAAAAATTAAAATATTAAGTGCTACGGACAGTGAATTGATCAATCTTAAATTTATTTGTATCATCAGCACTAATACAGATAGTGATTTATTTTCCATATAATTTTAGAAGATTTATTTTCCATTTATCACTTCCTTGAATTTTTTGTTTTTCAGGTTGTTGCTGTAGCCCATGCTGTTTATCAAGCAATGCTCAGCTTGAAGAATATTCCTGTTTTGGAGACTGCCTATAAGTTAATATTGGGAGAAATGACTTGTGCCCTAAACAACCTCCTGCACAGTCTGCAACTTCCTGAGGCCTGTTCTGAAATAAAACATGAGGCTTTTAAGAATCATGTGTTCAATGTAGACAATGCAAAATTTGTAGTTAAATTTGACCTCAGTGCCCTGACTACAATTGGAAATGCCAAAAACTCGAGTCTTTAATTGTAATGACTTTGTTTTATCCACAGTTAAGCCTTTTCTCATTACATATTTATGTATTTCACTGTCATGTCAACATGTCTGCAGAATCACTGTATGTAACAAACAGCCATATTTAAGACATGCCTGGATAAATAAAATTGGTAGGAATGTTTTCTTGCCATTATATTTAACGTTTCTTCTTTTTCCTTGACAAATCTTGATAAGTTTTTTTATATTAGTTTTATTTTCTAGAAAACGTCTTATGAATTTCTCCCATTTGCTCTAGCATGCTTATAGAAAATGTCAGTGTTTCTTACAGCTCAAATTTGTATAGTTGTTTTAAAATGCGGTCTCTTTCTTCTTCCCCTGGTACTTTTTTCTTTCTGTCTACTGAAGTTAGTTCTTATACATGGTCTTATATTTTGGCTGTCTTTTTTTCCCTAGGAACATTCATACAGGTTGAATATTCCTTATCTGAAATACTTGGGACTGGAAGTGTTTTTGATTTTGGATTTTGGAATACTTTTTTTTTTTTGGAGATAGTGTTTTACTCTTGTTGCCCAGGCTGGAGTGCAATGGCGCAATCTTGGCTCGCTGCAACCTCCGCCTCCCGGGTACAAGCGATTCTCCTGTTTCAGCCTCCCAAGTAGCTCGGATTACAGGCATGCGCCACCACGCCTGGCTAATTTTTTTGTATTTAGTAGAGATGGGTTTTCACCATGTTAGCCAGGCTGGTTGTGAACTCCTGACCTCAGGTGATCCACCTGCCTTGGCCTCCCAAAATGCCGGGATTACAGGTGGGCACCACCATGCCCAGCCGGATTTTGGAATATTTTCATAACACTTTCTGGTGAGCATCCCTAATCTGAAAATCCTAAATCTAAAATGCTCCAAAATTTGAAACTTTTTGAGCACCAGTATGATGCCCCAAGTGGAAAATCCCACACCCGACCTCATGTGATGAGTCCAAACTGTTGTATGCACAAAATTATTTAAAATATTGCATAAAATGACCTTCAGGCTATGAATAGAAGGCGTCTATGAAATATAAGTGAATTTCGTGTTTAGACTTGGGTCGCGTCCCCCACATATCTCATTTTATATATGTGCAAGTATTCTCAAATCCAAACATATACAGAGTCTGAAACACTTCTGGTCCCAAGCATTTTGAATAAGGGATACTCAACCTGTAGTCTTTCTTTTAGGAGGGGGGGAAAAAAAAAGCTTTTTTTTTTTTTTGGAGACAGAGTCATGCTGTTGTCACCTGGGCTGGAGTGCAGTGGTGCAATCTCGGCTCACTGCCACCTCTGCCTCCCGGGTTCCAGCAATTCTCCTGCCTCAGCCTCCCGAGTAGCTGAGATTACAGACACCTGCCACTACGACGGGCTAATTTTTGTATTTTTAGTAGAGACTTGGTTTCACCATGTTGGCCAGGCTGGTCTCAAACTCCTGACCTCAGGTGATCCACCCGCCTCAGCCTCCCAAAGTGCTGGAATTACAGGCACGAGCCACCGCGCCCAGCCCGTGTGTTTTTTTTTTTTAAGTAATTCGACGTGGCCCTGCTCTTGATTTGTATTTATTGTTTATGGTTTGTGTATTTCTTCTTCCTATTGGACCACACAGAGTTGAAAAACATTATTTTTAATAGAAAATAATAGGTGTAGGCTGGGCACGGTTGCTGACACCTGTAAACCCAGCACTCTGGGAGGCCACGTCGGGCTGATCACTTGTGGTCAGGAGTTTGAGACCAGCCTGGCCAACATGGTGAAAGTTCGCCTCTACTAAAAATAGAAAAATTAGCCAGGGGTGGTGGTGCACACCTGTAATCCTAGCTACTTTGGAGGCTGAGGTAGGAGAATTGCTTGAACCCAGGAAGTGGAGGTTGCAGTGAGCTGAGATCACACCACCGCATTCCAGCCTGGGCTACAGAACCAGACTCTGTCTCAAAAGAAAAAAAAAAAAAAGAAAGAAAGAAACAAAGAAAGTAATGGATGTAATTAGGGAATAAAGTTTTTAGGAGGAAAAAGGTAAAATTTGATGTTTGCGCTTCAGTGTGCTCCATGTTGTTTGATTGGATTGCCTTGTATAATTCCATAGCTGCTTCGCTTATTACCAGTTACAGCTTATGTTTGAAGTCACAATAAACTCTTCTTCAAACATGAAAGCTTGATTTTTGAGGAAAATTATTCACATTATTTGCAGATTCAAAGATGTTTATGTCCTGTACTCTAGAAATAAGGAGAAAGTGGGTGGGGCTGGGGCAGTCAGGTGGAATGGAGTGTCTTGGCAGTGTAAAGGAAAAAGATGGATGGAAAAGGTGTATAGTGGCAGGGTGTGCCTTTGTTTCCTTATTGAACAGGGCACCTTGCCATTTGCAGTATATGGAAAATTGAAGAAATACAGTCTACTTCCGCAAAAGGCACATACAAAGGGCTCTGTTTAGACCAGAGATCAGCAAACTATGGTCCGTGGGCCAAATACAGCCCAGCACCTGTTTTTTGTTTGTTATTTTAAGTGTATAATTCACTGATTTTTAGTATATTCACAGAAGTGTACAACCATCGCAACACTAGTGCCTGTTTTTGTAAAGAAAGTTCTCGTTGGGCTGGGCACAGTGGTTCACGCCTGTAATCCCTCGGGAGACCGAGACAGGCAGATCACCCGAGCTCAGGAGTTCAAGACCAGCCTGGCCAACATGGTGAAACCCTATCTCTACTAAAAAAATACAAAAGTTAGCAGGGCGTGGTGATGGGCACCTGTAGTCCCAGCTACTTGGGAGACTGAGGCAGGGAGAATTGCTTGAACCCCGGAGGTAGAGGTTGCAGTGAGCTGAGATCGCCCCATTGCACTCCAGCCTGGGCAACAGAGCGAGAGACTCCGACTCAAGAAAGTTTTCTTGGAACACAGGTACTCTCATTCCTGTGTTTCGTATGTGGCTGGTGTTTTGTTTTGAGAGAGAGAGTCTTAACTTTGTCATCTAGGCTGGAGTGCATTGGTATGATCTCGGGTCACTGCAACCTCTGCCTCCCAGGTTCAAGCGATTCTCCTGCCTCAGCCTCCCGAGTAGCTGGGATTACAAGTGTGCGCCACCATGCCCAGCTAATTTTTGTAATTTTAGTAGAGATGGGGTCCCGCTGTGTTGCCCAGGCTGGTTTCAAACTCCTGGGCTCAAGTGATCTGCCCACCTTAGCCTCCCAAAGTGCTAGGATTACAGGTGTGAGCCACAACACCTGACCTGTGGCTGTTTTCTTACTGTAGTGATAGACAAGGAGTTGCTGCATTGCATAGAGATGCTATATTGCACGCAAAGGCTTTACTGACTTCACAAAAAAGTATTTGTCCAAGGTGTAGTGTACTAGATCCCTTCCAATCTGTAATTTTAATTTAAAAATGTCCAAATAAAAAAAAAAAAGTCCAAATACCCCTGTTTTGAAGGATAAACTCTGTATGCTTGTGCTTATTTTGGAGAAGCCATAAACTTACTTTGTTTTGTACATGATCAGATGTGGGCGCTATCTCCAACTGTCTTTGCACTTCTGAGTAAGAATCTGATGATTGTGCACAGTGACCTGGCTGTTCACTTCCCTGCCATTCAGTATGCTGTGCTCTACACATTGTATTCTCATTGTACCAGGTACTGTATTCACAAATTTTTCTTAAGAACCCCACAAAACATTTTATTTTTTTAATGGATAGATTTTAAAGATGTATGTTGATTTAACTTTGGACTTGCTTGCTTTCTTTGATTAAAGATGAAAAGATAATCTATGCTTTGTCTTTCAGGCATGATCACTTTATCTCTAGTAGCCTCAGTTCTTCCTCTCCTTTGTTTGATGGAGCTGTGATTAGCACTGTAACTACGGCCACAAAGAAACATTTCTCAATTATATTAAATCTTCTGTGAATATTACTTAAGAAAGATAACCTTAACCAGGACACGAGGTAACAGATTTTATATAGTATTAACTATTCCTAACTTTGTTAATTTGCCTTTATAATTTGAGAATAAGAAATGTGAATTACAAAAAATTTTTAAAAATGTGGATTATAGAGGTGAGGTAGAGCAGCTTCTTTACTGTCAAACACCTTATAATTTGGTTTTATTATTTAATCTAGGCTTTCTTATTCTTTCTGAAAAGAAATACATGAAAAACCTCAATCCCCCATCCCCAGTGTTTCATAGAAGAATATATATAGATTTTTAATATTCTATGCTTTTTTTGTTTTTGAGACGGAGTTTTGCTCACTGCAACCTCTGCCTCCCAGGTTCAAGCAATTCTTCTGCCTCAGCCTCCCAAGTAGCCGTGATTACAGGTGCCCGCCACCACACCCAGCTAATTTTTGTATTTTTAGTAGAGATGGTGTTTCACCATGTTGTTGGCCAGGCTGGTCTTGAACTCCTGACCTCAGGTAAGCCACCACGCCCGGCCTCTTTGCTATTATCATGCTGCGTTGGGAGGTTTTCTTAAAAGGCACACAACAATTTTGACAGTAATTTCTATAGTTTCATTTTTTATTTTTATTTTTTATTGTTTGAGATGTTTGAAAAACCAAGAGAAAACCAATGTAAGAAGACTAGGCTTTTAACGTTTTTTTGTTTTTGTTATTGTTTTTAATGTACAGTCAACTGTATATTTTGTGTTTCAGGAAACTGTTAATGACTTGGGCTTTGGAAGTAGCTGTTTTAATGAAGAAGTCCGAAACATATGCACCTTTATTCTGTCTTCCGTCTTTCCATAAATTTTGCAAAGGCCTTTTAGCCAACAGTAAGACTCTGTTTTTTTTTTTCTATTTTGTTTATCAATCCTTAAAAGGGTCTTTGGTAATGGGAGATGGTCATCAATCGAGCTCTTTTCCTGACCTGCAGATGTGTAATCCTCATTTTAATGACAGATACACAGTCTTGATTTTTTTTCATTCTTAGTATTAGAAAAATGTTTTGAAGTGATTGTCACATTTTTAAGCTTACGTGAATGTTTATAGTTTGCATATACTTTTACATTTTCTCTCAGAAAAAGTTTTGTGTGATGACCCATCAGTTACATTACGTGGGTTTTGTTGAATGTGTCATTTTTCCAAACGTGACAGTCAATGAGGATTCTGGACAAGAACAGTGCCTAGTCTAGAGTAGGCACTCACTCTTTGTTGAATGAATGAATGGATTCAGATAATTATGACAAACTGGGATATAATTTCTTTTGGCCAGCTGAAAGTAGCTGTCTTTTAATGTTTAATAGTTCTCGTTGAAGATGTGAATATCTGTCTGCAGGCATGCAGCAGTCTACCTGCTCTGTCCTCTTCCTTGCCAGATGATCTTTTACAGAGGTATGAAATTAAGATCATGTCTTTTGACATTAATCCTAATAACTTTGAAATGTTAACACACCTGCTTTGTCTATTTCGTTCTTTCATAGATGTGTTGATGTTTGCCATGTTCAACTAGTGCACTGTGGAACTCGTATTCGACAAGCATTTGGAAAACTGTTGAAATCAATTCCTTTAGATGTTATCCTAAGGTATAACAGTTGTTTTGGAGCAAAGACATTCTGTGATATTTACAGCCTCTACTGGTTGTCTACTTTAGGAGAAGACAGATCACCTATTAGAGCATTAATGACACATCTTTTATGGCCCTGCTTGTCAGTGATTGAAGTGATGTCAAATAATCAAATTTTGCAGGTCTGCAAGAAAATTAAAAATTTTTAATGAGCTTTATAGGCTCACAATAATTAGTATAGAATAACTCATGTAGTGCCAAAATATGTTTCTTAGTAGCTCAGATATTTGAAAAACTAAACAGTAATCTTTTATTGTTTTTGATCAAGTTGATTTGGGAGCTTTTAAGAGCCTAAACTTGATCCTTTTGTAATACATAAGCATAATGATTGGGTTTTTATGTTCACATGTTTGATATGCCTCCCTCAAATCCTCTTATGATGTCGGCACATGACCCATCTGAAGTGAATAAAAAAAGGATCTAAAGTTGTAATCACATCTCCGTATCCATTTGAAAGTCTCAATTTTTCTATATTTTTACCTCCAGTGAGTTAATAAGTAAATAATCCACTTACAGTATGTGCTAACCTTTTAAGCTAAAATATTTTGCGTAACAACAACTTTATTTTCTGTCTACAGCAATAACAATCACACAGAAATTCAAGAAATTTCTTTAGCATTAAGAAGTCACATGAGTAAAGCACCAAGTAATACATTCCACCCCCAAGATTTCTCTGATGTTATTAGTTTTATTTTGTATGGGAACTCTCATAGAACAGGGTAAGGCATTTCTTTGACTATTTTATCTAGGAAAGATAATTTTAAGATTCCCTTGACTTTACATGCAGTTTTGAAGAGAAAATATGTTTGGGGGTGGCAGAGTATCAAGTAACATTCTTCTCATATGGGTTATTTCAGTTTTCATCAATAGGAAAATTACTTTGAAGATAGCATCTGTAGAAACAAAAATGGGCTTTGAAATTGAGTCATGAAATGTGGTTAACAGTTAACTGATGTGATGTCATTAACACTTTGGGGAATGGGGTGGGGGTGGAGATATTCTAGAGATGCTTAGTTGCATTGAATGAGTTTCATTCCTGACCGGCATGAGCCGTTTACCCTAATCATCCTTCCACGCTGTACCTCATCCTGTTAACTATAAAAGACCTCAAAATAAGAGGGGGGGGACATAATGCTTCTCAATTTCATAGGTTTTGCCTTTTTTTGGAGTAGGGAAAATTACAGTTCCTTATTCCCATTCCCCTTGCATTTTTTTTTCATTATTAAAATGAAGTTGTCATTGTCTTTTAAATATGAAACTACTTTTCCCAGGAAGGACAATTGGTTGGAAAGACTGTTCTATAGCTGCCAGAGACTGGATAAGCATGACCAGTCAACAATTCCACGCAATCTCCTGAAGACAGATGCTATCCTTTGGCAGTGGGCCGTATGGGAAGCTGCACAATTCACTGTTCTTTCTAAGCTGAGAACCCCACTGGGCAGAGCTCAAGACACCTTCCAGACAATTGAAGGTAACTCGCTCAAGCTTTGTGATGTGAATACTTTCAAAGCCTTATTAAGAAATAATGGATTTTTAAATCTTTGTTAAAGATTTGAGAGTATATGATTTTTTTGAAAAGAAGTCAGTAATTTTCAGGTATGTTTGTTAGAATAAGCTTTCATTGAATAATTGCATTGGAAATATGTTTGTTTTTTTCCCAAAACTTATGGGAGTTGTGTGGAAAAAATATATATTTTTTTCCCCTAAAATGAAAGATCTTTCATGTTGGGATTTTTTATTTTTAAATGATGGGTAGACAGAGGATACTTGATAAATGTGAATTGATCATAAAAAACTCACACTTATTCTAGGAACTTTTAAGATTTTTAAAAATTCAGAATGTTGTCTTTGCTTTCAGGTATCATTCGAAGTCTCGCAGCTCACACATTAAACCCTGATCAGGATGTTAGTCAGTGGACAACTGCAGACAGTGATGAAGGCCATGGTAACAACCAACTTAGACTTGTTCTTCTTCTGCAGTATCTGGAATATCTGGAGAAATTAATGTATAATGCATACGAGGGATGTGCTAATGCATTAACTTCACCTCCCAAGGTTGGTTTCCATGAGATAGTGTTGTTTTATAGCAGTTTAATGGTCACAGCTGGCAGTATGTGCAGAGCTGAAATCACAATAGACTTGTGTATTTGGTTTATATATAGGTGAGACATCCTTACCTACAAATTGAACCAGTCCTGAGCTTTTCTTTCTCTTATCGTAAAGGTCATTAGAACTTTTTTCTATACCAATCGCCAAACTTGTCAGGACTGGCTAACGCGGATTCGACTCTCCATCATGAGGGTAGGATTGTTGGCAGGCCAGCCTGCAGTGACAGTGAGACATGGCTTTGACTTGCTTACAGAGATGAAAACAACCAGCCTATCTCAGGTAAAGTGGTGTGTTTGAAATTCATTTTAAGTCTGTTAATAAGAAAAACATGGTTTAATTCCTTTGGTATGATTTAATCTATGGATAAAATAAGTTAAAGCTTGGATTCATTTTCAAAGGTTTTTATCCTGTATTTTGTAAAAGCAACAACTGCCAGAGTTACCTATTTTATTCGTGTTAAAACAGTGTTAGAAGTTAAAATAATGTTCATGTTTTTGTTCATGTTAAAACAATATTCATCTTAGAACATGTTAAAACTATATTTCTTATGTGCAAAGTTTAGAACTTTAAAGGTAATTCTGAAAATTTGTTTATGGGGGATATTTTTTATTTATTTATTTATTTTTTTGAGACACAGCACTCTGTCGCCCAGGCTGGAGTGCAGTTGTGTGATCTCAGCTCACTGTAAGCTCCGCCTCTCGGATTCAAGCCTCTTCTTGCCTCAGTCCCTGGGATTACAGGCACCCACCACCATACCCAGCTAAGTTTTGTATTTTTAGTAGAGACAGGGTTTCACCATGTTGGCCAGGCTGGTCTCGAACTCCTGACCACAAGTGATCTGCCCACCTTGGCCTTCCAAAGTGCTGGGATTACAGGCATGAACCACTGCACCTGGCCAGGAGAAATTGTTTTTATAACGTATGACAAATGCTTGAGTAATTCCTGGCTTGAAAGTGGGCTCACAATAAATAACTGGAATCCAAAAATAACAAAATGTTTAGCAATTCAGGTAATGTCAAGCAGTATTCAAACACATGAAGTTAATCATTCTTTAATTCCTGTTTATTTATATTTAATTTTTGCTTTCTTTTTACTCCATGTGTTATTCCTACAGAGGTCACAGGTTAAATGTTTGGGTAACTTCGGGGTCGGGGTACAAACATCCATGTGCTGCTAAGGTTCTGTTAGTCACCCTTTGTGGCTATTTTATATGTAACATTTTAAATAATTCTGAGCTAAATAATGTGAAAATTGTGAAAATAATTGTTAAATACATTTGGCTTTAAGCAGGCACAGACTGTGATCAGTTGTAAATTTTATAGGGATTTATGTTTTAATGGTATTGGGTGACTAACTTTTCTGAATGCGTTTTCAGGGGAATGAATTGGAAGTAACCATTATGATGGTGGTAGAAGCACTATGTGAACTTCATTGTCCTGAAGCTATACAGGGAATTGCTGTCTGGTCATCATCTATTGTTGGAAAAAATCTTCTGTGGATTAACTCAGTGGCTCAACAGGCTGAAGGGAGGTAGGTTGGAGGGAAGGAAATGGGTGATAGAATTACTTTATGTTTAAATTCTTTGTATTACTCACTGACATTGTAGCCAAATCTTAAAACAGCTTTGTTTGCTTTCAGCATTGAAGCTTGCTATAAATCACTTCACCAGGAGGCATCTTCAGTTTGTTCTTTAGTTAGCAGCAATACTTGAGTGCCTTTCTTATTTAAGAATTAGTGGCAAATCACACTGAAAAACAAGACCTGTCAGTTGTTTTATAAATGCTTTTGAACTTGATCCCTAGTTGAGCTCCTTCCCCCTCAGAGTCTGATACAAATTACCCTTTATTGTCAGAGTATTTGCTCATTAGTCCTGTGAACTCTACATTCAGACTCATTGCTTCCTCCAGATAGAGGAGCTTGTACCATAATATTCTGTGTCCATTTATGTTAGTTTAATGAAATCTTGCGAATTTAGGAAAATAAAAGAACTGCTCATTCTTCCATATCTTTGTAGTAACTTCTGTTGTGTGTCCTTTTGTAGTCCCATATTTCCATATCCATATGCTTTGTAATTCTTTTTTCTTTCATGTCGTTTTCTCCATTCTTCACCAAAACAGCAGCATACATAGGCACATGGTTTTATGATCTGTTTTTCCCACTCAATATTTAAAAAAAAAATTTGCCATGTTAGGTAGGCTGGGTTCGGTGTCTTACATCTGTATTCCCAGCACTTTGGGAGGCCGAGGCAGGTGGATCACCTGAGGTCAGGAGTTTGAGACTAGCCTAACATGGTGAAACCCCGTCTCTACTAAAAATACAAAAAATATTAGTGGGGTGTGGTGGCACATGCCTGTAATCCCAGCTACTTGGGAGGCTGAGGCAGGAGAATCGGTTGAACCCGGGAGGCGGAGGTTGCTGTGAGCCCAGGTTGTGCCACTGCCCTCCAGCCTGGGCAACAAAAGCAAAACTCTGTCTCAAAAAAAAAAAAAAAAAAAAAATTGCCATGTTAAGTATTCTACAGTGTTATTTTTAATAAAGATTTGTATTTATGAGTGTACCATAATTTAATATTTCTTACTGTTGGGCATTAAGGTTGTTTCTGATTTTTTTTTTTACTAAATGTACCATAGCACTTAATATCTTTGCTTATATTTCTGATTACTTTCTTGGAATCCATTCTCATAAACTGATTTACTAGAAGAAAGGCTGCCAAACCATAAGTCTTATGATATATTCTATTGCTAAGTTACTCTACAGAAAAGATGGCTGCAATGTATACCCTTAATAATAGAGTACCCCCTTCCCTTCACCTTTGTGGATACTGAGAGTCACTGAGAAACAAGAATGCTGCCACCACCATCAGCGAAAATAGTTATTGTACTTTACATTTCTATATGTATTAATGACTAATAGTAGAAGTTGCCCCATATAGTGACCATTTGTGATTTTT
This sequence comes from Homo sapiens, assembly GCF_000001405.40. Lineage (NCBI taxonomy): Eukaryota > Metazoa > Chordata > Mammalia > Primates > Hominidae > Homo > Homo sapiens. The sequence continues at coordinate 30,274,592 of NC_000016.10, read as the reverse complement.
TAAAACATGGATCATGTCTTCATGGCCTCTCAATTTTTCCTGTGTTAATCTGTGAAATTTCATTAAATACTAAGATTGTTGATGCTATCCAATTTCTTGATTTATAATTTGTTTTTAATGTTTAGTGTTGTATTTCAGCATTATGCATCTAGATGCTGTTACTTGTGCATCTTTTCTTGCATTTTATCCTTCTACAAAGCCTTTCCACACACTGACATCAGTTACTTATCAATATTTTCCACTAGTTCTTTTATACTCTTACATTTTTTAAAAAACATTTAACCACTTTTAAATTTAGTTTCATAGTTGTGAGGAAGACATCAAACCTCCCCCCACCATAGTCAACTCACTGTTTTAGCTCAGTTTATTCTTGCACCATTTTTTGTGGGAGGGGGGAAATGAGATATGTGTGTTTAAAATAACAGCCTCCTTTGGGGCTGGGCGCGGTGGCTCACGCCTGAAATCCCAGTACTTGGGGAGACTGAGGTGAGCGGATCGCTTGAGTCCAGGAGTTTGAGACCACCCTGGCCAACAGAGCAAAACCTTGTTTTAGCCAGGTGTGGTGGTGGGCGCCTGTAGTCCCAGCTACTTGGGAGGCTGAGGTTGGAGGATTGCATGAGCCTGGGAGGGCAAGGCTGCAGCGAGCCATGATCATGCCACTGCCCTCCAGCCTGGGTGACAGTAAGACTGTCTCAAAAAACAAGTAAGTAAGTAAGTAAAGGCCAGGCGCGGTGGCTCATGCCTGTAATCCCAGCACTTCGGGAGGCCGAGGCAGGCGGATCACCTGAGGTCAGGAGTTCAAGACCAGCCTGGCCAACATGGTGAAACCCCGTCTCTACTAAAAATACAAGAAAATTAGCCGGGCATGGTGGCGAGCGCCTGTAATCCCAGCTACTCAGGAGGCTGAGGCAGGAGAATCGCTTGTACCCAGGAGGCAGAGGTTGCATTGAGCTGAGACAGTGCCATTGCACTCCAGCCTGGGCAAGAAGAGCAAAACTTCATCTCAAAAAAAAAAAAAAAGTAAGTAAGTAGATAAATAAAGAAATAAGACTGCTTCAATTTGCTTTTCAGGTTTGAAAAGGCCTCTGTGGAGTACCAGGAACACCTGTGTGCCATGATAGGTGTTCATTGCTGCATCTCCAGCTTTGACAAATCGGTGCTCACCTTAGCCAATGCTGGGTGTAACAGTGCCAGCCCGAAACATTGTCTGAATGGTGAGCGTTCAGTATTTTTAAATAAAGCAAAAGTTATAGTAATATATTTCGTACTGATGATCTTATCATGTTTTTAGGTTTCTGTGCTCTTTGAAATATTTCTAATTGATCTGAATCTCTCTCTTCTTACTTTATAAAATACTTTCAGGTGAATCCAGAAAAACTGTGCTGTCCAAACCGACTGACTCTTCCCCTGAGGTTATAAATTATTTAGGAAATAAAGCATGTGAGTGCTACATCTCAATTGCCGATTGGGCTGCTGTGCAGGAATGGCAGAACGCTATCCATGACTTGAAAAAGAGTACCAGTAGCACTTCCTTCAACCTGAAAGCTGACTTCAACTATATAAAGTAAGGCTTTCTGTTTCCAGTTATAAAACAAATTTCCAATAACTACGATGTTTTTCCTATGGCAAAAAAATATTAAAATTGGTCATATGTAGTAATACAAAATGGTTATATTTCTAACTTACTGCCATTATGAAAATGACAACAGGAAACTGACATCAGAGATGAGGGAAGGTATTTGTATAATGGGAAAACACTGCTGAGATAGTCATTTGGTATTAATTTTCAGAACCTGTTGTTCTAAAACCTTAATACAGTTTGAAGATTATGCCAGAGTGAATATAAAGAAAAATTTGTACTGCTTTAGAAAGAATCACATTTGATGGCTTTGTTTCTAAATGAGGTCTGAATATATCAAAAACATTTATTCTAATGAGGACAGAGTTTGTGAACATCTGTAAATTAAACTTTCTTCTCATTCCTCTGTGCTTTTATTAATTCTGTAATTCAAAACTGAGCACTCTGTTGCAGACACTTGGCTGGGAAGATAAAGGTCATTAGACTTTGTCTGATACTTCTACTGCTAAATGGGTTAATGTGTAATTGCTTCACTGAGCATGTGCTGTGACCCAGGCAGCACATAAAACAGACACAAATTCCAACCTTTTAAAGCAAAGATTAGATAAAGATTATTGATAGAAGGACTAATTGGACCTCACTCACCTTTTCTGTGCCATAAGGAAAGCAGTTAGGTAAAGCTGACCTTCTTTGGAGGGAAGACACAAGGTCAAGACATGCCCATCAGGATGCCCTTTGGGCCTAGACCTGATGTGAGAATGATGGGCTTGGAGTGTTCTGGAAATAGCTGGGAGGCCTGTGTGTTTAGGAGCGCCTTAAACAGTAGGATATAAGGGCAGAGAAGTAGCTGGGAACTGAGAAGAACTTTGGCTGTTATTCTAGTAAGACTGAAAATTTCAGGTGGGATTTGAACAGAGATGTGTGGTGATCTGACTTGGTTCATTCTGCTGTGGTGAAGAGACTGGAGGTGCGGGGCAAGTATGGAAGCATGGAGACCATTAATTTATGGGGGCAATGGTAGAGGGAAGAGAAACAATGCTATTAACTGGAGTAGGAGCACACAGAGAACAAGCCATGTTTTAAGATTTCTAATGAAATGTGCAGATGAGATTGTTGGGTAAGCTGTTAAGAATTGGATTTTGAACTAAGGAGACAGTCTAAGCTTGAGAGATTTGCAGATGATTAGTACACAGAAAAGGCCCTCTTTCCTTTTCAGTCTCTATACTCTAGAGCCTTTGTAAGCAACCAAACCAGAGAGAAGCCTCTGGAGAATAGTGAGTGAAGAGGAAGGAAGGCCTGGGTCAGAATCCTAGCTTAGCATTTTTGTGAAAGGATAGAAGAGGAAGCCATTCAAAAAAATACAGGGACATTGAGAAGGGAAGTGCCCTAGATATAGGACATCCAGATGGGAGTAGTCAGCCTTGTCAGATGCTCTAGGGATTATAAGGAAAAAGAGTTTTGTAGAGAGACAGAAGAAGCTAGATTGAATAGTATTGAGTGGTAGAGACATTTGAAAATGAAAAGCTTGAGGTAAGTTATTTGGTCAGTGAGTTTTTCTTGAAGTCGAGGATAGGAAGCTGTTGCTGGAGGGAAATATGAGATGTTTATTTTAAATGTTGGAGAGATTATGTTCTTTTGGCCAAGGGGAAGGAGCCACTAGAAAGCAGAGGTTGAAGAAACAGGAGAAAGAACATTGATAGATTAACTGGCCCTCACCTTTTCTCTGCCTCAAGGAAAGCAGTCAAAGTTGGTATAGACAGAATTTCGGCAGTGTATGGTGGATTGGGGGTAGGGGTAGAGGAAATTAAAGCCTGTGTTTTTTTGTTTATTTGTTTGTTTTTTCTGAGGACTGAGTCATTAGCTGAAAGCATAGGGCATTATAGAGCATAGTGGGGACTTGGGGAACCTGCCACTGGAGAGGACTTAGGACCTTTTAATGGCAGAAATGATGACTGTGTTGGCAGCAGTTCATCAGTGCCCAGTACTCAAGGGTCCCCCTGAGAAGCCAGTGGTTGCACTGATCTAGGTAGAATCAGGCACAGAATAAGTCAGGTGATGTGCCTTTCTAGCACTGGCCTCAGGCTGAGTTATAAGGGAAGTTACACAGCGAGAGGGACAGGCAAAGATGGAAAAGAGAGAGTGAGAAACAGTGTCTTCTTCCTGGCTGGAGAGCCCGTGTCATGAAAATGGGGACAGGGTAAGGGATCTGAAAGGAGCAGCATAGAAGCTGGGAGGATGAGGCCTGTCTTCCTGGCATTGATGCTGCAGAACTACAGGAAAGAATTTCAGAGGTGTCATTATTTTTCATATAAGCAGATGAAAGAGAAGAATTCTTTGAAAAAAGAAAAGTAGGTGAAAAAGGGAGAGACAGAGGGATGCCAGCAGTGAAAGAAGCCAGGACTGAGATACAAGATTGTGATGCTGGGAGAGCTGCAAGGGCTCATGCTGTAGGTGAGGAGTGAGGCTGCACAGGGAGCTCACTGGCAGCTTGGAGAGAACTGGGTGTCAAAGTTGTCCTGCAGAGGTCTACTGTCAGTGTGTCAGGCTCTGAAGAGAACAGGCTGCAACACATGAAAACAGGAAGGAGACACAGGGGCGAGTCAGCTCCACTGAAAGTCTGTAGCTGTGACTTTCTGGTTTGCCACTCCAATTTGAGTACTAATTAAGTGGTAGTCACATCTTCAACATAAAAACCAAAATAATGGCATCCTCGTGGAAGGAATTTTGTCAGAAAAATGCTGTGTACTTTGCTGTCTTCCTAGGATTTGTTCTGTTTTTGTTTGTTTGTTTTTTTTAATGGTTCCACAGGCTGCATAGGAATACAAGCTAAGCAATATTTTAATTACAGATCATTAAGCAGCTTTGAGTCTGGAAAATTTGTCAAATGTACCGAGCAATTAGAATTGTTACCAGGAGAAAATATCAATCTACTTGCTGGAGGGTCAAAAGAAAAAATAGGTAGGTATTTGAGAAAATAGTTTTAAAGTTATTTTAGTGGACAAGTTGCTCAAAATGTTTGGCTTAGTATATTTTACTGGAAAATCTGGAAGTTATTTTACATTTTTGTGGGGGCAGAATCCCATGTGAAGCAACAAATTTAGGGCTGCCCTATTTATGTTTGATTTGGGAAATGAAAAGCACTTAAAATTAAGTCAAATAAAAAAAATGACCACCTTAATACTTTGAGATTTATCTAGCCATTTTGTTTGATAAAGGACAAAGTAGTGTTTCAGCTAAATATTTTTCTTGATTTTCATCTTGATGTGGCTCATTAAGTTCTTTATCACAAATGGAACACTTGATAAGATGTTATTAAAAAGTTTAATGAGTATTCTGGATTGAGCAAGATTTGCTAATGCAGGTCTAGATTTGTCCCCTTAAATAGTAGATTGACTTACCGATTTTCTTTTTTGTTGAGACAGAGTCTCACTCTGTTGCCCAGGCTGGAGTGCAGTGGCGCGATTTCGGCTCACTGCAACCTCCGCCCTCTGAGTTCAAGTGATTCTCCTGCCTCGGCCCCCTGAGTAGCTGGGATCACAGGTGTCTGCCACCGTGCCCAGCTAATTTTTTGTATTTTTAGTAGAGACGGGGTTTCATCATCGTGGCCAGGCTGGTCTTGAACTCCTGACTTCGTGATCCACCCACCTTGGCCTCCCAAAGTGCTGGGATTACAGGCGTGAGCCACCACACCTGACCTCGACTTAGTGATTTTTGAGCCTTTGAAGGCAACTGCTTTTTAGGGGTCTGAGGTACAGTAATTTTGTATGAAGTATGATTTTTATATAGCTCTCAGTAATGCTTATAGTGTTTAACTGCCTGAAATATTAAAGGAGCTGTTCATTGGTGATTAGTTCTTAATAATGCCAAACATAAATCAAAATTTATAATAAAAGCACATTAACTTAATGACATTTCATTTAACTTCTGTAGACATGAAAAAACTGCTTCGTAACATGTGAAGTCCAGATCCAAGGGAACCTCAGAAATCCATTGAAGTTCCATTGTTAAGAAGTTCTGTTTGTTTGGCAACTGCTTTAAACCCGATAGAACAAGATCAGAAGTGGCAGTCTATAACTGAGTAAGTTTACTCTTACGGAGGTAAATGTACATTGTGTATATCATGTGATAAACATACATGGGGTGAAGAGGGCTGGAAGGAGAGTTACTAGATTACTAAATACTAGTGCTAATAGCTTCATTTTAGTTGTAGAAGTCATATGATATATGAATGCTGCTTGCCAACAAAAACTGAGGTTGAAATGAAATAAAATGTAAAAATCCCCAAAAGCAAATGTCTTGACTTGCTGATATCATTTTATTATAGAGCAGGCTGCTCCTCTTACTGCCCCCTAACTTTGGATGTCAGTTTGATAGCATCTTATCAATTGCTTTATTCTTTGAGTGGTTATGAATTGTAATTTTTATTAATTGACAGTAAATATTTTGTTTCAGAAATGTGGTAAAGTACTTGAAGCAAACATCCCGCATCACTATTGGACCTCTGAGACTTTCTACTTTAACAGTTTCACAGTCTTTGCCAGTTCTAAGTACCTTGTAGCTGTATTGCTCGTTTGCTTTGGAGACCACAGTTTCTAACAGACTTTCAACAGAGGTCTGTATATTTTTACAAGCACACTCTTATGACTATTAATGGTCATTACTGTAGAACAAAGACCTTATTTTTTGAGTTTTTTGGAATAGGATTTGTAGTTGGGCAAGCTGGTAAATCCAGAAATCTAACATGCCGTTTTCAGGCAGTCTTTCATTTGGGAAGTACATGGGGCAGATGGAAGAACCTGAGATAATCGCAAGGATGGCAAATTGCTCAGTTTTTTCTTCTATTTTTGGGGTGGGAGGTGGTGTAGGTAAAGACAGTTCCTTTAGGCGGATTACGTAAATTTTAGATTTGCTGCAAACAAAGATCTCTCCTCTTCATCCTAAATGGGGTAAAGTTCGACCAGAGATGGGGGCTTCTGAATGAATGGTGATCTTCGAGAACTTCATAATAAAGCATTAGTTGTAATGTTTTTCTGCAGTCTGCTTTATAGTAAATGTGCTGTGACATTTTTTTTGTAATGTGCTTTATTAAGTATATTGATAAATTAGACTTAATATTCTGAAGAAGATTTCCCTTCAAAACAAAAGGCTTTCTCTTACTGTGTGCTTGCCTCTTGTGAGTAGAAGATAAATGATGGAAGGGTATAGTGTAATAGATAAAACTACTGCAATCAATCTGAAGTAGCCAAACTATATTGCAGTCTTGGACTTAAGACTTGCTATATATCTGCAAACATATCAACAGCCTGTTTTACGTTGAGTAATTTTGGTTTTTCTCTGGCAGGACTGTCTTATTCCACTCTTCGGCGAAGCTTTACGTTCATGTAAACAGCATGACGTGAGGCCGTGGATGCAGGCATTAAGGTATACTGTGTACCAGAATCAGTTGTTGGAGAAAATTAAAGTTAAGTGGTTTTCCTTTTTTTTTTTTTTGTAAGAGAAAATTAAAGGTGGTTTTTTTTTTTTTAATTTTGCTTTATTGAGGTTTATATTACACATTCTAAGTGTATGGTTTGATGAGTTCTAACATGTCTTCACTTGTGTGACCACCAATACGATCGAGATACAGAACAGCGTCTTACCCCAGAAGGTTCCCTTGAGATCATCTCCTCATTTGCCCCTGTCAGCAGTTACTGATTTGCTTTCTGTCACTATGGATTAGACTTGTCTTTACTAAAGTTTCATGTACGTGAAATCATAACAACATGTTCTCTTGTGTTTGGCTTCTCTTGCTCAGCATGATATTTTTACGGTTCACCCATATTGCATGTATCAGGAATATAATCCTTTTTATTATTGAGTAGTGTTCTATTGTATGTATATACCACAGTTTATTTCTCCCTTCATCCTTTGCTAGATTTTGGGGTTTTTTCACATTGCGCTATTCAGTATAAACCTGCTCTCAACATTCATGTGCAAGTCTTTGAGTGGACATATATTTGCGTTTCTCTTGAGTGAATGCACCTTGTTGGGTCACGTGGCTTAACTTAAAAAAATTTTAATCACTGTGGTGCATATGTAGTGATTATTAGTGATTATCTCATAATTTTATTTTCTTGATGACTAATGATGTTGAGTGTATTTCATTTGTATTTTAGTTTGCAAATGTTTGTTCAAATTCTTCACCCGTTTTTAATGAAGATGTACGACTTATTTTTGTGTTCTGAACAGAAGTTCTTTGTCACATAAAATGTGCTATGAATGTTGAGTTTTAAATACTCCAAATGAATGGCTAGAGAATTACTATTTGTAGAAATATTTATATGTCAAAGGGATGCTAACAATTTACTTTATTGCTCTAAAATAGAAAAGTTGCCAGAATGCTGTGGAGTTTTAGTGGAAAACATGATAGCTGGTGTTACTGAGTAAATTTGAGTGTTAAATGTCAATGTAAGCTAACGGCCAAGATAGGGACCACTGCAGGGTGGTTACTTGCAGCTGTGACTCAACTGGTCCTTCACTGCCAAACATACCTGGGGTTGGATCATTGGCCTGACGTTTGCAAATTGAGGAACCTTAGGGCAAATCAGTGAACTTCTGAACTGCCTTCGTCTTCAGTTATATGGGGATTTCCCCACTTTTGAGATCCTTGTAAGGATTATATGAGATGAAGAGATGAGACAAGGTATATAAAAGTCCTAGCACAGAGCGTGTCATATAATATGGCTTCACAAGTACCCTCATCTCCTTTCCAGTCGTTTTTTGTTTTTGTTTTTGTTTTTTTGAGACCATCTCACTCTGTTGCCCAGGCTGGAGTGCCTCTTCATTTTTATTTCTTTATTCAGCAAGTATTGATCAAATGTGCTTTGTACCAGGTACTGAGCTCTACGTTGGGATATAATGGTGATCAAGGAGATTGTAGATTCTGGCAGGGAAAACTGACATCAAACACGGCGACCCGACATAGTGAGACCCTGTCTCTACTAGAAGAACTTTAAAAATCACCTAGGTGTGGGCCGGGCACGGTGGCTAACGCCTGTAATCCCAGCACTTTGAGATGCTGAGGCAGGTGGATCACGAGGTCAGGAGATCGAGACCATCCTGGATAACACGGAGAAACCCCGTCTCTACTAAAAATACAAAAAAATTAGCCGGGCGTGGGGGCGGGCATCTGTAGTCCCAATTACTCGGGAGGCTGCAGCAGGAGAATGGCATGAACCCGGGAGGCGGATCTTGCATTGAGCCAAGATCACGCCACTGCACTCCAGCCTGGGCGACAGAATGAGACTCCATCTCAAAAAAAAAAAAAAGAAACCAAGGATATAGAATAAAACAAGAGTGTAGATTTGGGCATTGAGGCCTTCAAATTGGATTGTTCCCAATGTCCAGAAGAAAAAAAAAATTTAGAAGAGACCCAAATCAGAAAACAAAAGTTGGGCTGAATTCAATGCGAATTATTTTCTAGCTCAATATTAATACTGCTTATGTCAGCTGAATTTCAGCCTTTCAATAACAGCTAGTCAAGTATTTTTTTAGTTGGTTCCTATTGATCGTCATCTTATTTTAGTGGAATCCATTATATTGAAGATGTCAAGTTCCTCATTTCCCATACAAAGAATGTGAGATTCATCTTTCTTGAATCTTTGCTAAGTGTTGAAGGGGACTTTTGGCATCTTTTCAGGAGGACTATAATTGGGCCCTCTAACTAAAAAGTCTCCTATGCCCCTTAGATAGATGAGATTTTTTTTTTTTGACCTTGTACCCACCAACATTGGTGGGAGGCTCAGAAGGGACTGTGTTTGTAACTTTGTAGCACTTTCTAAACAGTGACCTGTTGTATGGGCATTATAGGACAGTCCGTGGGGTGGGGCGGGGGATGGGGGAGATGGACAAATGAGGTCTGGTTTAAAGAATGAGAAGTGTGACCAGGCATGGTGACTCATGCCTGTAATCCAGCACTTTGGGATGCTGAGGCAGGAGGATCACTTGAGCCCAGGAGTTTGAGGTTACAGTAAGCTATGATTGTGCCACTGGGCTCCAGCCTGGGTGACAGAACTAGACCCTGTCTCTAAAAAAAGAAGAAGAGGTGTGTATCCTTCTAAATGATAAAACAGATCACTCCCCTGCTTACATAAAACTTTCCGGTGGCTGGCCAGGCACGGTGGCTCACGCCTGTAATCCCAGCACTTTGGGAGGCCATGGTGGGCAGATCACGAGGTCAGGAAATCGAGACCATCCTGGCTAACGTGGTGAAATCTTGTCTCTACTAAAAACACAAAAAATTAACCCAGGTATGGTGGCATGCACCTGTAGTCCCAGCTACTCGGGAGGCTGAGGCAGGAGAATCGCTTGAACCAGGGAGGTGGAGGTTGCAGTGAGCTGAGATTGCGCCACTGCACTCCAGCCTGGGTGACAGAGACTCTGTCTCAAAAAAAAAAAAAAAAAAGAAAAAGAAAAATTAGATGGGTGTGGTGGCATGTGCCTGTAATCCCAGCTACTGGGGAGCCTGAGGCAGGAGAATCGCTTGAACCTGGGAGGCAGAGGTTACAGTGAGCCAAGATTGCACCACTGCAGTCTGCCTGGGTGACAGAGCTAGACTCTGTCTCAAAAACAGAAAAACAAAAAAACAACTTTCCAGTGGCTTCTCACTGCTCTGAGAATAAACTCCAGGCTCTTCCATTGCAACCAACAGGATCTGGTGATTCGACCCCAGCCCCTCTTTCCAGGCCCTCATCACCTTGATCCTCCCTTAACCTATCCTGCTCCAGCTGCACTGGCTGCCTTCCTATTCCTCCAGCATACCAAGATTGTTTCTGCCACAGGGCCTTTGCATCTGCTGTTCTCTTCGCCTGGACACCTCTTGGTTCTTTTTTTTTTTTTTCCTTTGAGATGGAGTCTCACTCTGTCGCCCAGGCTGAAGTGCAGTGGCGCGATCTCGGCTCACTGCAAGCTCCATCTCCCAGGTTCATGCCATTCTCCTGCCTCAGCCTTCCGAGTAGCTGGGACTACAGGCATCCGCCACCACGCCCGGCTAATTTTTTTGTATTTTTAGTAGAGACAGGGTTTCACCGTCTTAGCCAGGATGGGCTCGATTTCCTGACCTCGTGATCCGCCCGCCTGGGCCTCCCAAAGTGCTGGGATTACAGGTGTGAGCCACCGTGCCTGGCCATAGAGCAGTCTCTTCCTTTTCCTGTTGGGTCTCTGCTCAAATGTCATGTCAGAGAGGCAGACCTCTGGGGCGGTCTATCTGAGGGAATGCACCCATCTCCCTTCCTCTGACCAGTTAGTTACCTTGCTTATTCTTTCAAAGCTCTTACCACCACCTGAAGTCATCTATCTGGTTTGGTTATTTTATTGTTTAGTAGCAGTCTTTATTTTATTATTATTATTTTTTTTTGATGGAGTCTCACTCTGTTGCCCAGGCTGGAGTGCAGTAGCATGATCTCGGCTCACCAGAACCTCTGCCTCCCAGGTTCAAGCAATTCTCCTGCCTTAGCTTCCTGAGTAGCTGGGACTACAGGCACGTGCCACCATGCCCAGCTGATTTTTGTACTTTTAGTAGAAACGGGGTTTCACTATGTTGGCTGGTCTTGAACTCCTGACATCAAGTGATCCGCCCACCTCGGCCTCCCAAAAAGTACTGGGATTACAGGCATGAGCCACCACGCCAGGCTGGTAGCAGTCTTTCCTAGAATGTGGATGCCTTGGAAAACAGGGGCTCTGCCTTGTTTCCCTATAACCTAGAATGGCATCTGGCACACAGCAGATGCTACATCTATTGTAAATGAATGAATGAAAGAAGTGTCCTTGCAGCCACACTGGCAGCCATAACATAGTGGTTATAAATCTAGACTCTGGAGTCTCAAGTGCAAATGTCATTGGCCTCTCCTCCAGCCTCCTCAAGGGGCACTCAATGACTGGAAGCGCCCTGATATGACTGTGGTTAGACTGACATGACTGCCAGATGGTGGGACTTGGTCTGGAGCAGAGACTACTTGGAATGGTAGAGGCAAAACTCAACAGCCCCTGGAGCTGCGCTTGTGGTGGAGCTGGACCCTGATTTTAGCTGGACCTTGTTTTTAGAGACAGGGTTTCCTTCTGCAGTCTCAATCTCCTAGCCTTGATTGATCCTCCTGCCTTGGCCTCCCAAAGTGCTGGGACTACAGGTGCATGCAACCACACCTGGCTAATTTTCTTTTCTTCTTTCTTTCTTTCTTTTTTTTTTTTTTTTTTTTTTTTTTTTGATGGAGTCTTGTTCTGTTGCCCAGGCTGGAGTGCAATGGTGCCATCTCGGCTCACTGCAACCTCTGCCTCCTGGGTTCAATCCATTCTCCTGCCTCAGCCTCCCAAGTAGCTGGGACTACAGGTGTGTGCCACCGTGCCTGGCTAATTTTTGTATTTTTAGTAGGGACGAGACTTCACCATGTTGGCCAGGCTGGTCTCGACCTCCTGACCTCAGGTGATCCACCCACCTTGGCCTCCCAAAGTGCTGGGACTACAGGCACATGCAACCACGTCTGGCTAATTTTCTTGAGTTTCAGTAGAGACTGGGTCTCGTTATGTTGTCCAGGCTGGTCCCGAGCTCCTGAGTTCAGTCGATCTTCCTGCCTTGGTCTCCCAAAGTGCTGGGCCTACAGGCGTGAGCCACCATCCCCAGCCCAATTTTTGTATATTTTGTAGAGACACAGTCTTGCTATGTTGTCCAGGCTGGTCTCAAACTCCTGGGCTCAAGGGATCTTCTTGCCTTGGCCTCCCGGAGCACTTAATTACAGGAATGACTGCATGTGCTGTTGTGCCTATACTTTCTGGAGATACGTTGTTAGGAATTTATGTAGTTGGCCGGGCACGGTGGCTCACGCCTGTAATCCCAGCACTCTGGGATGCCGAGGCAGGTGGATCACCTGAGGTCAGGAGTTCGAGACCAGCCTGGTCAACATGGTGAAACCCTGTCTGTACTAACAATACTAAAATCAGAGGTTGCTTGCAGTGAGCCAAGATCATACCATTGCACTCCAGCCTGGGCAACAGAGCGAGACTCTGTCTCAAAAAAAAAAAAAAAGAAAAAAAGGAATTTACATAGTTGAACAACTATTCTTTGGACATCTTTTAGTCCAGTAGACGGTGTTAAACTTGAAGACAAATAACGATTTGACCTGTGATATTTGTTTTTCCCTCTTATCTTCTAAGCCCATTCATCCAGATCATTCATCACCTTTAAAGGCATCCCCAAAGGGAGGCAGGTCTGGACAGAGCTGAAGATTGCACAGGCCATTTGCAGGCTGGATTCGTTCTCTGGTGACCCACCTGTCTGACTCGAGTTATTTTTTTCCCATGTCTGGACAAGACTGACCTCTGCCCAGCAACTGAGGCCTGGATTTAGTCCAAGGGCCCTCAGTGGCTTTTTTGTTTGTTTGTTTTTTCAGGAAGTGAAGAATTTAGAGGGATAAAAGGCGGAAATAACTTTTCAGCCTCTGACCTTTGTAACAATCTGGTTTCCTTTTAAAGGAGCATTGTTTGGGCCTGGGGCCACCTAGACCTTCTGATGCTCTTTCCCCACCCTTGGAGGAGGAGGAAAGGAAGAAAATGGGCCCTGAGCGATCACCACATACCAGGCCCTGGGGGTCTAGTGGCGAAGGAGGCAGGTAGGGTCTCTTGCTTTCATGGAGCTTCTAGTCAAGCGAGACGCACTAAACAGTAAAGGGACAAATAGGATTACTGGAGGTAGCCCTAACTACTGGGACAGAAACAAGATGGTAAGATAGAGAAGGAAGAGTGGCCTGCTCAGATGGGGTGGTCCAGAGGCCTCTCGGGGGAGGTGACTCCTTTTTGTTTTATTTTTTTTGAGATGGAATCTAGCTCTGTCGCCCAGCCTGAAGTGCGGTCGTGTGTTTCATGCGCGTCCGTGTGAAGAGACCACCAAACAGGCTTTGTGTGAGCAACATGGCTGTTTATTTCACCTGGGTGCAGGCGGGCTGAGTCCGAAAAGAGAGTCAGCAAAGGGTGGTGGATTATCATTAGTTCTTACAGGTTTTGGGATAGGGGGTGAAGAGCCATGTTTGCAGGCAGGGGTGGATCTCACAAAGTACATTCTCAAGGGTGGGGAGAATTACAAAGAACCTTCTTAAGGGTTGGGGAGATTACAAAGTACCTTCTTAAGGGTGGGGGAGATTACAAAGTACATTGAACAGTTAGGGTGGGGCAGAAACAAATCACAATGGTGGAATGTCATCAGTTAAGGCTATTTTTACTTCTTGTGTGGATCTTCAGTTACTTCAGGCCATCTGGATGTATACGTGCAAGTCACAGGGGATGCAATGGCTTGGCTTGGGCTCAGAGGCCTGACAGTGTGATCTTGGCTCACTGCAAACTCTGCCTCCTGGGTTCAAGCAATTTTTGTGCCTCAGCTTCCCGAGTAGCTGGGATTACAGGTGCCCGCCACCATGCCCAGCTAATTTTTGTATTTTTAGTAGAGACATAGAGTTTCACCAGATTGGCCAGGCTGGTCTCGAACTCCTGTCTCACGTGTCTGTGTGAAGAGACCACCAAACATGCTTTGTGTGAGCAACATGGCTGTTTATTTCACCTGGGTGCAGGCGGGCTGAGTCCAAAAAAGGAGTCAGCAAAGGGTGGTGTGATTATCACTGGTTCTTATAGGTTTGGGGATAGGCGGTGGAGTTAAGAGCAGTGTTTTGGGGGCAGGAGGTGGATCTCATAAAGTACAGTGTCAAGGGTGAGGAGAATTACAAAGAAACTTCTTAAGGGTGGGGGAGATGATAAAGAACCTTCTTAAGAGTGGGGCAGATTACAAAGTACATTGATCAGTTAGGGTGGGGCAGAAACAAATGACAATGGTGGAATGTCTTCAGTTAAGGCTGTTTTCACTTCTGTGGATCTTCAGTTGCTTCAGGCCATCTGGATGTATACGTGCAGGTCACTGGGATATGATGGCTTAGCTTGGACTCAGAGGCCTGACATTCCTGTCTTCTTATGTTAATAAGAAAAATAAAACAAAATAGTGGTAAAGTGTTGGGGTGGCGAAAATTTGTGGGGGTGATATGGAGAGATAATGGGCGATGTTTCTCAGGGCTGCTTCGAGCGGGATTAGGGGCGGCCTGGGAACCTACAGTGGGAGAGATTCAACTGAAGAAAGATTTTGGGGTAAGGGCTGATACTGTGGGGTTGTTAGAAGGAGCATTTGTCATATAGAATTATTGGTGATGGCCTGAATACGGTTTTGTATGAATTGAGAAACTAAACAGAAGACACACGGTCCGAATAAGAGAAGGAGAAAAACAGGTATTAAAGGACTAAGAATTGGGAGGACCCAGGACATCCAATTAAGAGAGTGCCCAAGGGGGTTCAGCATAATTATTTGCTTGGTTGGCAAGTTTTTGGACTCTATCCTTGAGTTTTTTTATGTTGTCATATACCAGGCCAGATTGATTTAGGTAAAAACAACACTCTTCATTTAAAAATATACAGAGTCGTCCTTTTTCAGCAATGAGTAAATTGAGGCCTTGGCGATTTTGGAGGAAAGAGAATTGCAAAGCCAGCAATTGTTTCTTTTTTTATTTATTTATTTACTTATTTTTTAAAATTATACTTTAAGTTATAGGGTACATGTACACAATGTGCAGGTTTGTTACATATGTATACATGTGCCATGTTGGTGTACTGCACCCATTAACTCGTCATTTACATTAGGTGTATCTCCTACTGCTATCCCTTCCCCCTCCCCCACCACACAAGAGGCCCCAGTGTGTGATGTTCCCCTTCCTGTGTCCAAGTGTTCTCATTGTTCAATTCGCATCTGTGAGTGAGAACATGCGGTGTTTGGTTTTTTGTCCTTGTGATAGTTTGCTGAGAGTGATCGTTTCCAGCTTCATCCATGTCTCTACAAAGGACATGAACTCATCCTTTTTTATGGCTGCATAGTACTCCATGGTGTATCTGTGCCACATTTTCTTAATCCAGTCTATCATTGATGGACATTTGTGTTGGTTCCAAGTCTTCACTATCGTGAATATTGCCGCGATAAACATATGTGTGCATGTGTCTTTATAGCAGCATGATTTATAATCCTTTGGGTATGTATCCAGTAATGGGATGGCTGGGTCAAATGGTATTTCTAGTTCTAGATCCCTGAGGAATCGCCACACTGTCTTCCACAATGGTTGAACCAGTTTACAGTCCTACCAACAGTGTAAAAGTGTTCCTATTTCTCCACATCCTCTCCAGCACCTGTTGTTTCCTGACTTTTTAATGATCGCCATTCTAACTGGTGTGAGATGATATCTCATTGCGGTTTTGATTTGCATTTCTCTGATGGCCAGTGATGATGAGCATTTTTTCATGTGTCTGTTGGCTGCATAAATGTCTTCTTTTGAGAAGTGTCTGTTCATATGCTTTGCCCACTTTTTGATGGGGTTTGTTTTTTTTTCTTGTAAATTTGTTGGTGTTCTTTGTAGATTCTGGATATTAGCCTTTTGTCAGATAAGTAGATGGCAAAAATTTTCTCCCATTCTCTAGGTTGCCTGTTCACACTGATCCTAGTTTCTTTTGCTGTGCAGAAGCTCTTTAGTTTAATTAGATCCCATTTGTCAGTTTTGGCTTCTGTTGCCATTGCTTTTGGTGTTTTAGACATGAAGTCCTTGCCCATCCCTATGTCCTGAATGGTATTGCCTAGGTTTTCTTCTAGGGTTTTTATGGCTTTAGGTCTAACATTTAAGTCTTTAATCCATCTTGAATTAATTTTTGTATAAGGTGTAAGGAAGGGATCCAGTTTCAGCTTTCTACATAGGGCTAGCCAGTTTTCCCAGCACTATTTATTAAGTAGGGAATCCTTTCTGCATTTCTTGTTTTTGTCAGGTTTGTCAAAGATCAGATGGTTGTAGATGTGTGGTATTATTTCTGAGGGCTCTGTTCTGTTCCATTGGTCTATATGTCTGTTTCGGTAGCAGTACCAGGCTGTTTTGGTTACTGTAGCCTTGTAGTATAGTTTGAAGTCAGGTAGCATGATGCCTCCAGCTTTGTTCATTGGGCTTAGGATTGTCTTGGCAATGTGGGCTCTTTTTTGGTTCCATATGAACATTAAAGTAGTCTTTTGCAACTCTCATCAGCCCAGTTTAATATTACCTATTTATTATAATGTAATGCTGCTCGGACAACTGAGAAAATACTGTTGCTTTACCCCCTCCAGCTCTGTAGCAGCCACGCAGAAATCATAGAACTGTAAACATATGCTAATTACACAACCTATGTAGGCAATCAATATTAAGAAAAATTTTTACTGCCCGGTATTTCTGTGGTTGAAAATGTAGAGTCTAATTTTGATCCGCAGTAACATCTAGGTTAATGTTGATTCAGAAGGAAAATGTTTGTTGTTGCCATGAGAAGAGGCATTGAAATGCTGAATCACCACCACAAATGTTACCACTATTAATATAAGGAGATACATAGGAAGATGGAATTAGACCATCTCGGACCACCAGGTTTACAATTCCACCTGCAGATACATGCAAGAAGTATTGTCACAATACTTATGTCACGTTATTCCGTTGAGGTCATCACCAACTAAGCTTATAATTAATGTGGTCAATTTGGTCAATGTCACCAGCGTAGCATACTAACAAAAACAAGGGTTGCAAAGTCAAATGCCTATAAGGCAGAACGTAAGACGGTAGGAAGCAAAGTCTATAGGGAGCTATATAATAGAGGCTGCAGATTCATGGCAGATTCTAAAGCACAGCAGTCCCCAACATTTTTGGCACCAGGGACCGGCTTTGTGGAAGACAATTTTTCCACAGGCGGCAAGGGATGGGGCGCAGGATGGTAATGGTCTTGGGATGAAACTGTTCCACCACAAATCATCAGGAATTAGATTCTCATAAGGAATATGCAACCTGGATCCCTCGTGTGTGCAATTCACAACAGGGTTCATGCTCCTGTAAGAATCTAATGATGCTGCTGATCTGACAGGAGGCAGAGCTCAGGCAGCAATGCAAGCAATGGGGAGCAGCCAGAAATACAGACGAAGCTTCAATTGTTACCCACCATTCACCTCCTGCTCTGTGGCCCAGTTCCTAACAGGCCACAGACCAGTACATGTCCATGGCCCAGGGGTCAGGGACCCTGCTGTGGCACATTGCTTAATAGAGGACTGTAGCAGCCATGTGCCCTGACCTTTCCTTTTTTTTTTTTTTTTTTTTTTTTTGAGATGCCAGAAACCCAGAATTTTTTTTTTTTTTTTTTTTTTTAAGACAAGGTCTGGCTCTGTTGCCCAGGTTGGAGTGTAGGAGGGCGATCTCAGCTCACTGTAACATCAACCTCCCAGGCTCAAGCAATCCTCTCACTTCAGCCTCCCACGTTGCTGGGATTACAGGCACACTCCACTACACCCAGCTAATTTTTTTGTATTATTTGTAGACATGGGGTTTCGCCATGTTGCCCAGGCTAGTCTGGAATTCCTGAGGTCAAGCTGTCTGCCCATCTCAGCCTCCCAAAGTGCTGGGATTGCAGGAGTGCACCACCACACCTGGCCTGAAACCCAGATTTTATTTATTTATTTATTCATTTTTTGAGATGGAGTCTTGCTCTATTGCCTAAGCTTGAGTGCAGTGGCGCGATCTTGGCTCACTGCAACCTCCACCTCCCTGGTTCAAGCGATTCTCCTGCCTCAGCCTCCCAAAGTGCTGGGATTACAGGCATGCAACACCACACCCAGCCTGAAACCCAGATTTTTAATATGAAATCAAAGTCTTCAGACCTTGTAGGTGTCATAAAAAGCACGCTGAGGACCACTAGTTTGCAACTGCCAATCTAAAATATCATAGACATTATATCACTTTAACCACGAAAAAAAAAGTATGTGAGGCAGAAAATGGAAGCAACCATGCCTAATTTATTGTTGAATACTTTTTCCGTATACCAAGAGCTTCCTTTGCACTAGCATCTGAAACTATATCCAGAATGACACTGGTTTTCATAAAAGTGTTGATCCTCACACCTCTTTATAGTCTTGCACCTAGCCCAGTGGAGTGAAACACTTTAAATAGCACTTGTTCCTTGAGTATATATGGAAAAAAGTGAAGTATTGATAAGTGCTCAGCTAATATGAGCAGCATCTCAGGAGTCTCCAATTCTTGAATTACCAGGGAGTATTTTTACCATTTTCCCCCAGTGAAAGGCCTATTTTGAGAGACTTATCCTCCAAAATGAATGTATTAAGTCATGTTCCTTTTTTTTTTTTTTTTTGAGACAGGGCCTTGCTCTGTTGCCCAGGCTGGAGTGCAGTAGCATGATAGTTACAGGAAAGGGGTCCCAATCTAGACCCCAAGAGAGGGTTCTTGGATCTTGTGCAAGAAAGAATTCAGGGTGATGCCACAGTGTGAAGTGAAAGCAAGTTTATTAAGAAAGTAAAGGAGGAGGGGCACCGTGGCTCACTCCTGTAATCGCAGCACTTTGGGAGGCCGAGACAGGTGGATCACGAGGTCAGGAGATCAAGACCATCCTGGTTAACACGGTGAAACCTCATCTCTACTAAAAATACAAAAAAATTAGCCAAGTGTGGTGGCCGGTGCCTGTAGTCCCACCTACTCTGGAGGCTGAGGCAGGAGAATGGGATGAACCCGGGAGGCGAAGCTTGCAGTAAGCCGAGATCGCGCCACTGCACTCCAGCCTGGGTGACAGAGGGAGACTCCATCTCAAAAAAAAAGAGAGAAAGTAAAGGAATAAAAGAATGGCTACCCCATAGACGGAGCAGCCGTGAGGGCTGCTGGTTGCCCATTTTTATGGTTATTTCTTGATGATATGCTAAACAAGGAGTGGATTTTTCATGCCTCCTCTTTTTAGACCATATAGGGTAACTTCTTGATGTTGCCGTGGCATTTGTAAACTGTCATGGTGCTGGTAGGAGTGTAGCAGGGAGGATGATGGGAGGTCAGTCTTGTCTCTATTTTGGTTTTGGTGGGTTTTGGCCAGCTCCTTCACTGCAACCTGTTTTATCAGCAAGGTCTTTATGACTGGTATTTTGTGCTGACCTTCTATGTCATCCTGTGACTTAGAATGCCTTAACCATCAGGGAATGCAGCCCAGTAGTTTCAGCCTCATTTTTCCTGGCTCCTATTTAAGATGGAGTTGCTCTGGTTCACACACCTCTGACATGATCATTGCCCACTGCGGCTTCCACCTCCCGGGTTCAAGAGATCCTCCTGCCTCACCCTCCCAAGGTGCTGGGACTACAGGTGTGTGCCACCACGCTCAGCTAATTTTTGTATTTTTTGTAGAGATGGTGTTTTTCCATGTTGCCCAGGCTGGTCTCAAACTCCTGGGCTCAAGCAATCCTTCTGTCTCAGCCTCCCAAAGTACTGGGATTACAGGCATGTCCCACCATGCCCAGACTAATATTTACTTTTAATCAGACTAAGATAGGGTTACTACTTGAGTTGCTATGGCTCCAGCTGAAAGAAAGCCCGTGCAGTCATATCACGCGTAAACATTTGCTTTATGCTAAAAATATGGTGGACCTGGCATTACAGCTATTACAAATCTCCTAAGATGTCTCGGGTAGTGTATTAGTTACTTTTCATACTGCTATGAAGAAATACTGGAAACTGGGTAATTTATAAAGAAAAAGAGGTTTAATGTACTCACAGTTCCACAAGGCTGGAGAGGCCTCAGAATCATGGTGGAAGGCAAGGAGCAAAAAGGTATGTCTTCCATGGCAGCAGGCAAGAGAGCACGTGCAGGGAAACTGCCCTTTATAAAACCATCAGATTTAGTGAGATGTATTCACTATCACGAGAACAGTATGGGAAAAACCTGCCCCCATGATTCGATTACCTCCTACCGGGTCCCTCCCACGACACATGGGGATTATGGGAACTACAATTCAAGATGAAATTTGGGTGGGGACGCAGCCAAACCATATCGGGTAGCAACAACCTAGGGTCAGTTTTGCAGGTGGTAAAGCCATTTACCAAGATAGTTGTAGGTAAAGAAGGGCAGATTTATTAGAGAAATTGTGAAAATATGTTGCAGTGGGCAGCTCAGCAGAGAAGGGGCTACCTGCAAAGAGGCAAGGGCTGGAGGAAAGTTTTATAGGGTCCTGCTGAAGGGTGCTACGTGTGGAATGAGGTCATTGTGCCCGCAGGTTGTTTGTGATTAGCTGTTTCTAACAATTGTTCATACAATAATTGTTCATTATTGTTCTCAACTTGGGGCTCTCCCCAACCTGGGGACCCTTCCTTATTGTTGCTTACTTATCAGGTCTCCACATAAAGGTGTGGAAACTTCATTCATTCATATCTTCAACACAAATTGTAGGTAGCCTGTTTTTTAAAACATTTATTCAACAAATATTTAGTCCAAGCCACTATTACTTATTACCTTCTCTACTATTGTATGGACTTTTAACTATCTCTGACACTATTCACTATTCTTCCACATTCTCTATTATTTATACCTATGGTAAAATTTGCCAGTTTGACCATACAACTAATACTCACAGGGAATATATAGAGTCTAGAAGAAAATATACAGGTCCTTAAAGGCTGCCCTGCCAACAAAACCATAACGCAGGAACAAACATCACAACTATGCCAAATAATCAATCCTACAATGTCCAAAATTTTACTTTAAAACTGGAATTTCCAGACTTCCTTTCTGCATTAACCAGTTTAACTAGACAGTAACGAAATATTCCTACTTTATGCTGTGATAGTTTGTTTATTTATTTATTTATTTATTTATTTATTTGAGACAGAGTTTCGCTCTTGTTGCCCAGGCTGGAGTGCAGTGGCACGATCTCAGCTCACCACAACCTCCGCCTCCCAGGTTCAAGCGATTCTCCTGCCTCAGCCTCCCGAGTAGCTGGGATTACAGGCATGTACCACCACGCCCGGGTAATTTTGTATTTTTAGTAGAGACGGGGGGTTTCTCCATGTTGGTCAGGCTGGTCTAGAACTCCAGACCTCAGGTGATACCCCTGCCTCAGCCTCCCAATGTGCTGGGATTACAGCTGTGAAGCCACCGCGCCCGGCTGCTGTGATAGTTGAGATGTAAACCAAAAATAAAATTCTAAGCCACCCAATCCGACTGAATGGACCCTTCCTGTTGAGCAAGGACATTCCAAAGTAAACTGAAAAGACCAGCTTAGGCCATGATGGGAAGGGGAGGTGTCAACATGCCTCATTCTACCTTCCTCCCTCTGGAATCCAGACACAACTGACCAGCATTAACATTAAAACAGAGATCTTAAGCTGGGCACAGTGGCTCATGCCTGTAATCCCAGCACTTTGGGAGGCCAAGGTGGGATCACCTGAGGTCAGAAGTTCAAGACCAGCCTGGCCAGTATGGTGAAGCCATGTCTCTACTAAAAATACAAAATTAGCCGGACATTGTGGTGCACGTCTGTCATCCCAGCAAGGCAGGCGAATCACTTGAACCCAGGAAGCAGAGGTTGCAGTGAGCCAGGATCATGCCATTGCACTCCAGCCTGGTCAACGGAGCGAGACTCCGCCTCATTAAAAAAAAAAAAAAAAAAATTAGCCGGGCGTGGTGGCGGGCACATGTAGTCCCAGCTACTAGGGAGGCTGAGGCAGGAGAATGGTGTGAACCAGGGAGGCGGAGCTTGCAGTGAGCCGAGATTGTGCCACTGCACTCCAGCCTGGACAGAAATGCATTTCATAATGCATTTTAATTGCATTAGCAGTGATTTAATTTTTTTAGATGTTAAAACTTATGGGTGAAAGTGGATTAAATGTAGCCAAATGCAACATCAAAATCTTCAGGCACAAAAACCCATTAACTTTTTCATACTCTCAGAAGGTGAACCTAATTTCAAATGAAAGCTGCCTCCAGAATATATTGTTAAGCGTATTCTAGATATAATTCATTTTGGCAAACATACTGTAGAAATTCACATAACATTTTACTGTACTAAAAGTAAATTGCCCATGTAACAAAAAATATCTTTTCAGAGCTTGAAATGAATTTTAAAGGATGACTGATGGTCCTTGGAAGAGAAATAGTAAACAAATAAGGTTTGTAGCAATGATGTATGAGTTAGAAATTGCAGTTCCAGATGATCTCTTTATTAAAGAGACGATCTACACTTAATTTGGTCAAGTGTTATGAACATAGTTCATGTTAAGTCTCCATTTAAATACAACCTGAAATACCAAAGTTAATTTTCTTTTCTTTCTTTCTTTTTTTTTTTTTTTTTTTAGAAGGAGTCTTGCTCTGTTGCCCTTCCTGGAGTGCAGTGACGTGATCTTGGCTCACTGCAACCTCCACCTCCTGGGCTTGAGCGATCCTACTGCCTCAGCCCCCCAAGTAGCTGGGAGGACAGGCGCAAGCCACGGCACTCAGCTAATTTTTGTATTTTTCGTAGAGATAGGGTTTCACCATGTTGCCCAATTTGGTCTCGAACTCCTGAGCTCAAGTGATCCGCCCGCCTTGGCCTCCCAAAGTGCTGGGATTACAGGCATGAGCCACCGTGCCTGGCCAGAAAATTGTAAACACACACAAACTCTCAAGTGGCCTAATTCCCTCTCACCAAACCAATCACAATACAGATAAAAGAGAATAACTTGTGTTCATTTTTGTACAAACAAAAAAGATATAAATTGTGAATGATGCATGATTTTTAATTACAAGTAAACTGGGCAAATGCTTCTGCATTATTTAAAGCTAAAAGGTGATCAGTGGAAACTTTCCTCTGTTAGTACTCTAATACTTTTTATATTTATCGGCTCACTACAACCTGTGCCTACCAGGTTCAAGCGATTCTCCTGTCTCAGCCACCTGAGTAGCCGAGACCACAGGCACGCACTACCATGTCCGGCTAATTTTGTATTTTTAATAGAGACAGGGTTTCACCGTGTTGGCCATGCTGGTCTTGAACTCCTGACCTCAACCGATCCGCCTGCCTTGGCCTCCCAAAGTTCTGGGATTACAAGCGTGAGCCACCGCGCCCAGCCTTATTATAATTGTTACTATTTAAATCTCTTTTGCTCTCTCCTTCAAGAGAGACCTCATCCCATTCAGTTGCTTCCATTTATTTATTCATCTTCTGCCTCCTGGGCTCGAGAGATCCTCCAGCGTGAGTCTCCCAAGTAGCTGGGACTACAGGCTCACACCACCAAGCTTGGCTAAATTTTGTAGGTTTTGGAGAGACAGGCTCTTGCCACGTTGCCTAGGCTGGTCTCAAACTCCTGGGCTCAGATGATCCACCTGCCTTCGCCTCCCAAAGCACTGGGACATGAGCCACCACGCCCAGCCGCAAGTACTTTTACACAAAATGCAAACACCATTCTTCCATCATAAAAGTGATACCACAGCTTCCGTGAAGTTTTGCCAGGTAGTACTCATAATTACCTTGGGTAAACTTTTTGATGTTAAACTGTATCTTCTTATTACGAGTTTTTCCATTGTATTAACTGCTTTTACAACAACACAAATAACAAGTTATTTTACAAACCATTTAGAAATTTCTGTACTATGGTCCCAGTAATGTAAAATATATTAATGCCTATTACATTCAGATAAATTATACACTTGGAAACCACATACTTATGACTTACAGAAACTTACATAAACAAATTATAGAAATTATATGCTCAATTTTTAGGTATATAGTCTTAAATTAAGCTTAAATATACATTCTCAAGATAAATTAACAGTTCAGGGCTTCACAACTTGAAATCTGTGGAAGATGACATTGGAGACAACAGAACTCTGGTGGAATTCTTAGATGGAATTTGCCGAAACTTTTTTTTTTTTTTTTTTTGAGATGGAGTGTCGCTCTGTCGCCCAGGCTGGAGTGCAGTGGCGCAATCTCAGCTCACTGCAAGCTCTGCCTCCCGGGTTCACGCCATTCTTCTGCCTCAGCCTCCCGAGTAGCTGGGACTACAGGCGCCCACCGCCACGCCCAGCTAATTTTTTATATTTTTAGTAGAGATGGGGTTTTACTATGTTAGCCAGGATGGTCTCGATCTCCTGACCTTGTGATCCACCCGCCTTGGCCTCCCAAAGTGAAACTTTTCTTTAAAATAGAGATGGGATCTTGCTGTATTGCCCAGGCTGGTCTCAGACTCCTTGCCTTAAGCAGTCCTCCCACCTCAGCCTCCTAAAGTGCTGGGATTACAAGCGTGAAGCATTACATCCAAGTGAAACTTCTTGAGATGGTTACATAATGTCTAAATCTGCTGGTGTAGAAGTTAATAAAGTGTAGAACTGAATAAATATTAAATATTAGATCAAGTTTCTCATGTTTATCTTAACGTATAACGATTTATCTTAAAGCACTGATTTTCACAAAATAACATCAGTGTGAAATTGGAAAAGAAGCCAAATATTTTATTTCATGTATCTGGGAAATGAGGTGCTTTAGTCAACTGAATCTGCCCAAAACTAAAAAGCATTAATTAAAAAGTACTTAACTCAGAAATTATAAAAATAGGAGACATCAATAAAATACATTCTACACAGAATACGCCAACCATACACTACTCTTTTTTGATAATAAAAAATGTATTTACTGAGCCAGTTGTGGTGGCTCACGCCTATAATCCCAGCACCTTGGAAGGCCAATGAGAGTGGATCAGTTGAGGCCAGGAGTTTGAGACCAGCCTGGCCAACATGGTGAAATGCCGTCTCTACTAAGAATACAAAAATGAGCCGGGCACGGTGGCACGCACCTGTAATCCCAGGTACTCCGAAGGATGAGGCAGGATAATTGTTTGAACTCAGGAGGTGGAGGTTGCAGTGAGCCAAAATCATGCCACTGCACTCCAGCCTGGGTGACAGAGTGAGTCTCTGTCTCAAAAAAAAAAAAAAAAAAAAAAAAAAGTCAGTTGCAGTGGCTCACGCCTGTAATCCCAGCACTTTGGGAGGCTGAGGCAGGCGGATTACAAGGTCAGGAGATTGAGACCACCCTGGCCAACATGGTGAAACCTCCTCTCTACTAAAAATGCAAAAATTAGGCTGGGCACGGTGGCTCACACCTGTAATCCCAGCACTTTGGGAGGCCGAGGCGCGGAGATCACGAGATCAGGAGATTGAGACCATCCTGGCTAACACAGTGAAACCCTGTCTCTACTAAAAATACAAAAAATTAGCTGGATGTGGTGGCAGCACTTGTAGTCCCAGCTACTTGGGTGGCTGAGGCAGGAGAATGGCGTGAACCCGGGAGGCAGAGTTTGCAGTGAGCCGAGATCCCACCACTGCACTCCAGCTTAGGCGACAGAGCCAGACTGTGTCTCAAAAACAGGAAAGAAAACAAAAGAAAATTTGGACTATTGCCAATTACAAATATTTTTAGAGAAGAATTCAAAACAGTAACTGTGGATGATGGAAACAATAGTTATGATAAAAGTCTGATGAAACTTCCCAGTTCACAAGGAAATTTAATTACTTATGTGCAGCATTTTAAGACAGTAATCAGAATCATGACTGACAGCATCATATCAGGGCCAGCAGACTTTTATGAATTTCATACAATCTTCAGAAATAATAACTTTTTTTTTTTTTTTTTTGGATAGATTCTACCTTTGTCACCCAGGCGGGAGTGCAGTGGCATGATCTCGGCTCACTACAACCTCCGCATCCTGGGTTCAAGCAGTTCTCCTGTCTCAGCCTCCCGAGTAGCTGAGATTACAGGCATGTGCCACCAGGCATGGCTAATTTTTGTATTTTTAGTGGAGACAGGGTTTCACTCTATTAGGCTGGTCTGGAACTCCCGACCTCAGGTGATCCACGTGCCTTTGTCTCCCAAAGTGCTGGGATTACAGGCATGAGTGACGGTGCCCAGCCATTCGTGACATGTTTATACAAATATAACTTTAGCAAATATTTAGCATAACTATCAAAATTACAAATCATATTAAATTTGTATAAATGTATGCAATTTTTGGAACACGCATATCAACAACATACCCATAAATATAACTGAGATGAGATCTAATGTCACCTCACTTGACAGTGCCCTCCCATGCAGTATCGCCACATTTGACAATGCCTGCCCATTTAATCTACCAAATAAATCGAATCACTTAATACCTCTACAAGATGAGAGATACATTCTTTAGACTCCCCAAGGGATGCAGCTGAAAAAAATCCCAAAGTTAGTTTTAAGCCAAAAAGACTTGATTTAGGATTTTGACACTGGAGAAACCCATCAAAGACGTCAAGTTTGAAAACACTTGATCAAAACAGAATCACAGGTCACTATTAAAAGAGTATTAATTTAACCAGAGACTTCCAAAGCAATACAGAAACTTACATGGATATAAAAACCCTAACCCTTTTAAAGGTCAGATTTGCTAAGTGATCAAAAGGGGTACTTGAATTGAATCGACACAGGAAGAGTGTGTACAGGGTTATGAGTGTAGGCAGATGGTTACTTTGGTCATATCTCCATTTGCCACCTGATTACACATGAGAATGGCATCTTTACTCACCAGAAAGCCAGTATTATAGGAGGTGTAGGAGGCATTCTTGGACTTGAGACAAGAACATTGTTGTGTAGAAATTTCATTGACTGTGTTAAAATTATTCTCCATGGGCTGGAGAACACATAACATGGCCTTTAGAATGAGACGGGCATTGATTGGATGCAAGGTCTCCACACTTACTAGCTGTGTGACATTGGACAGAGTGCTTCATCATTCCGAGACTCAGTTTTTAAAGGAAAAACAACTACCTTGCAAGCTTGCTGGCAGGTTTAAGTGTAATAATGTGTGGGAATGACTGCACCGTGACTAACATGCAGTGACAGCTTAATTAATGTTAACCCTTATCATTATCATATAAGAATGTGAGTTACATAAGAGAGGAGTCCTGTCAGTTCGTTCTCTGCTGTGTCCCCAAGACCATGAATCATGGCTGGCATGTAGTAGGCATTTAATAATATATGTTCAACAAGTATTTGGCAGTCTTGGAGGGCAGAAAAGGAGGTGGGGAAGATTTTTAAATAACATTTTTTAAAAAGTCACATTGTCCTACAATACCGATTTTTCTTGCATATTTAGGAAATTGAGGATTTTTTTCTAAAACATGCGGACATATGGGAAATAGGATGCAACATTTGCACTAATGTTTCAGACACAGTTAGAGGTTTCCAAGAGATTTTGCGCTGGGGAGGCTGCTTGCTACAAGCTCCCAAAGCTCTGGGAGGACATAGTATTCATTCCTCCCTCAGCAGAAGCGGTGAGGCAAGAAGCTCTGGGGAGCACCCAGCCTTGGACTTTTAGCATAGTGTGTCAGGTCTTCATAGTTTGGGCCCAGGGCACAGAGAAGTCACAGCTCTCTGGCATCCTGTGACCTTTACCCTCTTTGCCAAGGGAAAATGTGGCCCACCAAAGCAAGAAACTTGAGGGCATGGGTCACCCCAGCCCTGGCATCTGCCCAGAGCCCGAGAAGGAAGGAACAATGATCCTCCAGCTACCTCACGGGGCTGGCACAGGTGACCACTGCCCTGGCATCACCCAGCTGTGTCCGGCAGCCTGAACCCCATCTGTGGGGATGCGAGGAGGAAAATACAAAAGTCCTTAGGTGAACACTGAGAAGGCAGATGTAGCAGAAACCTCCAGGCCAGAACTACCCAGTCTTGGACCTATGGTGGAGATAGAGCATAGCTGGCAATCATGTGTACTTACACTCTAAGGTCACCTGGTTGCACTGTGGCCTCATCTGTGGCTCTGAAAATGAAGATTTGGAAGGAGATCATCACAGCTAATGTTAACAAGCCCCTCCTGTGTGCCAAATCATTCACCCCTCACCACAACCGAATGAGCTAAGGATTCTCATTATATATAGTTTATGGAGAGGGAAGTGCAGACATAAAGAGGTGAATTATCTTACCCAGATCACACAGCTGATAAGTGGTGGAGGCAGAATAGAATCTAAACAGTGTGGCTCCGGAGCCCACATGCATTGATTCGACAAGTGTTTATTGAGCACCTGCCACGGACAAGGCCTTGTGTGATTAAATAGGGTTATAATTAGTAATATAAAAATGAGAAATCACTAATGCTTTTTAGACTTAACATTTTCTTTTTTTGTAGGTTTCAGGCACAGAACTGTATATCCAATAATAGTGAAATGGATCCCACTAATTATGACAGAAATGATGATACATTTAAATGACTTGGATGTTTTATAGGTATGATCTCGTGAAACCTTGAGAGAAACTGAATGACGAATGAAACTATTGTTCCTGTTTCACACAGAAGAAAACTGAGGTTAAAAGGGGTAAAGTAATTTTGCATGGCATGAAGTAGAAATTCAAAGTACAGGAATTTGAACTTGGTTCTGTCCTTTTCTGAAGCCCTTGACCACTATAGACTCAAACATCACCTTGTTTTTCCACTCATTCAACACTTTTTTTTTTAAATTATCTAATAGGTTGGCACTCATCATGAGCCCCTGTTCTCATTCTGCAAATGGTGAAGCTCTCTATTGTCCTGACCCCACAGTTCCTGTCCCATGACCAGGGCCAGCTCACCAAGGAGCTGCAGCAGCATGTAAAGTCAGTGACATGCCCATGCGAGTACCTGAGGAAGGTGAGTGAGTGCAGACAGATGGGGCCTGGTGCCCTTGAGCAGTTCCCGGGTCTCAGCTGCCACACATCTCATAGCGGGTGATGCTGGGGGAAGCTTACGCAGTCACAGTACTGGCTTCTTCCTCTTTTTCTTTCCATACAAGTGGCTTAGGGATGGGGTAGAGTAGTTGACTTATTTGGATGAAAACCACTATCTTCTGTCAGAAACTCAAAAGGAATCATTGCTGGCATGGTAACCTAAAGAAAAACAACCAGACAAGTGCCCAACGACACTTAAAAAGGTGATTTATTATCTTGCCAAGTTTAGGCTGGGCATGGTGACTCATGCCTGTAATCCCAGCATTTTGGGAGGCTGAGGCTGGTGGATCACCTGAGGCCAGGACTTCGAGACCAGCCTGACCAATATGGCAAAACCTCGTCCCTACTAAAAATACAAAAATTAGCCGGGCATGGTGGTGTGAGCCTGTAGTCCCAGCTACTCAGGAGGCTGAGACAGGAGAATTGCTTAGATTCAGGAGGTGGGGGTTTTAGTGGGCCGAGATCACGCCATTGCACTCCAGACTGTGCGACAGAGCGAGACTCTGTCAAAAAAAAAAAAAAATTATCCTGCAAAATTTGAAAAGGAAATTCAAATCAACAGCTTCTAAACTACTTTTTAACATGACTCATAATAAGAAATACATTCTATAGTACATATATATGTTCTATAACTTTGAATAAAAGAGTTAACCACATCACATTTATTTTACAACATGTAATACATATTTTTTATTCTCCTTCATTTGTTTTGAATGCTCTGTTTAGTCTACAAAAAGTCCAATAGTAATAATTAAATTAGTCATTAAGTTGAACATTATCTTGTCTTTTAAAATGATAATCTCAAAAATGATCTTTTATTTTTGAGATTTATATAGATACACACACACACACACACACACACACACACACACACACACACACACACACACACATATATTTTTTGAGACAGAGTTTCACTCTGTCCCCCAGGCTGGAGTGCAATGGCACAATCTTGGCTCACTGCAACCTCCGTCTCCCGGGTTCAAGCAATTCCTCTGCCTCAGCCTCTGAGTAGCTGGGACTACAGGTGTGTGCCACCATGCCCAGCTAATTTTTGTATTCTTAGTAGAGATGGGGTTTCACCATATTGGCCAGGCTCGTGTCAACTCCTGACCTCGTGATCTGCCCACCGCGGCCTCCCAAAGTGCTGGGACTTTAGGTGTGAGCCGCTGCACCCGGTCCAAGTAAAATTATTTTAACAATATACTATGAAGAGAAAAACACTGGCTATGAAAGAATATGCATAGTTTTACCCTGTTTAAAAATAAAGATTGAAAGAATACATATGCAAATAAGTTTACTTTTATTTTTGGTAACACTTTACTGCATTGTCTGAATATTGACAATCAGTATGCATTATGAAGCTACCTGGCTAACATTGTGTACTCACTGTGTGTGCCAGGCCCTGGGTTCAATGCTCTACATGCACTTATATTTCATTTAATTCTCTCTGCAACCTGAGATGGTATAGCCACCTCATTTTACAGAGTTGAAACTGAGGCTCAGAGACTGAAAGTTAAGCCTGAGGTTGCAGTCAATAAGAGGCAGAGCTGGAACTGAAACCTACCTGTGTCTGACCACCAGTTCGTGTTCTGACGGCAGGCTAGTCTGCATCACAGAGTGTGGAGTAGATGGTGCATGCCTGCTAGGATGGGCTAGGTATCACTGTAGGTAAGAAACAGCCCCAAACTATGGAAATGTACACCACTGAAGGCTCTTTTCCTGCCCATGCTGCACATCCTCCATGGCTCTCCTGTGCCCTGTGCCCCACATGCCCTCATCCTGCCACGAGAATAAAGGAGCAGCCTCCATATGGGAGCTGTCAGCTGCTCTAAGAGATGAAGGAGAGAGTGGCCCGTCTCAATGGCTCCCAACTCTTTTGCCTCGAGGTGACACGCTTCACTTCCACTCACATCTCCTGGGTCAAAGCAAATCCCATGGGTACATCCACTTTCAAGTGGCCCAGGAGAGAACCTGAAATACTCGGTGGACTCCATTAAGGCCGTCATATGGTGTCAGCCTGCATGGGAGACTGTGGAGGGGCAGAGGAGGAGAGTGGGGAACTGATGGGAAATGACAGGAGGACTAAGTCACCGCAGATTTGCTTTATCTTCAGCCAGGTGGAGTTTGTCCCAGAGCCGCACAAAATCATCACCAGCATGATTAAACGGAGTAGACTTCAGAAAAAGCAGTTTGGTCGGATGTAATCAGCAGTGAACTCAGAATCAATTGAGTGACATTGAGTCAGTAAATCTCTGACTGCCTCAGTTACCCCATATGATAGTTTTGAGGATGGGAACATTGAGAGAGT
This sequence comes from Homo sapiens, assembly GCF_000001405.40. Lineage (NCBI taxonomy): Eukaryota > Metazoa > Chordata > Mammalia > Primates > Hominidae > Homo > Homo sapiens. Next base: position 30,243,065 of record NC_000016.10, on the reverse strand, counting down.
TGATTTGGAAGGATATCAAGAGTAAAAATTCCAACATTTTTAGTTCCTTTAAGTTAAATCCAGGCACTGTCTTTCCTGCAAGTCTCCTGTTCCTTTCAGATTGCACAGGTGAGAGTGCTCAGATTAGGGCTGGAGGTTGTAAACCATTGCTCCCACACTGACAGTGCCCCCGTGTCGTGCATGTATTCTGCGCATTTTCCTGTGCTAAACACTCTCCCAAAACATCGTGGGGCCTGATTCTTCCTCTTTGTTCCAATGGCCCTGGGTGACTCAAGTGCCCATTCAATGACCAGGACACAGAGGTCTTAGAGAGATGCTCCTTGAGGCCCCAGGTGCGAGCCTGTACCCTGCCGGAGCATGAGGCAAGGGACAGGGCATCGTCTGTGGGGATAGTGGGGGTAGTGGGGGTAGTGGTCAGCCAGATTTGGTGACTCTACTTGCTCACCAGACGATCCTACACCTGCCACCTCCGATGGATCCACTGCCTCTGTGCCTGCCTGTACTGCTGATGCTCCAGTGGATAACTCAGCATCCCAGCCTAGGCCCAATGCCACTGAAGATGGACCTTCCCCCTGGGGACCCAGGAGTCCTACCACTCAGCTGTCCCCAGGAGTGCCCAGACCCTCATTCTTATCCAGGACCTAGGAGCCCTACCCCTGGCCTTCCCTCATCAGCCGTAAATGATGATTTACTGCTGTTACCATCATCACTGCCTTCAGTGACCAAGGGCCTTCCAAGGCGCCAGCTCTGGAACGAAGGATGCCCTTGGGAGGTGATGACACTCAGGTACACGGGTGCTCAACAGATTGCTTCCTCCTATCCTCAGACGGTCTTTGCATGCATGCAGCCATTGGCACTCCCATTGTGTGGAAGGAAACCAGCCCAGGGTCACACAGCTGGTCAGCAGCAACATAGCTGTTCTCAAATCTAAGGTGCCTGACCATGCCTCCATGAGGGACCGCCTCCAAGGGAGGTTGATCCTGGCTTTGGGGAGCCTTTCCTGGGCTGCACGAATAACCTCCATTGTTCGAGACCCCAAACTCTGCTCACATCTTCCTTTCCCTATCTCTGCTTGGGCTATGATCACGGTGACTCTAGCAGCCCTTCATGGACATTATAGTACTCTCTGCCATTCACTTTTGCTCTAATCTGACTTCAACCCCCACTTACTTGGTCTCTCCTTTTACAACCACCACAACCGAAATCTAGGGCTGCTTTTTTTTTTTTTTTTTTTTGAGACAGAGTCTCATTCCATTCTGTCACCCAGGCTGGAGTGCAATGGTACAATCTCGGCTCACTGCAACCTCCGCCTCCCGGGTCCAAGGGATTGTCCTGCCTCAGCCTCCTGAGTAGCTGGGATTACAGGCGTGTGCCACCATGCCTGGCTAATTTTTGTATTTTTAGTAGAGATGGGGTTTCACCATGTTGGTCAGGCTGGTCTCCAACTCCTAACCTCGTGATCCGCCTGCCTCAGCCTCCCAAAGTGCTGGGATTACAGGCGTGAGCCACCATGCCCAGCCAAATCTAGGGCAGGAACATGGCTGCAGCATATAAAAAGAATTGAATTCCATACTTTTGTTAACCCTGTTTTTTGTTTGTTTGTAGTTGTTGCTGTTTTTGAGACAGAGTCTCGCTCTGTCGCCTAGGCTGGAGTGCAGTGGTGCAATCTCGGCTCACTGCAGACTCTGCCTCCCGGGTTCAAACTATTCTCCTGCCTCAGCCTCCCAAGTAGGTGGGACTACAGGCGCCCACCACCACACCCGGCTAATTTTTGTATTTTATTAGAGACAGGGTTTCACCATATTGGCCAGGCTGGTCTGGAACTCCTGACCTTGTGATCCGCCCACCTCGGCCTCCCAAAGTGCTGGGATTACAGGCGTGAGCCACCACACCCAGCCCCTGTTTTGTTTTTGTTTTGCTTGCTTCTTAGGGTTGTTTTTCTATTTATGGTAAAGGCATTGGCTTTCCATTTGTAGCATCAATAGAATATTTCCTGTTTACAATAACCTTATGTCATAGTAAATGGTAAAGGGATTTAAAGCAGTGGTTTTCAGCTGCCAGAGGCCTGAGAGAGTTTGGGCATACTCTGTGTGATCGGGCAGAAGGCCTGTGGGAAGTTTAGCAGAGGACAGGGCCAGGAAAGTTGATGGACAGTGGGGGTCTGTCCTGGTCACCAGGCCCCTGGGTCCTGCCCACCTGCTTGGAGCTCCCCACCCATCACACATGATGCTGCCAAGCCCTCTGGGTATTGTGGGCAAATACCTTAGGAGAGAAGCTGATGAACTTTGTTTCTTGAAATGCACAGATTCCTTGGACGTCCCTGAGAGCTCAGTCATGAAAGTCAACTTGGTTTTCTCCCCCTCATTTGGGTTCAGAATTTAAAGTCCACACACACAGGCAGTAAGATGATATAGATAAGGACGTCATCACTCGGTTTCGGATGTTAAAATGTCTAGGTGGGTTAGCGGTGATTTGAGATCACACAACCTTGTGCCACAAAGAGGAATTCCCAGGCCAGAGGGAGACATTTTATTGCCATGTTATGATCTCATCATTGAGTTGAAAGGCAATCTTGTTTCATTTTGGATTCTTTCTTATGTTTATGTCTTATAAGGGCACTTTGAATTTCCAAGCAAATAATAATTTTGAATTAGCTTTTAATCATTGACTTCTAGCACAGTTATATGATCAGAAACATGCTGTGTGATTTGATTGCTCTCAAATATATTGAGATTTGCTGGAACAAAATAAGTCAGGTTAATTTTTGTAAATGTACCAGGCATGCTTAAAATGAATGTATCTACATTTGTTCCTGAGATACAGGTTGATGGACGGATGGCTACATGGATGTGATGGAGATGGTTTACTATCGGGACCTTCCGCACCCTGCTGATGTTTTGTTGCTTAGGATATGAATGGCTGAGCGGAGGCTGTAAAACCTGGCACTCTGCTTGGGTATGAGGTTCTTCCTGCCATCCTGCCATCATTTGTTTTTTATGTTTTGTCGCCATAAGTGACCTTGAGGAACCCTGGGAGCTCAGGAAGGAAGGAGCGCCCAGAAGCAGGGACAGGGAGCTGGTTGGGGAGGACCAGAAATCAGGTTTGTGAAGGTTCCAGAGAGGACCTGTCTTTGGGAGGAGTGTGGGAGACTGAGATGGGGGAGGGGTCATTGGAATGATGCGGGCGCTACTTGGCATTGTCCATTGTGAGGCACTGTCCATTGTGAGGCACCACCGGGGTCATCAGGGATTGGTGGAGAGGGAGTATAAAGCCCCAGGGTTGGTAAGGGAGGGCCCAGACCGAAGAAGGTTTGGTGGATAGCAGAACCTTTTTGTCTCCCTCTGATTGCTCCTAAGCCTCACGCTCCCTTGCCCCGCGTGTCCTGTTGCTTCCCTGATCTTCTCCGTGACCTGTAGCTAAACCTTCCACCAGCGCTTGAGAACTTAATTTGAACCGGATCCTTTCCCAGACCCCTTTCTTCTTCTCCTCCTCCTCCTCCACCTCCTCCAGGTGCCCAACAGCCCCCTTCTCCTCCTTTCCCTTCCCTTACTTCCCCCCTTCCCCTCCCCTTCCCCTCCCCCTCCCCTCCCCCTCCCCAACTCAGATCCGGCCCCGGTCCCGTCCCCTTCCCTCCCCCCTGCCCTAAGCCACCTCCACCTCTGTCCTGGCCGCCTCAGGGCGCCCTGAAAGGACCAGGACATGCGGGTGCGGTGGATGCTCTTTTGGCTCCTCTTTGGGCTCCTACTGGAATTTATCAGCCATCAGTGCATCTCTGTGAGTAGACGCTGGACCCGTGGGGTTTCTTCCTTTTTACTGGGCTGTATCACGTGGCATGAAATTACACAGCTCAGGCCTGTAATCCCAGCACTTTAGGGGGCCGAGGTGGGCAGATCACTTGAGTCCAGGAGTTGAAGACTAGCCAGGGCATCATAGCGAAACCCCATCTCTACAAAAAATTCCAATAAAGATTAGTCGGGCCTGGTGGTGCGTACCTGTTATCCCAGTTACTGGAGAGGCTGAGGTGGGAGGATCGCTTGGGCCCAGGAGCTGGACGTTGCAGTGAGCCGAGATGGCCCCGCTGCACTCTTGTTTTTAACAAAGAAAATGGACCAAAACAAAGTGAAATGTCATTTGATTTGTGTCATCTGGTTTGATGACTTTTTTTTTTTTTTTTTTTTTTTTAGACAGAGTCTCACTCTGTCGCCCAGGCTGGAGTGCAGTGGCAAGATCTCGGCTCACTGCAACCTCCGCTTCTGGGGTTCAAGCAATTGTCCTGCCTCAGCCTCCTGAGTAGCTCAGATTACAACGCCTGGCTAATTTTTGTATTTTTAGTAGACCACCACGCCTGGCTAATTTTTTTTTTTTTTTTTTTTTTTTTTTTTTTTTTTTTTTTGAGACGGAGTCTCGCTCTGTCGCCCAGGCTGGAGTGCAGTGGCGGGACCTCGGCTCACTGCAAGCTCCGCCTCCCGGGTTCACGCCATTCTCCTGCCTCAGCCTCCCAAGTAGCTGGGACTACAGGCGCCCGCCACTACGCCCGGCTAATTTTTTGTATTTTTAGTAGAGACGGGGTTTCACCATGTTCGCCAGGATAGTCTCCATCTCTTGACCTCGTGATCTGCCTGCCTCAGCCTCCCAGTGCTGGGATTACAGGCGTGAGCCACCGCGCCTGGCCAAAATATATAACCTTAAGTGTAAGTTTACTAACTTTGGAAAGTACATACACCAGCATAAACCAACCCCCTTTCAAGATCTACATTATTTTATTTATTTATTTATTTATTTATTTATTTATTTTGAGACAGTTTCTCCCTTGTTGCCCAGGCTGGAGTGCAATGGGGCAATATCAGCTCACCGCAACCTCTGCTTCCCAGGTTCGAGCGATTCTCCTGCCTCAGCCTCCCGGGTGGCTGGGATTACAGACATGTGGCACCACTCCCAGCTAATTTTGTATTTTTAGTAGAGATAGGGTTTCTCCATGTTGGTCAGGCTGGTTTTGAACTCCCGACCTCAGGTGATCCGCCCGCCTCGGCCTCCCAAAGCGTTGGGATTACAGGCGTGAACCACCGTGCCCAGCCAAGATCTACACTATTATGTCACCCCAGAAAGTGAACTCTCAGTCTTCCCAGCCAGTCTCTTTCTTATCATAGGTTAGCTTGCTTATTCTGGAATTTCGCGTATACAGATGCATGCCATGCCATAGGTACTCTTTTGTGTCTGCTTTGTTCTGCTCAACACCATGTTTCTGAAATCATTACCATTGTTGTATGGTTCTCTAACTTCATCATTTCCATTTCAGACTCAGCATATGCTGAGTTCAACCTGTTGAAGGGCTATCTCTGTTTAATTCACCATCTTGAAAGAAACATTTAAAATTGAGATGTTTTCAAGAATATATAGTTAAATCCTGAGGAATCGACGTAGAAATGTTATCACAAGCTGTCTGAACTTACTCAGGGGAAGTCTTCGTCTTCACTCACATAAGAGTCTAATGGAATTAATATCAACAATCTTAGAGAAATCCCACACTATTCATGCCATTTTCATGATCTCCACCTTGGTAATTTTTTTTTTTTTTTTTTTTGAGACAGAGTCTCGCTCTGTCACCCAGGCTGAAGTGCAGTGGTGCGATCTCGGCTCACTGCAACCTCTGCCTCCCGGGTTCAAGTGATTCTTCTGCCTCAGCCTCCCAAGTAGCTGGAACTATAGGCACGTGCCACCATGCCCTGCTAATTTTTTGTATTTTTAGTAGAGACGGGTTTCACCGTGTTAGCTAGGATGGTCTCAATCTCCTGATCTCGTGGTCCACCCACCTCGGCTTCCCAAAGTGCTGGGATTGCAGGCGTGAGCCACCACGCCCAGCCCACCTTGTTAATTTTTAAGCACTAAAATTTGATACTTATTTGTGAATGAAGTAATCTCTTCATTGTATTTTTTTTTTTTTTTACTTATGCTGAGATTTAAATGACAAAGATTCATATAATCCAAGAGAGAAGTATTATTTAGAGGGATTCTTTTACCATGTGATATATAATAAATGCATCCAATGTTATACATCAATTTAAAAAACAAGTAAATAACTTTAAAGAAAAGATAACTACTGGCCAGGTGCAGTGGCTCACACCTGTATTCCCAGCACTTTGGGAGGCCAAGGCAGGTGGATCATGAGGTCAGGAGTTGGAGACCAGCCTGGCCAAGATGGTGAAACCCTGTTTCTACTAAAAATACAAAAATTAGCCGAGCGTGGTGGCAGGCGCCTGTAATCCCAGTTACTCAGTAGCTGAGGCAGGAGAATCGCTTGAACCCGGGAGGCGGAGGTTGCAGTGAGTTGAGATCATGCCACTGCAATCTAGCCTGGGTGACAGAGCAAAACTTTGTCTCAAAACAAAAAGAAAAGAAAAGATAAGATAATTACTTTATACTTAGCTTGTCTTACCCATGAGTGACGGGCTGCATGTGGCCCAGGACAGTTTTGAATGCAGTTCAACACAAATTTGTAAACTTTCTTAAAACATTAGGAGATTTTGGCCAGGTACAGTGGCTCATGCGTGTAATCCCAGCACTTTGGGAGGCTGAGGCGGGCAGATTACCTGAGGTCAGGAGTTCGAGACCACCCTGACCAACATGGCAAAACCCCATCTCCACAAAAAATACAAAAATTTGCTGAGTGCACTGTCAGGCACCTGTACTCCCAGCTACTCAGGAGGCTGAGGCAGGAGAATCACTTGAACCTGAGAGGCAGAGGTTGCAGTGAGCCGGGAGCACACCACTGCACTCCAGCCTGGGTGACAGAGTGAGACCCCATCTCAAAAATAACAAACAAAAACAAAAACAAAAAAATGGCTGGGCACGGTGGCTCACACCTGTAATCCCAGCACTTTGGGAGGCCGAGGCAGGCAGATCGCCTGTCAGGAGTTCAAGGCCAGACTGGCCAACATGGTGAAACCTCATCTCTACTAAAAATACAAAAATGAGTCGGGCATGGTGGCAGAGACCTGTAATCTCAGCTACTCGGGAGGCTGAGGCAGGAGAATGGCTTGAGCCCAGGAGCTGGAGGTTGCAGTGAGCCGAGATTGCACCACTGCACTCCAGCCTGGGCGACTGAGTGGAGCGGAACTCTGTCTCAAAAAAAAAAAAGAGGTTTTTTTTAGATCATCAGCTATTGTTAGTGTTAGTGTATGTTATGTGTGGCTCAAGACAACTTTGCTTCTTTTAATATAGGCAGGGAAGTCAAAAGATTGGATATCCCTGCTTTATACCAAGAAAGACAACACCCCACATTTGCAATGCCTGAAAACACTACCAGCCATCTGAAAAACATGTGACTTCTAACTTCTGTTCTTTTTTGTAGCAGTGGAATCCCACGGTGATATCTGAGGGATGTGGTTACCTTTTGGAGGAGGTTGACGGTTTCTAAGGATGATTCTTTCTGAGTGAAATATTGTCAGTGTCATTGACCTTTTCATTATTTCAACTATTATTATTCCAGGTTATCAATACTCTGGCTGACCATCATCATCGTGGGACTGACTTTGGTGGAAGTCCTTGGTTACATGTCATTATTGCGTTTCCGACAAGTTATAAAGTTGTCATTACCCTCTGGATAGTTTACCTTTGGGTGAGTATACTAACTTTCTGTAGAGGTATACTTGTAATCACAAATAAGAATAAATTATATAAAACAATTCACATTTCTGGACTTCATTATGAATATGTGGTTTTACCCAAAAAATCAGGGAAATGATTTATTAGTATAAGAATTATGAAAACATCTGCCATTTGCATTATGAAAATTAAATAGGTCGGTGTTTGTTTAATAGAATGTCAACAGAGCTTTTGGTCAAAAATAAGTTTTTTTAACCTTTGTGCTATTTATCACAAATGGAGTATGAGGTTTCGTCACTTAAATAGGAAATTCTTTCTAAACTCTTCTGCTTTATAGTTCTATCGTATGGGTGGAAGGAAAGCTTCCAATCTCCTCTCTGAAGATTCACTGCAGAAATGAGCTGACAACAGACAGCTTAACAGGAAAAGAAAAACATAGAACAGGCATAAACATGGGAACCAGCTGAAAAATGAGACTGCTAGAAGGGCCGGATGGCTGATGCTTAAAGAGCACCCTCTTCTGAGGGGAGAGGGAGATAGATGGAGATGTAGGCCATTTAGAGGGGCAGCAAATGATTTTTAGGGGAAATGAAAGAGGCCAAGGAACAAACAATTGGCCTGAGACAAAGTTCCTGTGAGGTCATAGGGACGAGGTGACAAACTGCCGGAAGGTGAAGGGCAGAACTGCACTGCGTCTCATGATGCAGAGAAAGCCCCAGAGACTCTTAGAACTGCCCTCCAAGAGAATCAATGAAAAGTGTGTCTGGGCAGGGTAATTTTGAATGACATCATTCAAAGTGCATGTTCCGACTTGGAACTGGAGAGAGATCAGTATGTCAAAAGTCTGTACTTGGTAAGAATTTGGCTGCTAAGTTGTGCCATAATTTGTCTTTTGAGCCTTTTTTCCTTTGGGTAAGTTGAGCTCTACATTTTGTCTTGCCATTCATGACAGTAAAAATGTGGTTGTCTGGGGGCTGAACCTCCTTCTGAACAATGATCCAAGATAAAAGTACTAATACCACAATGCTTTTTTATATTCAAGGGAAGAGGAAGTATGTTTCAGTTTTACCACCTAGATAATTACACGTCATTTGGCACTGCCTTTCAAGATATGTAGAAAACAGAAAATATATGAGTTATGAAGATATCTAGGCACATTTAACATTCTCTATGCCACTTAGTCCTGAACAGAGAATTTTCGGTATAAATTGGAGGAAGCTTTTTTCTTTTTTTTTTTTCTTTTCTCACCCCGAAGACGAGTCTCCTTCTGTTGCCCAGGCTGGAGTATAATGGTGTGACCTCGGCTCACTGCAACCTCCACCTCCTGGCTTCAAGTGATTCCCCTGCCTCAGCCTCTCAAGTAGCTGGGATTACAGGTGCCCACCACCATGCCCAGCTAATTTTTGTATTTTTAGTAGAGTCGGGGTTTTACCATGTTGGCCAGGCTAGTCTCAAAACCCGACCTCAAATGATCCACCCACCTCAGCCTCCCAAAGTGCTGGGATTACAAGCGTGAGCCACCACGTGAGCCAGGGGAAGTTTTTAAATTTACCACTTTTTAACAATTCCACTTAGGAAAGTTCAGTTGAGCTGTTGGACTTGGACAACTTCGCACCTCTCATCTTTGTCCTTGTCATCTAGTCATCTATACCATTACCTCCTAAGCAGGGACATCATGGGTGCCATGAAGCATTCATGCGTGATGGCATTTCTTGGCTTCTCATTTCTTCATGTGTTTGACATTTCCCCTAGCTCCAAACTGGGCCAGCTACCTTTCCTATGAAATCTAGCAGTAGCTGTGGGATTGACGTGGTTGCTCTTTTCATCTTTTTAGATTACCCATTGCTTCTCTCGAAATCCTAGTACATGATTTTTTTTTTATCCTATGTGCAGAAATCAGGAAAAAACAAATTCTACAAAGAATTTGAAAGATATTATTTCAGGCCAGGTGTGGTGGCTCATGCCTGTAATCCCAGCACTTTGGGAGGCTGAAGCAGATGGATCATTTGAGGTCAGGAGTTCAAGACCAGATGGGCCAACATGGTGAAACCCCATCTCTACTAAAAAGACAAAAATTAGCCAGGCATGGTAGCAGGCACCTGTAATCCCAGCTACTTGGGAGGCTGAGGCACAAGAATCGCTTGAATCTGGGAGGTGGAGGTTGCCGTGAGCCAAGGTAGCGCCACTGCACTTCAGCATGGTTGAGAGTGACACTCTGTCTCAAGAAAAAGTCATTTCAATGACCACCTCAGGAGATTCATAGGTATCTGACCCACATCTGAGATGGGATTTGCATTGCATTTTAGCTATGATGAGAAGAAATATTTAATATCTTAGAAGATTAAAAGCATACTGTGATAATATGGAAATCTTGGTGGGAATTCAGTCATTAGTGAGAATGTTTTGCGTTAAGTTCAAACCAGCCTCAATGAAGCTGATGTGAGGGAAGGGAAAGTGAACTCTGAGTAGAGCAGGGACAGAAGGAAGATGCTCCAGTGCAGATCAGGAAGGAGCAGGGGATGAAATGTTACAAATTCTAGAACTCAGAGAGCTGAAGGTAATTACTTCCTTTTCAAGTTGTGAAACATGTTAACCTGTGGTAAAATACTTATAAGATGATAATTACCATCTAACCGTGTTGAAGTGTACAGTTCAGTTGTGTGAAGTATATTCATGTCATTTTTTTTTTTTTTTTTTTTGAGACGGATTCTCACTCTGTCACCAGGCTGGAGTGCAGTGGTGGGATCTTGGCTCACTGCAACCTCTGCCTCCTGGGTTCAAGCAGTTCTCCTGCCTCAGCCTCCCGAGTAGCTGGGACTACAGGCGTGCATCACCATGCTCAGCTAATTTTTGTATTTTTAGTAGAGACGGGGTTTCACCATGTTGCCCAGGATGGTCTCCATCTCTTGACCTTGTGATTCACCTGCCTCGGCCTCCCAAAGTGCTGGGATTACAGGCGTGAGCTACCGCATCTGGCCTATTTTTTTTTTTTTTTTTTGAGACAAGAGTTTCAATTTTGTTGCCCAGGTTGGAGTGCAATGGCACAATCTCAGCTCACCACAAGCTTTTCCTGCTGGGTTCAAGTGATTCTCCTGCCTCAGCCTCCCGACTAGCTGGGATTACAGGCATGCACCACCATGCCTGGCTAATTTTGCATTTTTAGCAGAGACAGCGTTTCTCCATGTTGGTGAGGCTGGTCTCAAACTCCCGACCTCAGGTGATCCGCCTGCCTCGGCCTCCCAAAGTGCTGGGATTACAGGAGTGAGCCACCGTGCCAGCCTCATGTCATTCTTGTGTGTGTGTGTGTGTATGTGACAGAGTCTCATTCTGTCGCTCAGGCTGGAGTGCAGTGGTGTGATCTCGGCTCACTGCAACCTCCGCCTCCCAGCTTCAAACGGTTCTCTGCCTCAGCCTCCCGAGTAGCTTGGATTACAGGCGCCCGCTGCCATGCCCGGCTAATTTTTGTATTTTTAGTAGAGACGGGGTTTCACCATCTTGGCCAGGCTGGTCTTGAACTCCTGACCCCGTGATCCACCTGCCTCAGCCTCCCGAAGTACTGGGATTATACGCATGAGCCACCGTGCCCAGCCGTCATTCTTATATTATTATTTCCTAGGTGTCTCTCCTGAAGACTATCTTCTGGTCTCGAAATGGACATGATGGATCCACGGATGTACAGCAGAGAGCCTGGAGGTCCAACCGCCGTAGACAGGAAGGTATGGCTCTGTTGGAATCCGCATAGTGTGGAAATGAGTTTGCCCTGGAAAGGGAAAGAACAGCTTCTTGCCCTCAGGTTTCTCACCTTCTCCTCTCCTCACTCTCACCAAGGGCTGAGGTCCATTTGTATGCACACAAAGAAAAGAGTTTCTTCCTTTCGAGGAAATAAAATTGGCCTGAAAGACGTCATTACTCTACGGAGACATGTGGAAACAAAAGTTAGAGCTAAAATCCGTAAGAGGAAGGTGACAACGAAAATCAACCATCATGACAAAATCAATGGAAAGAGGAAGACCGCCAGAAAACAGTAAGATGTGCCTTGACACAAATACTGTTGTATGAACCATGTGCCAATCAAAGTAGACAACTGTAAAGTCCTTGAGAATATTTTCTACAATATTTGTGGCAAATTCAGTGGGTTCAAAATTGAGTTTGTCCTTTCTGCTTCATTAGTTTAAGCTGTATAATTCCTTTCCCTTCCTACATTCTTGTTTTCATTTTTTCGGAGGAAGAGGAGTTGCTAGTACTGGCATTGGTTTTCCTTTCTCTTTTTTTTTTTTTTTTTTTTCCTGAGATGGAGCTTTGCTGTTGTTGCCCAGGCTGTAGTGCAATGGCACAATCTCAGCTCACTGCCTTTTGGGTTCAAGCAATTCTCCTGCGTCAGCCTCCCAAGTAGCTGGGATTACAGGTGCCCACCACCACGCCCAGCTAATTTTTGTATTTTTACTAGAGATGGGGTTTCACCATGTTGTCCAGGCTGGTCTCGAACTTCTGACCTCAGGTAATCCACCTGCCTCAGCCTCCCAAAGTGCTGGGATTAGAGGCGTGAGCCACCACAGCCAGCCTTTTTTTTTTTTTTTTTTTTTTTTAATTTTGAGATAGAGTCTCGCTCTGTCGCCCAGGCTGGAGTGCTATGGTGCAATCTTGGCTCACTGCAACCTCTGCCTCCCAGTTTGAAGCAATTCTGCCTCAGCTTCCCGAGTAGCTTGGATTACAGGTGTGTGCCACCACATTTGACCAATTTTTTTTTTTTTTTTTTTTTTTGAGACAGAGTCTCACTCTGTCACCCAGGCTAGAGTGCAGTGGCATGATCTTGGCTCACTGCAACCTCCACCTCCCAGGTTCAAGCGATTCTTATCCCTCAGCCTCTTGAGTAGCTGGGACTACAGGCATATGCCACCATGCCCGGATAATTTTTGTATTTTTAGTAGAGGCGGGGTTTCACCATATTGGCCAAGCTGGTCTAGAACTCCTGACATCATGATCCGCACACCTCGGCCTCCCAATGTGCTGGGATTACAGGCGTGAGCCACCGTGCCCGGCCCAATTTTTGTATTTTTAGTAGAGACGGGTTCACCATGTTGGCCAGGCTAGTCTTGAACTCCTGACCTCAGGTGATCTGCCTACCTCAGCCTCCCAGTGTGAGCCACCGCACCCAGCCTGGATTGTTGAATTCAATGCTTGGGTCACCTCCAGATTCATTTTCACAGTCTTTCATGTTTTGGTCATATGACATTGTATTTTGCTGCCATATGACTGATCTTTTTTTGTTAAATGTGAGATACTTGTTAAAAAATGTTTAGCAATGAATTGAGGCCTAGTAGCATGTTATCTTGCTGCAGAAGAGATGGGAGTCTACTTCTGGGGGATGGTCAGGGGTCCTCCATACAGGCTGCAATTGAAGTCGTCGGTGCAGGCTCAGTCCCTACAAAGGCCAGGGTATTTCCTGTCCACCTTTATTCTGATGCATGACTCTTCTGGGTCTCAACCAGAGCCAGTGGACTTCAGTACGGGTCGCTTTCATTGGCAGACCCTCAATCCACTTGTTTTCCATCTAATCCCACGCATGTGTGCAAAAGCTGCTGTGCTTCTTTGCATCTCAGTAGTTCCTTCTGGAATTCAGCAATGAAACTCAGGGAAATGGGTTCCAAATGCGAGGCTGACTTTCGTCCTGGGTTTCCTTCTTCTCCATCTTCACCTCATGTCTGTTTACTGCCATGTTAGCAATTTGATGTATTCAATCATGGGTTTTATATTCTGTTTGGTGTCCCCCATTGTTCTCATCGGAGATCAGAAGCTTCAGATGCACTTATGTCAACTCAAGAGTAGAATGCTTCCTTAGCTTCCCTCCAGAGTCAGGTTTTGTGTTTCTAGTTCCCAAGTGCACAGCAGGAGTAGTGATGTCCTCACTGGCTTCTCATTTGCATTAAGCTGTGAGCTTCTTTAGCGTGGGGACAGGACCCTGCTCCCATTGCATTCTCAGCACCACACCACACACTCCTTGTTTGAGGCCACTCCAGACAGCATGTGCTGAAGGATGCCTTGTGGTCAGAAACAAGTTCATTAACTTTCTCTTTGAAGTGTTTTCGCCCCTGTTTCCTAGCGTTCTGGGAATTTTACACATCCTTCCTATAAAACCAAGTATCAGGTGAGATCCTTAGGATCAGGACCATGAATCAAGTGGAGTGAGGGCAACACAGCAAACTTACCCTTTTTAGGCCGTTTCCTTTTTCTGCCCTCAATCTCTGTGAACTGAACCTTGTTAAAGTCAGTCAACACCAGGGTGGATGGTTTGCCGTTGTCACCTATTTTCAGGACATAACACCCTGACTTAGGAGCCATTCCGATCATTTCTAATTCAATAGATGCGCCCAGCATTCAGATTGCCTTTTCTCTCAACCAGGATCTTTAAAGTCGATGACAAGAGTTCCAGTCCTGAATCATGGCAAAGTGCAGTAGTGAACTGCGGGGTTATTCTGGAAGGATCTCTCTATGGCTGATGGTCTCAGTTCCGGCATCAGCCTCTGACTGAGAATAAGGTCTCACACAGGAGGAGTCAGATGAGGAGCAATCCTCTGCTTCCGATGGAGTTAGTTGTGATGAATTGGTGAGGTCTGGTTTTTCACACTGAACTAAAATGAGCTTTCGCTGTGTCAAGCACAAGACTGACCCCAGAGACACACATAGTGCACCTCATAGAAGCTTTTAATAGTCTTTATATTTACTAAAGAATAGGACTAACTATGGAACTATGAAGATGAGCTGGAAATGACAGGTGACTTGCCAGCAGGCCAGAGTGTGACTTTTTTTTGTCCCTCAATGGGAGGTGTCAATTCTCCCTTCGGTTGTGAGAATCAGTTGGTTCATTTGTGGGAAGGTTGCAGGGGGGATCTTTGAATCACAGCCTTCAGATGCCAGAAGGGCAGAGGGAATCCCACACGGGCTGGTGGATCATGTGTGTGCATTTCTCTCCCTTCTAATCTGAGGAAACTAAGCGTGAAAGAATGTGAGCATGCAGAAAAGGAGAGGCAGGTATCAGAGGCAGAGGAAAATGGGAAATTGGATATGAAAGAAATACACACCTACAAGTGAGTTCAGAAACTGAACCCCACCCTCCTGGGAAACGCCCATTGGAGTGTTGTTTTTAACCTTTGTACAGTATTTAGACCCAGTAAATGCAGAAATAGAAACAAACGGTCAGAAGACATATCGTGAGAGAGAGCGAGAGAGAGTTCACAAAACAGAAAACAAAGTACCTTAATATTTACCAGTGACCAAAAGATGTGAAGTAGCAAAACGTCTCCTGACCCCATTGCCAGCTAGACTGTGTGGAAACTCGGTTCATACCAGCCATTCTAGGGGTGGGGTGAGTTGTTGTCATCCTTAGGAAAGTGTGTTGTTGTAGGATCAACCACATCCTTCAAAAGGACTATGCCTGTTTATAAGCCCAGCTGTTTCTGCCCTGTGAAACACGGTAAGGATATTAATACAAAGAGAATACAGCTTTATGATAAAAGATGCTCAATGAAGGATGAATTAGGGATGTACTGAGAATGGGGAAGGAAACTATCATCTCAGAAGTCAGCAGGCAGTAAGCAAGAGGAGGAATCAATACAGCAACAGTTTGGATCAGACTGTACAGTTTTTTTGTTTTTGTTTTTCTGAGATGGAGTCTCGCTGTGTCACCCAGGCTGGAGTGCAATGACGTGATCTTGGCTCACTGCAACCTCCGCCTCCCAGGTTCAAGTGATTCCCCTGCCTCAGCCTCCCGAGTAGCTGGGATTACAGGTGCCTGCCACCACGCCTGGCTAATTTTTTGTATTTTTAGTAGAGAAGGGGTTTCACCATATTAGCCACAATGGTCTCAATCTCCTGACCTCGTGATCCATCTGCCCCGCCCTCCCAGAGTGCTGGGATTACAGGCGTCAGCCACCGTGACCGGCTCAGACTGTACTCTTATAGCCATCTGAAATACGTTTTCTAGGTAGAGATAGATTGTGTAAGGGTACAGTTGTGAGGATAACAGAAACATGGCAGATTATTTAAAATCATCCTGAAAGTGGTGCTTTATCTGATGAAAGTGATTGTAATCCATAGGAAAATGTTTCAACGTGCGCAAGAGTTGCGGCGGCGGGCAGAGGACTACCACAAATGCAAAGTAAGGAGCTTCCTCCCTGCAGTTGCAGGATAGTTCAGTGCTGATGCAGATGATGCCACGGCCCTTAGACTCTCTCAACATTCAATTTCTCATGTGTTGGCTTTTTCAGATCCCCCCTTCTGCAAGAAAGGCTCTTTGCAACTGGGTAAGTTTGCTTGTTTTCCTTGCTTTTGGACATAGTCTGCCAGGTCAGGACATGGATACATTTTTCTCCCTACAGCTCTGTGCTCAAGCCCTGCAGAGGGAGATGGCAGAGAGAAAGGCTGCCTACAAGCATCACAGTCCCATCCCTGTTGGTAACCGTGTTGCGCAAAAACACCTTCATCCCCACCCAGTGGGGCCCCTGATCTAATATTCTAAGTGTCAGAGGTTCCGTATTTGTAATAGCAGATGGGCCCTGACTGTAAACTAGTGAAGAGTGAATGTAACTTATTACCCACAGGGACAATTCCAAATGAAGGCCTTAAATGATGCTCAGCTAAGCTGGTTCTTGTGTGGCCTCTGTACCTTCAAAAGCTGCCGAGTCCTATGATTACACGTGATGGGACTTGTACACTTGAAGTGAAACACAGTTTTAAAACTTGCTTTGTTTAGAATTCCCACCTCATTTTTCCATGGACAAAAGTATTCTTTATGTCCTAGTGCACTTACAATTTGGTATTACCTGGGAGTGAAAAGAAATATTACAGCCGTGCCTAAGTGACTTCTTGAGGTGAGATTGTTCTGTCAGAAAACCCTCTCCCAGTTCCCCTGCAGCTCTTCAGGAATCCACATCTCTCCAGAGCTCTTTGTTCTCATGGGTGGCACCTCCAGAGTGAAGAAGATCCTTTGTCAAGAAGGGAAACAGAGGGGAAATGAGAGGGTCCTGCAGGCAGAGCTGGAATCAACTTCCACTCTGCCTCTTGCAAGCTGTGTGACCCTGGGCACAATTTCTCCTTCCTCTGGAAACCTCTGTTTTCTTAGATTTGGAGCAGGGTGGTCACACTGACCTTGCAGAGTTCTGAGAGTCAGAGACAGAACATAAAAGGCCTGGAAAACATTCTCCAAAAAGAAGCTGCAACATGTGTGGACAGTGGGCTTTTCATGCCTCTCTTACTGTCTCTTACTGTCTGTTGACCTGGTGCAAGAAACATGCTCTGGTGATGGCTGTGAGGGAGGAATGAGGATAGACATAGACACTCCTGTGTCTCAAACATGCTTCTTTATTACTCTGTTATGACTCTGTCTTCCCTGGGGCAGGACCCCAGCCTGCCTACATTTGCAGACAGACACAGTGGCATGTGGAGACAACAGTGTGTCCCAATGACTTTCCTTTACCCTCCAGCTGTCGGCAGTACTCAGTGGAAGGGTGATATTATGACACTGATACTGCTATTTTGAAACCTGGAGGATGGAAAGGTGCAAAAATCTATCACCAGCAACAGAAGGTGCAGACTGTGTTGGTGGCGGTAATTTTGTCCATCAAATGAATATGTGTGAAAACATTCCCTCCTTTGGCCCTACAGGTCAGAATGGCGGCAGCGGAGCATCGTCATTCTTCAGGATTGCCCTACTGGCCCTACCTCACAGCTGAAACTTTAAAAAACAGGATGGGCCACCAGCCACCTCCTCCAACTCAACAACATTCTATAACTGATAACTCCCTGAGCCTCAAGACACCTCCCGAGTGTGTGCTCACTCCCCTTCCACCCTCAGCGGATGATAATCTCAAGACACCTCCCGAGTGTGTGCTCACTCCCCTTCCACCCTCAGCGGATGATAATCTCAAGACACCTCCTGAGTGTCTGCTCACTCCCCTTCCACCCTCAGCGGATGATAATCTCAAGACACCTCCTGAGTGTCTGCTCACTCCCCTTCCACCCTCAGCGGATGATAATCTCAAGACACCTCCCGAGTGTCTGCTCACTCCCCTTCCACCCTCAGCTCCACCCTCAGCTCCACCCTCAGCGGATGATAATCTCAAGACACGTGCCGAGTGTCTGCTCCATCCCCTTCCACCCTCAGCGGATGATAATCTCAAGACACCTTCCGAGCGTCAGCTCACTCCCCTTCCACCCTCAGCTCCACCCTCAGCAGATGATAATATCAAGACACCTGCCGAGCGTCTGCGGGGGCCGCTTCCACCCTCAGCGGATGATAATCTCAAGACACCTTCCGAGCGTCAGCTCACTCCCCTTCCACCCTCAGCTCCACCCTCAGCAGATGATAATATCAAGACACCTGCCGAGCGTCTGCGGGGGCCGCTTCCACCCTCAGCGGATGATAATCTCAAGACACCTTCCGAGCGTCAGCTCACTCCCCTTCCACCCTCAGCTCCACCCTCAGCAGATGATAATATCAAGACACCTGCCGAGCGTCTGCGGGGGCCGCTTCCACCCTCAGCGGATGATAATCTCAAGACACCTTCCGAGCGTCAGCTCACTCCCCTTCCACCCTCAGCTCCACCCTCAGCAGATGATAATATCAAGACACCTGCCGAGCGTCTGCGGGGGCCGCTTCCACCCTCAGCGGATGATAATCTCAAGACACCTTCCGAGCGTCAGCTCACTCCCCTTCCACCCTCAGCTCCACCCTCAGCAGATGATAATATCAAGACACCTGCCTTCCACCCTCAGCGGATGATAATCTCAAGACACCTTCCGAGCGTCAGCTCACTCCCCTTCCACCCTCAGCTCCACTCTCAGCAGATGATAATATCAAGATACCTGCTGAGCGTCTGCGGATTCCGCTTCCACCATCAGCCGATGATAATCTCAAGACACCTTCCGAGCGTCAGCTCACTCCCCTTCCACCCTCAGCTCCACCCTCAGCAGATGATAATATCAAGACACCTGCCGAGCGTCTGCGGGGGCCGCTTCCACCCTCAGCGGATGATAATCTCAAGACACCTTCCGAGCGTCAGCTCACTCCCCTTCCACCCTCAGCTCCACCCTCAGCAGATGATAATATCAAGACACCTGCCGAGCGTCTGCGGGGGCCGCTTCCACCCTCAGCGGATGATAATCTCAAGACACCTTCCGAGCGTCAGCTCACTCCCCTTCCACCCTCAGCTCCACCCTCAGCAGATGATAATATCAAGACACCTGCCGAGCGTCTGCGGGGAGCGTCTGCGGGGGCCGCTTCCACCCTCAGCGGATGATAATCTCAAGACACCTTCCGAGCGTCAGCTCACTCCCCTTCCACCCTCAGCTCCACCCTCAGCAGATGATAATATCAAGACACCTGCCGAGCGTCTGCGGAGGCCGCTTCCACCCTCAGCGGATGATAATCTCAAGACACCTTCCGAGCGTCAGCTCACTCCCCTTCCACCCTCAGCTCCACCCTCAGCAGATGATAATATCAAGACACCTGCCGAGCGTCTGCGGGGGCCGCTTCCACCCTCAGCGGATGATAATCTCAAGACACCTTCCGAGCGTCAGCTCACTCCCCTTCCACCCTCAGCTCCACCCTCAGCAGATGATAATATCAAGACACCTGCCGAGCGTCTGCGGGGGCCGCTTCCACCCTCAGCGGATGATAATCTCAAGACACCTTCCGAGCGTCAGCTCACTCCCCTTCCACCCTCAGCTCCACCCTCAGCAGATGATAATATCAAGACACCTGCCGAGCGTCTGCGGGGGCCGCTTCCACCCTCAGCGGATGATAATCTCAAGACACCTTCCGAGCGTCAGCTCACTCCCCTTCCACCCTCAGCTCCACCCTCAGCAGATGATAATATCAAGACACCTGCCGAGCGTCTGCGGGGGCCGCTTCCACCCTCAGCGGATGATAATCTCAAGACACCTTCTGAGCGTCAGCTCACTCCCCTTCCACCCTCAGCTCCACCCTCAGCAGATGATAATATCAAGACACCTGCCGAGCGTCTGCGGGGGCCGCTTCCACCCTCAGCCGATGATAATCTCAAGACACCTCCCTTAGCTACTCAGGAGGCTGAGGCAGAAAAACCACGCAAACCCAAGAGGCAGAGGGCGGCTGAGATGGAACCACCTCCCGAACCCAAGAGGCGGAGGGTCGGTGACGTGGAACCGTCACGCAAACCCAAGAGGCGGAGGGCCGCTGACGTGGAACCATCATCACCCAAACCCAAGAGGCGGAGGGTCGGTGATGTGGAACCGTCACGCAAACCCAAGAGGCGGAGGGCCGCTGACGTGGAACCATCATCACCCGAACCCAAGAGGCGGAGGGTCGGTGACGTGGAACCGTCACGCAAACCCAAGAGGCGGAGGGCCGCTGACGTGGAACCATCATCACCCGAACCCAAGAGGCGGAGGTTGAGCTGAGAAGAGGCCAGTGCACTCAAGCCTGAGCAATAAGAATAAAACCGAGTAGAACAAAATAAAAAATTCAAAAAACAAAACAAAACCCACACTCCAAAAACTAACAAAGAATAAATAAATAATATAAAAATAAAATAAATACTGCAGTCCTTATGTTATTGCTTTGTTTCGATATCTGGTATGATTGCCTGAGGGACCTGAGGTTTTTAATCATAGGGGTTTTTTTTTAATCTTTAGAAGTGGTTGGTTATGTAAAATATTATTATTATTTTTTTTGAGACTGGATTTTGCTGTGTCACCCAGGCTGGAGTGCAGTGGCTCGATCACAGCTCACTGCAGCCTCAACCTCCTGGGCTTCAAGCAATCCTCCTGCCTCAGCCTCCCAAGTAGCTGGGATCACAGATGTGTGCCACCACGCCTGGCCAATGTTAAAAAATCCTTTAACTTTTTTGTAGAGATGCACTCCTGGACTCAAGCGATCCTCCTACTTGTCCCGACCACCAGCCCCTTTCTGATAAACAAACATTTACACTGTTTATTATCTGATGCCATTTCTATCTTCTTCCTTGTCGTCCAGACATCGAATAATTAGGTTTCTTCAGGGTTTTCTTTTTCAAGTGCTCAGTGTTAAAGATCACTCACATTAGGGCCAGACACCATGGCTCATGCCTGTAATCCCAGCACTTTGGGAGGCCGAGGCGGGCAGAGCACTTGAGGTGGGGAGTTTGAGACCAGCCCGGCCAACTTGGTGAAACCCCACCTCTACTGAAAAAAATACAAAAATTAGCTGGGCGTGATGGTGCATGTCTGTAGTCCTAGCCACTTGGGAGGCTGAGGCATGAGAATCGCTTGAACCCAGGAGGCAGAGGTTGTAGTGAGCCAAGATCACGTCAGCACACTCTAGCCTGGGTGACAGAGTGAGACTCTGACTCAAAAAATATAAATAAAATAAATATCACTTACATGAGATATACCCAAGGGGTGGTCTACAGAGACTTGGAAGCAGTGGTTATTGCAACAGGGGCACGGAAGTCATCTGGCTATGCCAGGGTGCCCAGGGGATACTCGGGGTGGGTGGCATGGTGCTGCTGGGGACTCATCGCACAGGACGCTCTGATTGACGCACTGCCAGGAGTAGCGCTCTGTCTTGGGGCTGCAGCCGGCCTCCTCAGCTCGAGTGTAACAACAGTCGTGGCCATGGCAGCACCTGCGGATGTCACATGGGCAGGACAGCAGGTGGGTGAAGCTCTCTCCTGGCCCTCCTCTCTTGCCAGGACCATGGGTGACTGAAGACCCCCAGGGAGGCACAGCATCCTCTTATCTAAGATTTTTTTTTTTTTAAGAGACAGGGTCTTTAAAAAAGTCCTGCAGTCTGCAGTCGCCCAGGCTGGACTGCAGAGGCACAATCATAGCTCACGGCAGCCTTGAACTCCTGGGCTCAAGCGATCCTCCCACTTCAGTGTCCCAAGTAGCTGAGACTACAGGCACACGCCAGCATGCCCGGCTGGTTTTTTAATTTGTATTTCCTTTGAGACAGCATATCTCTCTGTCGCTCAGGCTGGGGTGCAATGGCTCAATCAGCTCACTTTAGCCTTGAACTCCCGGGCTCAAGTGATACTGCCACCTCAACTTCCCAAGTATGCTACTACAGGAACACAAACTCCTTTTTTAAATTTTTTGTGGATATGGGGTCTATGTTGCCTAGGCTGGTCTTGAACTCCCAGGCTCAAGCAGTCCTCCTACCTCAGCCTCCCCAAATGCTGGGATTACAGGTGGGAGCTACTGTACGCCTGGCCTTATCTAAGCTGTTTCCCTGAAAATGCCCGTCTTGGGTAATGATTCCATTGGCCCCACCATGCCCTGTCCTGCCTTCCTGGCTGTGCCCAAGCTTGGTCCCTGCCTGCCTGCCTCACTCTCTGGGTCTCGAGCTCCTGTGACACATGACTCCTCTCTCTTCCTGGAGTGATCCAAGCCCTGCCACTTCCTGACTTTGCCCACACTGTACCCTCTGCCTGGGGCAACTTCATGTCTGCCCATTGTCCCTTAAGCCTCAGCCCAGGCACAAGCCCCTGCCTCCGGAGGTCATCCAGGCCTCACCAGGCTACACCCTCTCGTAAAATTGGATTCCCTCCCTTCAGGGCAGGTTTATAATGAAATCCTCCTCGGAGGCCAGGTGCGGTGACACCCATCTGTAATCCCAGCACTTTGGGAGGCTGAGGTGGGAGGATCACTTGAGGCCAGGGGGTCGAGACCAGCCTGGGCAACATAAGAGAGACTCTTGTCTCTATAACAAATTTAAAAATTAGCTCACCAGGCCAGGCTCAGTGGCTCATGCCTGTAATCCCAACACTTTGAGAGGCCGAGGCAGGTGGATCACGAGGTCAGGAGTTCGAGAGCAGCCTGACCAACATGGCGAAACCCTGTCTCTACTAAAAATACAAAATTAGCCAGGCATGGTGGCACACACATGTAATCCCAGCTACTCGGGAGGCTGAGGTAGGAGAATTGCTTGAACCCAGGAGGTGGAGGTTGCGGTGAGCCAAGATCATGCCACTGCAGTCCAGCCTGAGCAACAGAGCAAGACTCTGTCTCAAGACAATAAAAACACACAAAAAATTAACTCGCCATGATGGCACATGCCTATAGTCCTAGCTACTTGGGAGGCTGAGGTGGGAGGATTCCCTTCAGCCCAGGAGTTTGAGGCTGCAGTGAGCCACTATGATTGTGCCACTGCACTCTAACCTGGGCAAAAGCGAGACCCCAGGCTAGAGTGCATGATTTTGGGTCACTGCAACCTCCACCTCCCAGGTTCAAGTGATTCTCCTGCCTCAGCCTCTTGAGTAGCTGGGACTACAGGCATGTGCCACCACGCCTGGGTAATTTTTGTATTTTTAGTAGAGACAGGGTTTAGTAGAGACCATGGTGAAACCCCGTCTCTATAAAACAAATCTCTACTAACCCCATCTCTACAAAAAACAGCTGGGCGTGGTAGTGCACACCTGTAATTCCAGCTACTTGGGAGGCTGAGGCACGAGAATCATTTGCATCTTGGAGGCAGAGTTTGCAGTGAGCTGACATCGCACCACTGCACTCCAGCTGGGATGACAGAGCAAGACCCTGTCTCAAAAAAAAGAAAAAGGAACAAACAACAGCAACAACAAAAAAACCTCTGTGTCAATCACAGCCTTCAAGCTAGGGGAGAGGCGGCCGAATTCTGCCCTCTGCTAACTAACTATAGCTTTGTGGAAATGGGTGAGTGGCATGCCCCTGTGAGCCTCAGGGCCCCATCTGTAAAATGGGCATAACTGTCATGCCCGTCTTTAAGAACAGCCTTGGGGGTAAATGAGTGGAACTCATGGAAAGATCTCAGCCCACAACCTTCCACAGAACAGGCGCTTCTCACACAGTAAGTAGCAGGAGTGCAGAGGCTGCAGGCATGAATCCAGCCAGACTGCCTGGGTTCAAGTCCCAGCTCCCACGTCTTGGTAACTAAGTGGCCTCAGACAAGTTACTTAATATTTCTTTTTTTTTTTTTTTTTTTTCAGAAGGAGTTTTGCTCTGTCACCCAGGCTGGAGTGCAGTGGTGTGATCTCGGTTCATTGCAACCTCTGCCTCCCGGGTTCAAGCAATTCTCCTGCCTCAGCTTCCTGAGTAGCTGGAATTACAGGCACCTGCCACCACACACAGCTAATTTTTGTATTTTTAGTAGAGACGGGGTTTCACCATGTTGGCCAGGATGGTCTCGAACTCCTGACCTCATGATCTGCCTGCCTCAGCCTCCCAAAGTACTGGGATTACAGGCGTGAGCCACCGCACCTGGACACGTTACTGAATATTTCTGTGCCTAGGTTTCTTCATCTGTGAAATGGGATTGTTGTGAGAACACAAAGGGATTCCCAGGGCAGTTCCTAGTGCATAGTCTGGCTGCCTTTGTGTGTGTGTGTGTGTGTGTGTGTGTGTGTGTGTGTGTGTGTGTGTGTGTGTGTGTGTGTGTGTTTAATATAGAGACAGGGTCTCACTCTGTTGCCTAGGCTCGTTTCAAACTCCTGGGCTCCAGTGATCCTCCTGCCTCGACCCAAAGTGGTGGGATTACAGGCATGAGTCAACACACCTGGCCACTTTATATTATTATTATTTTTTTCTTTTGAGACAGGGTTTGGCACTGTTGTCCAGGTTGGAATACAGCGGTGCAATCTCAACTCACTGCAAACTCCACCTCCCGGGTTCAAGCAATTCTCCTGCCTCAGTCTCCCCAGTAGCTGAGATTACAGACGCCTGCCACCACACACAGCTAATTTTTGCATTTTTAGTAGAGATGGGGTTTCACCATATTGGCCAGGCTGGTCTTGAACTCCTGACCTCAAGTGATCTGCCCACCTCGGCCTCCCAAAGTGCTGGGATTACAGGAGTTAGCCACCGCTCCTGGCCAATTTTTTAAGGCAACGTTTTCAGCCCATGGCCAGGGTAAGGGGCAGCTGGTACCAAGATCTGGCTTCACTGGCCATGTTATCCAAGAGGCCTCTGCCTGCCTGCAAAGTAGTACTGCACACTGGGATCTCCCTGGACCAAACCCCAGCTTCAGTTTTGGGTACTTCCTCATAAGCCTTGACTACCCCAGAGTGTGAGGGATTTTGTAGCCTGGTCCCAGGCATGCACTCACCAGTCAATGGCATCGCAGGGCTGGCCATGGCCTCCCAAGCCACAAAAGGAACCATATTTCATATAGGCGATGGGAGTCTAGGGACTAACACAACCCACAATTCCTGCCAGTTCCAGGATCCCACGCCGGTGCACACATAATATCCTGGAGGCTGGGGGGTAAACGAAGGTGACAGGCTGCAGGTCAGGGCTTCCCAGACCCCTGGGAAGGGCATGAGCCTGAGAAGAGCCTAGGTGTTACAGCCTGGCTGTCTGGGTTTGAATCCTACTTCCTAGCTGTGTGACCTTGGACGAATTCCTAACCTCTCTGGGCCTTGGTTTCCTCATCTGTGAAATGGGGGGTAAGCTGACTTCAACTCATATGAATGAAATGAGATAATGAGTATAAAGCCCCTGGTGCATGAAAAGGCTATTATAATCCGGCTGGGCTCAGTGGCTCACACCTGTAATCCCAAGACTTTGGGAGGCCCAGGTGGGCAGATCACCTGAGGTCAGCAGTTCAAGATCAGCCTGGCCAACATGGTGAAACCCCATCTGTAGTAAAAATACAAAAATTAGCTGAGCCTAGTGGTGCACACCGGTAATCCCAGCTACTAGGGAGGCTGAGGAAGGAGAGTCACTTGAACCTGAGAGGTGAAGATTGCAGTGAGCCAAGATTTTGCCACTGCATTCCAACCTGGACGACAGAGCAAGAGTCTCAAAAAAAGAAAAAGAAAAAAAGGATAACTATTATAATCAAGGTCCTCAAGGTAGCCAAGAAGGGAAAAAAGAGTCGTGCATGAAACGTTTGTCCAGTTCCCTGTGTTGGGCACTGGGCATCACGGATGTGCCTACAGGTGTCTGTCACCAAGGTGGGCTCCTCTGTGGCAGCTCCCGGGCCCTGGCACTGCCCTGTGCTCATGACTTCCCCTCCAGACTCAGGGCCCTTGGTATCTCCTCTTATTTTCACTGCCAGACAGGAAGGCCCCTTGGCCTGAGTCCAGCCATTTTTCTAGATCCTGGCACAGCTTGGACATGTAATGGTGCCCAATGCATGTGACTGGAACCCCTGCATTGGACATGAAGGAAACGAGGCCAGCCGGGAAAGGTAACCCCACATTCCCACAGCCAGCAGGAACCCGAGCAGAGGCTTCAACCCAGGCTTCTGACTTGCAAAGCAGTGCTCCTTCCTCCTTACACAGTAACAACAGGGGAAGGTGGCCTTCCGGGTTGCCAGAGCCGAGTGGTACCAGCAATAGAGTGGAAACTCACACACAGGCTTGCCTGCTTCCTGGGTTAGGGTTAGGGTTTATATGGCTCCGGGAGGTTGATGCATTGTGTTTGATCATCCCCCCTTTTTTTTTTTTTGAGACAGAGTCTCATTCCTGTTGCCCAGGCTGGAGCACAGTGGTGTAATCTTGCTCACAGCAACTTCTGCCTCCCAGGTTCAAGCAATTGTCCCGCCTCAGCCTCCCGAGTAGCTGGGATCACAGGTGTGCGCCACCACACCCAGCTGATTTTTGTATTTTTAGTAGAAACGGGGTTTCACCATCTAGGCCAGGCTGGTCTCGAACTCCTGACCTCATATGATCCACCTGGTTTGGCCTCCCAAAGTGCTGGGATTATAGGCGTGAGCCACTGCGCTCATCCTGATCATCTTGTCTCTCTTTTTTTTTTTTAGAGACAGGGTCTCACTCTGTCACCCACACTGGAGTGCAGTGGCACAATCATAGCTCACTGCAGCCTCCAAATCCTGGGCTCAAGCGATCCTCCTGCCTCAGCCTCCAGACAT
The DNA here is from genome assembly GCF_000001405.40 of Homo sapiens. Lineage (NCBI taxonomy): Eukaryota > Metazoa > Chordata > Mammalia > Primates > Hominidae > Homo > Homo sapiens. Next base: position 30,216,601 of record NC_000016.10, on the reverse strand, counting down.
ATGGGCATGCACCACCATGCCCAGCTAATTTTTAAATTTTTAGTAGATCTGGGGTCTCACTATGTTGCCCAGGCTGTTCACAAACTCCTGGCCTCAAGTGATTCTCCTGCCTTGGCCTCCGAAGGCGCTGGGATTCCAGGCATGAGCCACCATGCCCAGTCTCATTTCTGTTTTATCTAGAACATGTTTTCATCACACTGACTTTTTTGAGAAGTCCAGGCCAGATTTAAATTCCATTTTGTCTTTTTATCGGTAGAAAAGTAGCATATTTATGTTGCAGGACAAAGATGAATCAAATAGGAAGAAAATGTAAAACACATTTGGGGCCAGGCACAGTGGCTCATGCCTGTAATCCCAGCACTTTGGGAGGCCAAAGTGGGCAGATCACCTGAAGTCAGGAGTTCCAGACCAGCCTGACCAACATGGAGAAACCCTGTTTCTTTTTTTTTTTTACTGATCTCCAGAACTCTTTTTTTTTTTTATTGATCATTCTTGGGTGTTTCTCGCAGAGGTGGATTTGGCAGGGTCATAGGACAATAGTGGAGGGAGGGTAAGGTCACAGATCAACAGGATCCCAAGGCAGAAGAATTTTTCTTACTACAGAACAAAATGAAAAGTCTCCCATGTCTACTTCCTTCTACACAGACACGGCAACCATCCGATTTCTCAATCTTTTCCCCACCTTTCCCCCCTTTCTATTCCACAAAACCGCCACTGTCATCATGGCCCGTTCTCAATGAGCTGTTGGGCACACCTCCCAGCCGTGGTGGGAGACATGCACCACCACGCCTGGCTAATTTTTGTATTTTTAGTAGAGGCGGGCTGGCCAGGCTGATCTGGAACTCCTGACCGCAAGTGATCCACCCGCCTTGGCCTCCCAAAGTGCTGAGATTACAGGCGTGAGCCACTGCACCTGGCCCATTGATTTAAAAATATATATATATATTTAGTTTTAATGTATTGAGGGGGTATAAGTACGAGTTTCTCACATGCCTATATCGCATAGTGGTGAAGCCTGGGTAGTTCATTGATCTGGGTTATCAGAAAACTGTGTTCAAGAGGACTTGTTAGAGTTTTCTCCATGCAAAGCAAATTTGGGGGCAGGACGCAGTGGCTGACTGCTGTAATCCCAGCACTTTCGGAGGCTGAGGAGGGCGGATCACGAGGTCAGGAGCTGGAGACCAGCCTGGCCAACATGGTAAAACCCTGTCTCTACCACCACCAGTTAGCTGGGCGTGGTGCTGGGCGACTGTAGTCCTAGCTACTTGGGAGGCTGAGGCAGGAGAATCGCTTGAACCCAGGAGGCAGAGGTTGCAGAGAGCCAAGATGGCACCACTGCACTCCAGCCTGGGTGACAGAGCCAGACTCCATCTCAAAAAAAAAAAAAAAAAAGGTATTTACTAAATTTTAGTATCAAAATAACAAATTATGTATGTTTTGGGGAAAGAAATCTGGTTATTAAATCTTCATTTCGATTGAGTTCTATGTAAATTAAAATTCACTCTAAGAACTATTTTTTGGTGTAAAACTTCATCTGTCCAAAAGTGTTCAGGAGATAACCTGAGATTTTAGAATAGAAATGTAAACAATCAAAACCAAGAAACCAAGTTTCCTGAAACTTGCATTAAAATATTAGAAATATTAATAATTCTAAAATGCCATTTTGCCACTGTTATTCATATTAACCAAAATATCAGAGAAGTAATATTTCAGACTAGATCAGGAAAAAATGTCTGAATACAATTAAAAAATAATCATTGATAATTTTTTTAAAAGTGGGTCTATAAATAGTAGTAATTCCTCAAAATGAAGTGCATAATTGGCACATCAAATATTTTGTCTGCAGGCAATTCTGTGCATTTTAGGTCAAAATGTGGTCCCTTTAAGAGAGTCCTTGACTTCTCATTTCTCCGGGGACCCTTCTGTGGCACTGGTCCCCTTTGTATATAAAATGGTGAAAGCTGACTTGAATGTGCCGTCACCGCTCTGCTGGGAAAAACAGATGAAGGTGGCCCAGAGAAAACCACAGACTCCAGCGTAAGCTGTTCTCCATTGAACAGGAACAAGGCTGAAGTTGGTTAGCTGGAACAGGGAGAGTGAGTCCATTAGGGCCACATGGAAACCAAAGCCCTGAGTTCATATTACTGAGCAGGCGGAACTCACCTGTACTAAGGGCCAGTACATCAGTCCGCTCTGGAATTAAAAAAAAAAAAAAAAGCAACAACTTAATTAGAATGCCTTTTATTTTTTATTTATTTATTTTGTTTTTTATTTTTTGAGACAGGGTCTCACTCTGTTGCCCAGACTGGAGTGCAGTGATGCAATCTTAGCTCACCGTAACCTCTGCCTCCTGGGTTCAAGCAATTGTCGTGCCTCTGCCTCCTGAGTATCTGCGATGACAGATGCACACCACCTCACCTGGCTAAATTTTGTATTTTTAGTAGAGACGGGTTTTCAACATGTTGGCCAGGCTGGTCTCGAACTCCCGACCTCAGGTGATCCGCCCACCTCGGCATCCCAAAGCGCTGGGATTACAGGTGTGAGCCACTATACTCGACCTAGAATACCTTTTAGCCACACAAAACAATTGCACAGTTCATTCCATAAAAGAGTAAGAAATACTAGGCCAACAAGATGCCAAGGTAGTATTATATTTCAGACTAAGCTGATTAAATTAGACTACTAAGGCCTCTAGAGTGAGGGGGTTGGGGAGTTGTGGGGAAAAAAGCTATTAGGTACAAGACATTTCTATTAATTATATTTTTAACATCAGAATGAAAAGTCTACTAGAATCAGTACCAATTCTGGAAGAGAGCCGCTTTGGAAATGACAGCATGTATTTATGCATTGCAATTTCCTGGTTACCATGAACAAATGATGCAGGAATATATTTGTAAATACAGAATCATCAATGAATTCTCTTTTTTAAAATTAATTATATATATATTTTCTGAGACATGGTATCTCTATGTTGCCCAGGCTGGTCTTGAACTCCCAGGCAAAAGCAATAGTCCCACCGCAGCCTCCCAAAGTGCTGGGGTTATAGGCATGAGCCACCTCATCCTGCTGAATTATTTTATTTATTTATTTTGTTTGAGATGGAGTCTCATTCTGTCGCCTAAGCTGGAGTGCAGTGGCAAGATCTCGGCTCACTGCAACCTCTGCCTCCTAGGTTCAAGTGATTCTCCTGCCTCAGCCTCCTCAGTAGCTGGGATCACAGGCACCTGCCACCATGCTCGGCTAATTTTTGTATTTTTATTAGAGACAGGGTTTCACCATGTTGGCCAGGCTGGTCTTGAAGTCCTGACCTCAGGTGATTTGCCTGCCTCCTCCTCCCAAAGTGGTGGGATTACAGGCGTGAGCCATTGTGCCCAGCCTTGAATTGTTAAAACTATATACCAAACCATTGTTTATGGAATGATTTTCAATAATATATTCAAACCATGGGATGCTATAGCACAAGTTTAGCTGAAATTTTCATATATTACAAAATATCTTAGACATTTTAACAAGCTTTATTCTATACAGTCCGATAAAAAAGTCACCATTATGAATTTTTTTTTTTAAAAAAGTCTTGGTATGTAAATTATATCTCAAAAAAAAGCTAGAGGATTTTAAAATAGTTCTTAAAAGTGGTATTACAGACTTATTTTCTTCTTTTTACTAATTTGTATTTTCTGAAGTTTCTAAAATGAACAATTGCAATAAAAGCTTTATAATATTTATGTTTATATTTAAAAGTAGATATTACATATAATGTGTGTGTGTATATACATATATTTTGTTTTGTTTTGTTTTGTTTTATTTTGTTTTGTTTTTGAGGTGGAGTTTCGCTCTTGTTGCCCAGGCTGGAGTGCAATGGTGCGATCTCGGCTCACTGCAACCTCCACTTCCCGGGTTCAAGGGATTGTCCTGCCTCAGCCTCTGAGCAGCTGGGATTACAGGTGCACACGACCACGCCCAGTTAATTTTTTGTATTTTTAGTAGAGACAGCGTTTCACGATATTGGCCAGGCTGGTCTTGAACTCCTGACCTCAGGTGATCTGCCCACCTCGGCCTCCCAAGGTGCTGGGATTACGGTTGTGAGCCACCATGCCTGGCCATAAAATATATTTTACATATATTTTTGAGACGGAGTTTCGCTCTTGTGCCTTTCAAATTCCCGAGTTCATGGGATCCAGCCACCTCGGCCTCCCAAAGTGCTGGGATTACAGGCGTGAGACACTGAGCCTGGCCCTTAATTTTTAAATATACTTTAAATATAAAATATACCCCTGTAATCCCAGCACTTTGGGAGGCCAAGGCAGCCGGATCACCTGAAGTCGGGAGTTTGAGACCAGCCTGACCAACATTGAGAAACCCCATCTCTAACAAAAATACAAAAATTAGCAGGGCGTGATGGCAGGAATCTGTAATCCCAGCTACTCAAGAGGCTGAGGCAGGAGAATTGCTTGAACCTGGGAGGCAGAGGTTGCAGTGAGCTGAGACTGCACCATTGCACCCCAACCCGGGCAACAGAACGAGACTCTGTCTCAAAAAATAATAATAATAATAATTTAAAACTTCAGCAAAAATAATCAGAAGACTAAACTCATCCAAATATGGCTTTCCTTCTTTCTTTTTTTTTTTTCTTAATAGAGATGAGGGCTCACTATGTGGGCCAGGTTGGTCTTGAACTCCTGGCCCCAAGCAATCCTCCTGCCTCAGCCTCCCAAAGTGTTAGGATTACAGGAGCCACTGTGCCCGGCCATGGCTTTATTTCTTATGGCTGTGTTTTTTCCTGTCAGAATATAGTATCATGTAGTAGTATATTTTGTTCTCAAACCGTTCCCCCACAAAAAGGAATCAGGATGCCTCAGAGAATTGGCTGATTCTAGGGCCAGGGCAGGGCAGGTGCAAGGTACAAGATGGTCCTGGAACACACTGTCATGCCAGGAAGGAAGTGGCTTATGAAAGAAGAAAAGGAGAAAGAAGATGGGTGATGTCACAGGACACAGGAACCAGCGTGGAGGGACTCCAATTGGCCGAATCTGGGACATGAGAGCACTAAAAATAATTAAACCCTGTCATGAACTCTCCTCTGTGCTTCGGCAATCTCCCTCTGAATAGGCCAAAGGCATCTGGCATTCAACATTTCCCAAACTGAACTCACCTCATCTTTTTTTTGAGACAGAGTCTTGCTCTGTCACCCAAGCTGGAGTGCAGTGGTGCAATCTCACCTCACTACAATCTCTGCCTCCCAGGTTCAAGTCATTCTCTGTAGGGACCAGCCCCACAGGGTCGGTGGGTCTCTCCCTAAGTGCGGCAATGAGAGAGTGTAGAAATAAAGACACAAGACAAAGAGACAAGAGAAAAGGCAACTGGGCCCGGGGGACCACTACCACCAATGTGCAGAGACTGGTAGTGGCCCCGAATGTCGGGCTGCGCTGTTATTTATTGGATACAAGGCAGAAGGGGCAGGGTAAAGAATGTGAGTCACCTCCAATGATAGGTAAGGTCACGTGGGTCATGTGTCCACCGGACAGGGGGCCCTTCCCTGCCTGGCAGCCGAGGCAGAGAGGGAGAGGAGACAAAGAGAAAGACAGCTTATGCCATTATTTCTGCATATCAGGGACTATTAGTATTTTCACTAATTTACCACTGCTATCTAGAAGGCAGAGCCAGGTGTACAGGATGGAACATGAAGGTGGACTAGGAGTGTGACCACTGAAGCACAGCATCACAGGGAGACGGTTAGGCCTCCGGATAACTGCGGGCGAGCCTGACTAATGTCAGGCCCTCCACAAGAGGTGGAGGAGCAGAGTCTTCTCTAAACTCCCCCAGGGAAAGGGAGACCCCCCTTTCCTGGTCTGCTGAGTAGCGGGTGTTGTTTCTTGACACCTTTTGCTACCGCTGGACCACGATCCGCCTGGTAACGGGCGTCTTCCCAGACGCTGGCGTCACCGCTAGACCAAGGAGCCCTCTGGTGGCCCTGTCCGGGCATAACAGAAGGCTCGCACTCCTGTCTTGCAGTCACACCTCACTATGTCCCTTCAGCTCCTGTCTCTGTATGGCCTGGTTTTTCCTAGGCTATGATTATAGAGCAAGGATTATTATAATATTGGAAGAAAAAGTAATTGCTACAAACTAATGATTAATGATATTCATATATAATCATATCTAAGATCTATATCTGGTATAACTATTCTTGTTTTATATTTTATTATACTGGAACAGATCGTGTCCTCTGTCTCTTGCCTCGGTGCCTGGGTGGCTTGCCGCCCACAGAGGAAGCTCTAGGGCCTGCCTGTGCTGTCTCCCTGCCAGCCAGCACCCTTTGTCTCACCATTTTCTGCTGTGACCCCCAGCCTCCACCCAGTGGGCTCCTCTCCCCGATGCTCCCCTCCTTGAGCCCCTCAGGCCCCTCACATGTGGAAACCTCCCAGGCCGGCCAGGCCTGTGATCCACCTGCCCAGCCACAGTCCATCTGGGCTCCAGGACAAGCATGGTCCATTGAGCAACTGAGCTGGTACTGGGGGCCAGAGCCTGGTGTGGGAATGAACAAAACTCTGATGATTCCGCAGAATGAGGAGGGGACACCATGGCTCATGCCTGTAATCCCAGAGCTTTGGAGGCCCAGTGGGGAAGAATCACTTGAGCCTTGGACTTTGAGACCAACCTGGGCAATACAGCAAGACCCCATCTCTAGAAAAAAAATATTTAAAACTGAGCTGGGCAGCCAGGTGTGGTGGCTCACACCTGTAATCGCAGCATTTTGGGAGGCCAAGGTGGGGCGGATCACCTGAGGTCGGGAGTTCAAGACCAGCCTGACCAACATGGAGAAACCCCTTCTCTATGAAAAATACAAAATTAGCAGGGTGTGATAGCGCATGCCTCTAATCCCAGCTCCTTGGGAGACTAAGGCAGGAGAGTCGCTTGAACCCAGGAGGCGGAGGTTGCAGTGAGCTGTATCATGCCATTGCACTCCAGCCTGGGCAACACGAGCAAAACTCCGTCTCAAAAAAATAAAAAATAAATTAAAAATAAGTTTAAAAAATTAGCTGGGCATGGTGGCTCTCTCCTGTACACCCAGCTACCAGGGAAGCTGAGGCGTGATTATCATGTGAGCCCATGATTTTGAGGCTGCAGTGAGCTACAATTTGGCCACTGCACTCCAGCCTGGGTGTCAGAGCCAAGCCTTGTCTCAAAAAAACAAAAATAAAAAAGAAAGAAGGGAAGCCAGGCTGGAGTTCCCCTAGTGAAACTGGATATCCGTGGGGAAACAGCCAGTATGGCAGAGGCCTTGGCTGCTGGAATGTTGGCTCCAAAAGCTGAGCAGGGTGAGGGCGCCCTGGGCCATTCCACTCTAGTACTCACCTGAGCTTTCTGGAATTTTGCTCCCTTGCCCTGGTGGCTGAGTGTGGGGTGTGTGGAGCTGTTGTCTGCCCTGAGGGTGTGGTAGGTCTAATGTGGGAGGGATCCGGAGTCGGGACCAGACTTGGGTTTGCTCCCGGAAGGAAGGGGTGGGGTTGAGAACGAGGGAGCTTCTCTATTAGCCTCCTCAGCACCACAGCTGCAGCCAAGCTTAGAGTGATCTGCAAAGCCAAGATGTGAGTTTAGTGTTTAGTTGTGATTAGAAAGCACAAGAATAAAAGGCAAAAGAGCCCAATGTATAATTTATTTATTTATTTATTTTGAGATGGAGTCGTGATCTGTCGCCCAGGCTGGAGTACAGTGGCAGGATCTCGGCTCACTGTAACCTCCACCTCCTGGGTTCAAGCAATTCTCCTGCCTCAGCCTCTTGAGTAGCTGGGATTACAGGCATCCGCCACCACACCCGGCTAATTTTTGTATTTTTAGTAGAGGCGGGGTTTCACCATGTTGGTCAGGCTGGTCTTGAACACCTGACCTCAGGTGATCCGCCTGCCTCGGCCTCCCAAAGTGCTGGGATTACAGGCATTAGCCACTGCTCCTGGCGGCTTTTTTTATTTTTTGAGCTGTCACCGGGCTCTTGAGCTGCCCTCTGAACTCCACCCTGCAGGGCAGGCCAACAGAAGAGCTTTTTCTAATTGACCCAGCCAAGGGAAGTGAGCCGGTGAGTGGGGAAAAATGGGTACTCACTAGACAGAAACAGGGCAGGTCATGTTTCCCAGGGCAGTCTTGAAGGCGCCAATGCTTCTAGTCCAGTGCAGCCTGCATGCAAGCCCCCAGCAGCCCAGGCATTCCAGGCTCTGACCACAGGGCCAGTCTGGAGTAATATGTGTGGGCAGAGTTGAAGGGGCAGCGGTGGAGCAGAGCATGGATGCATAGAACAAGAAAGAACAAAGACGCTGGAGTCCCATCACCCTGGGAGCCAGCCCAGTTTCATGGCTCTCAGGGGAAGTTACAGAGCTTCGCTAGAAGATCCTAGAAAAACAGCAGCCCGTGGCAGGTGCTTTTGTTTCCCTGGGTTTGAAGGAGGCTCCACAGACAAGAGACCAGAGGAGGTTGAGGCTTGGAAGCCACAGGGCCCTGTGGAAGGAGGGCATCCCCCCACCCTCCTCATTCTTTGTCTTCACTATTTAAAGTTCAAGGTCAAGCTGGGGCCAGGCATGGTGGCTCACGCCTGTAATCCCAGCACTTTGGGAGGCCAAGGTGGGCAGATCACGAGGTCAGGAGTTCAAGACCAGCTTGGCCAACATGGTGAAACCCTGTCTCTACTAAAAATACGAAAATTAGCCAGGCACGGTGGTGGGCACCTGTAATCCCAGCTACTGGGGAGGCTGAGGCAGGAGAATTGCTTGAACCCGGGAGGCGGAGATTGCAGTGAGCTGAGATCACGCCACTGCACTCTAGCCTGGGTGACGCAGCAAGACTCCAACTCAAAAAAAAAAAAAAAAAAAAAAAAGGTCAAGCTGGGCACGAGACACGAGACAGGTAACCATTTGAGTAAAGGTGAGTCTCCCAAGCCTTCCAAGAATTGTGTGAATTCAGAGGCAAGCGGGCAGGTGGGAGTGTGGGAGAAGCTGAGGCGTCCGGCTTCCAGGCAGAGGAGAAGCTGCTCACATGCTAGGGCCACAGGCCCCTCCTCCCTCCTCTGGAAGCCCCTTGACTGGCAGGACCACAGGCAACTAGCTCTGCCTCCGCCCTCAGCAACCAACAGAAGGCACCCTTGACTCAGACTTTGTATTGCATTCCAGTAAAAAGCCCCAGACCCGCAGTGGATGGCATAGAAAAAAGGTGGGAGGGGGGTTACACAGCTCAATCCTGTGAGGCAGGGGCGACGATTATTCACATCTTAGAGATGAGGAAATGGAGGTGGGGGGGGGGTAAAATCCTTGCCCCCAGGGACTAAGCTGGCCAGTGTCCTGTGAGCATGGGCAGTGATTGACTGAGTCACAGCCTCACCCCTGCAGCCAGATCTGAACTTCCTCATAGCTCAGCAACCCCCGCCAGATCACTGAATCTCTGCAGGGCAAGCCCTTTACTCACTCACAGTAGAGGCCAGGACCATCGTCTGTTATTTTATTAACTGTTTCTTGGCCATTGGCTCTATGTGGGACTTTGTTCTACAGCAGTGATGAGAGCTGCCCCCAGGCAGTTTAGTACACAGGTTCGGAAGGGGTTTAATGAGATGCATAAAATTTGTAGTATGGCAGAAAATAATAAGGGTTCAGGAAAGGGGGGCGGGCAGGGAAGTGCACAAGAAAGAGCCGCAATTTTATTGTATTTTATTTTTTTAGAGACAGGGTCTTGCTGTTTCCCCCAGGCTGGAGTGCAATGGAGTGATCATAGCTCACTTCAGCCTCCAACTCCTGGGCTCAAGCGATCCTCCCACCTCAGCCTCCCCCGTAGCTGGGACTACAGGCATATGCCACCATGCCCGGCTTCTCAGAGCTGCAATTTTAAATTGGGAGCCAGGGAAGACCTCCCTGTGGAGGTGGCAGGTTATCAAGACTGAAGATGTAGAGAAGAACCTTCCAGTCAAAGGGAAAAGGCAGGTCCTGCTGTGCTCAGGAATGGCCAGAAGTACTATCATCCATCCCCATCTTAGAGATGTGGACAGGGCCGCAACAGTGTCAGGGCGTTTCCTGGCTCCTCAACAGCAGGATCCGAAGTCGTCTGGAGGATGTGCCGCTCTGCTTGGGGCGGACCTCCCCTGGAGCGCACCTCCCCTGGAGCGCGCGGACGCGCAGGGTGCACACAGCCCTCTTGGACCCCGGGACCGGCTCAGGCTCAGGCTCGGCGTCAGCAAAGGGACCTGCGCGGCGCCCTGGGGCGGAGGAGGCCCGACGGTCAGTGGCCAGTGCCGTGCGGCTGACGGAGGTCGGGGCGCAACGGGACCGGGAGGAGCGCCCAGGGCGGGGGTGCCAGGCCCCCTCCAACCGCGGCGGGGTTGGAGTCAAGGCGGCTCCGGGCGGGGGTCGGACCCCAAATCCAGGCCACAGGCCGCCGCCCGGTCTTCTTCTTTACCCGAAGGGCGGCCGCGGCGGATGGGAAGCCGTGCACGACGAGCACAATCTCCATGGGGAGGAGAACAGGAATGTTCCTGTGAGCCCCGCCGCGCCCTACCGCCAGCGCAGCCCAGCATCGCGGGTCCCCTCCTATCCCACCGGAGAACGGGGTCCTCACTCCCAGCTTCAGCCGAGCCCTGGCCCCGCAACTGCCTGAAGGCACGCCCCCTGCACCTGCCCACCTCAGGTCCCGCCTCCAGCCCAGGTACCCACCTGTTCTCATTCCTCTCCCTCCTGCGCTCCACCCGACCCCAGCGTGCCCCCCAAGACCCCTGCGCTGGACCCCAGCCTGGATCATCACCCTCGCCTCAGCCAGCTGCTCTCCGGAGTTCTAACGCCGAGATTCCCAGGGCACCGCCTCCCCGTTAGGCTCCTCCCCTGCGACAGCCTCCCCCCACCAACAGGCCTCGCCCGGGACGTCCCGCGCACGTCACAGACCTAGTGGGTCCCTCTCAGCAGGCTTGTGCCCCCCGGTTCCGCCTCCTCCAGGGAGCCTTCCTCCGGGCACAGAGACCCTCCCCCTCTTAACAGGGACCTCGGCCAATGGTCCGCCAAGCCCCGCCTTTTTTGCGGCCACCATTGTGCTGCTGGACGAACAGGGTTGACAGTGAGCCCCACGTAGACAGGGCCCGGGTACCAGGGATTCAGGCAGTAGAGCAGCTGGACGCTGAAGAGGCACCCGGCCTCGCCCCGATTCCCGCGGGACCCTTCGAATTTTAGGAACTTTTCACTAACGAAACACACTTCTGTGTCAGCACCGACATCAAGAAGAGAACCTCACCAGCACCTCAGAACCCGCTTTGTCCCTCCCTGGTTCCTTCCCCTGGGTGCCTGGTGTGCTGCCGTCTCACCCATATGTAGTTGAGCGCAGCAGCCCCTGTAGGACACCTGGCAGATCAGGTCACAGTCCTGCTGTGCCCTCGGGCTCACTCGGGAGCTGGGGGCTCCCAGGTGCTCCTCCAGCAGCTCAGTTCAGCATGCTGGGGGGTCAGGGCCAGCCCCTGTCCCTGGGGCCTCAGGCCTCCCTTTCTTCCCACAGTGGCCAAGATCGCGGGTCTCTACAATGACTTGGAGCCACCCCGGAAGACCATGCGCAGAGGGGTGCTGATGACCCTGCTGCAGCAGTCGGCCATGACCCTGCCCCTGTGGATTGGGAAGCCTGGTGACAAGTGAGGGCAGCAGCTGCGAGGAAGGGGCTGGTGCCCAGGGGCTGGGACTGATCCTTTGTTCCACTCACAGGCCCCCACCCCTCTGTGGGGCCATCCCTGCCTCAGGAGACTACGTGGCCAGACCTGGAGACAAGGTGGCTGCCCGGGTGAAGGCCGTGGATGGGGATGAGCAGTGGATCCTGGCCGAGGTGGTCAGTTACAGCCATGCCACCAACAAGTGAGTGACACCAGCCCCGGGGCTGCTCTCTGCCCTTCCTGTCCACCTGCCCCACAGCCCCAGGAGGACTATTCTATCCTGTTTGAAGACACCTCCTATGCAGACGGCTACTCCCCTCATCTCAGTGTGGCCCAGAGGTACCTGGTAGCTTCTAAGGAGCCCAAGAAAAAGTGACGCTGCCCGGCGGACTCGACGTCCTCCACCATCTTGGGGCAGGACAGCAGAGGATGTGCTGGGATTAAACAGACATCCCCCCTCCACACATCTCCTGGGTTTTACTTCTCCAAACCCTTCTCCCCTCCCCAGATATGGTGACCTGGGGAGCTGAAGGCTGGGGGAGAGGTGACCATATGTGGCCCCACCGGGCATTCACTCTTTCAGCTCAGAGTTTCTCTTCCTTTCCAATACAGGCTCTACATGAACACAAATCATATTTTATTTTAATTGAGCTTTATTTTCTTTGGAGGGAGGGTCTTGCTTGTCATCCAGGCTGTAGTGAATGGGCATGTCATAACTCACTGTATCCACAACCTCCTGGGCTGAAATGATCCTCCAGCCTCTGCTTCCCAAGTAGCTGGGACTACAGGTAAGTGCCAGCACATGTGGCTAATTTTTTTACATCTTTGTAGAGATGAGGTCTCACTATTTTACCAGGCTGGTCTCAAATTCGTGGCCTATTGTGATCCTACCAGCTCAACCTCCCAAATCGCTGGGATTGCAGACATGAGCCACTGTGCCTGACTCAAAAATCATACTTTATTCTTGAGCCCATTGGTCAGGGTAGATTCGCACACTCCCTCTGCAGTGACTCCAGGAGCCCCTCTCACAGCTCAGAGCGGAAGCTGAGGCTGCAGCCTGCCATCTTCTCCGCATAGTCCGCATCGAAGCGCTCATTCTGCGCCACGGTGAAGGTGGTCTTCCAGTCCCCAGCCATGCCTGGGGGAGGAAGGCAGGGAGCAAAGCTGGAGTCTCATCCCAGGGGAGGCCCCAAGTGCCTATGGGGAGGCTGCAGCTGCTGCTCCCACCCGCCCCAAACCCCCGTGCTGGCCAGCACCCACCTTTCCTCATGAAGGGGGAGATGCTGTGGTCCATGAGCTCCTGGGGGACGGTGGTGTAGTTGGTCATAGGGTTCTTCTTCATCTCCTTGAACGACGTGTGCTGAACCATGAAGTCCATGGTCTCCTCTGGCAGGGAGCGCCCCACAAACTCCAGGATCTTTTGAATCTCCCTTTTGGGGTTCTGAGCAGCAGAGGGCTCCTCAGTGGAGCAAAACAAAACGGGTCCCCCTCTCTAACCTCAGAGGGGATCTGGCCACTTCCCCTAGAAACCCCAAAGAGCCTCAACCCCTGGGGCCCTAGTCTCTGGAGTAAAATGAATTGATCTCTGCCCTGTGATCCCATCATGAACAGGGCTTGGCGCCTATGGGTGAGGACCGGGATGGTCTTCTTCCATGACTGTGGCCCTGGGTGGCACACCCTTTGGTGAGGATAAGCAATAGGACTAAGTATCTGATCCGTGGCCACCCATGCAGCTGACTCAGGTGCAGAAGATGAAAGCTGTGCCGAGCCTGCTGCCAGGTGGGGCTGCAGTGGGGGGGCCTGGGCCAGGGAGGTAGGATGGGGAATCCGGGCTTGCTGTGGGAGCCGCCCAGGGACGGGGCTGGGTGGCCTTGGTGGGTCCCTGTGAGGTGCCTGCCCCCAGGTGTCACATGGGGGGAAGCATCACAGTCGGTCTCACCTCCTTCATGTCTTCATAGAAGAGGTAGAGAACAGGGTGGGTGCGGCTCAGCTCCCACCACTCCTGCACGTGCTGGTACCAGGACCCGTAGGACACTAGAGAAGCGGGCAGGGGGCACCGACACAGGGTTGCTGTACGTTATAGCCACCACCCCTCGGCTTCACACCCTCCTTCCTCCAGTCAAGCCCACCTTCTCCAGCCATGAACTTTTCCAGGAAGCTGTCCCAGGTCCCAGGCTCAGGGTGCGCCTTTTCCATACGGTGGAAATGGTAGTAGGAGACCGCCACGTCCTTTGGGTTTCGGGCAACATAGACCACCTGCAGGGGCAGAGGACCCAGCCCCAGCACCATCACCACACAGCCCACCCCAGGCCAGCTCATCTGTTGAACTGGCAAAGGAGGAACCTGAGGCTTAGAGGCTGACTTGCTTGAGATCTCACTGCACAGGTAGGGCCAAGCTGGGATCTGAACCCTGCTCGGAAGCCAAAGTCCTGCCTGGTTCCTGAGACCATATTCTATACTAATATAATCTGCACCAATGCCATCATATCCTGATCTGGAGCAAGGCATGCCTGGTCCCCACCAGCTCCCCCTCCTCCGCTGACCTGTGAGCACCCACATGCTGCCTTTCTTAAGTGTGCACTGTAGAGACTCACTATCCTTGCATCAGACCCTCATCAGAGCAAGAGGCAGACAGTGTCCTCTCTCAAGATGTGATGAAGGCTGGGCGTGGTGGCTCATGCCTCTAATCCCGGCACTTTGGGAGGCCAAGGTGGCCAGATCACCTGAGGTCAGGAGTTCAAGACCAGCCTGACCAACATGGTGAAACCCCATCTCTACTAAAAATACAAAATTAGCCGGGCGTGGTGGCAGGTACCTGTAATCCCAGCTCCTTGGGAGGCTGAAGCAGGAGAATTGCTTGAACCCAGGAGGCGGTGGTTGCAGTGAACCGAGATCACACGATTGCGCTCTAGCCTCGGCAACAAGAGTGAAACTGTCTCAAAAAAAAAAAGGGCCAGGCGCGGTGGCTCACGCCTGTAATTCCAGCACTTTGTGAGGTCGAGGCAGGAGGATCACAAGGTCAAGAGTTTGAGATCCACTTGACCAACATGGTGAAACCCCGTCTCTACTAAAAAGAATACAAAAATTAGCCGGGTGTGGTAGCACACGCCTGTAATCCCAGCTACTCAGGAGGCTGAGGCAGGAGAATCACTTGAACTGGGGAGGCGGAGGTTGCAGTGAGCTGAGATCATGCCACTGCACTCCAGCCAGGGTGACAGAGCAAGACTCTGTCTCAAAAAAAAAAAAAGATGTGATGAGCCTGGCAGAAGCGAGGAGGCCCTTCCAGAAGAACAGGTACATGGCTGAGAGGGCACCTGAGCCCCCCTTCCTGGCTTTCCTTGCCAGTCAGTGGGAACTTTTTTTTTCGTAGAGATGGTTTTGCTGTGTTGCCCAGGCTGGAGTGCAGCAGCAGGATCATCAGGGCTCATTGCAGCTTCCTATTTGCATAAACAGTCCTCCCCGCTGAGCCTCCTAAGTAACTGGGAACAGTCTATGCCACCATACCAGGTTGTTAATTTTATTTTTGTAGAGATGGGATGTCATCTCTACAGCAATGTTGCCCAGGCTGGTCTCCATCTCTCGCCTTCAAGGGATCCTCCCTCCTCAGTCTCAAACTGGGATGACAGGTGTGAACCATTGAGCCCGGCCTCACCTTGACCTTCTGATCCAACAGAGTCTGAGGGAGCAGAGCCAGGGGCAGGTGTGACTTGATGAGCCGTGGGGGCGGTGTGTCTTTCAGAGTCTCCAGCCCTGAGTAGTGGGTCAGGGAAGGTCTGGTGAGCTGAAGCCCCAGCCCTGTCTTCCTCCACTTCCCTTACCCCCAGGACCCAGCCATGCACCTGAGGGTTCCCCTGGATCATTGACCTCAAGGAAGGGCACCCGTACGTAGATGGGAGCCCGGTTACACTTCTCTAGGTCGCCGCCCTGGTAGATCATGTCCAGTATCTGGCTCACCCAGGTGGTGCCTGGAGAGGGAGGGAGATAGGAGGTGAGCAGGCTGAGGGCACGACCTTGCTGACCAAGGTGGGGACTGCCGCCTGGGAGAGGGTGGGTGGCCCTCCTCACTTACCAGACTTGGGGTAGGTGTTGATGAGCAGGTCATCAGGTCGGGCTTGGAAGCTCTGCAGGGGCCCCAGTGCCTCTGCAAAGTACTTGATGAGCGGGACCCCCTTCACGTACTCCAGTGGCGGGCGGGAGGTGTCCTGGATCAGCTCCATGTTCCTGCATCAGGGGCCAGAGCCAGGCCCGTTCCCTTACCACCATCACAACAGCAAGAAAGTGGGATTCTCTCTTTTTTTTTTTTTTTTTTGAGATGGAGTCTCACTCTCACCCAAGCTGGAGTGCAGTGTGGCACAATCTCAGCTCACTGCAAACTCCACCTCTTGGGTTCAAGCAATCCTCCCGCCTCGGCATCCCAAGTAGCTGGGATTACAAGCATGTACAACCATGCTCAGCTAATTTTTTTTTTTCTTTAGTAGAGATGGGGTTTCACCATGTTGGCCAGGCTGGTCTAGAACTCCTGGCCTCAAGTGATTTGTCTACCTCAGCCTCCCAAAGTGCTGGGATTACAGGTGTGAGCCAGCACCCAGCTGCCCCTTTGCAGAGTTTTTGCTTTCAGGGAAGTCACTGAGGCCTAGGGAGGCTGAGTGACTTGCCCGCACTCACAAAGTCAGTCAGTGGCGGGGCTGGGGCTGAAACCAGGTCGTTCCCCAGCCTGGCCGCACCTTTCAGTCACCTGCAGAGCTGTTCAAAATCCCAGGGCCTGGGGCATAGTGCAGACCAGTGAAAGCACCCTCGTAGCGCGGGGCCCAGATATCAGGGTGTGTGAAGGTCTCCAGGAGAGTCCAGCTGTGCTGAGGAAGCTCTAGGGCCTGCCTGTGCTGTCTCCCTGCCAGCCAGCGCCCTTTGTCTCACCATTTCCTGCTGGGACCCCCAGCCTCCACCCAGTGCGCTCCTCTCCCCGATGCTCCCCTCCTTGAGCCCCCCTCATGCCCCTCACATGTGGAAACCTCCCAGGCCGGCCAGGTCTGTGATCCACTTGCCTGGCCACAGTCCATCTGGGCTCCAGAACAAACACAGCCCATTGAGCAACTAAGCTGGTACCAGGGGCTAGAGCCTCGTGCGGGAATGAAAACTGATGACTCATCAAAAGGAGGGGCCCAGGCAGGGTGACTCCCGCCTGTAATCCCAGAGCCTTGGGAGGCCAACGGGAAAGGATCCCTTGAGCCCTGGAGTTTGAGACCAACCTGGACAACAAAGCAAGACCTCTCCTCTACAAAAAATATTTTTCAAAATTAGCTGGGTGTGGTGGCTTGCTCTTGTAACCCCAGCTACTCAGGAGGCTGAGGCGGCAGGATTGCCTCAGCCTAGGAATTTGAGGCTGCAGTGGGCCAGGATCCCACTACACTCCAGCCTGGGTGACGGAGCAACACCCTGTCTCAAAAATACACAAAGGAAAAGAAGGAACGCAGGGGGATTCCGGCCAGGCTGGGTTGTCTAATTGAAATGGAATATCCATGGGAAAGGGCAGGGATGGCAGAGGCCTCGGCTTCTAGAATGTTGGAGCCACAAGCTGAGCAGGGTGAAGGTGCCCTGGGCCATTCCAACGTGTCACTCACCTGAGCTCTCGGGAACCTGACCTGTTCTCTCCTTGCCTGCAGGGGCTGAGTATGGGTGTGGTGTAGGGAGTGTAGGGCTGCTCTCTGCCCTGAGGGTTTTGAAGGTCCAGTGTGGGAGGGATCTAAAGTCAGGGCTGGGAACTCCAGGAAGGAAGGGGTGGGGTTGAGGGTGGGGAAGCTTCTCTATTACCCTCCTTACCACCACAGCTCCAGCCAAGCTTGGAGTGATCTGCAAACCCAATATGTGAGTTTAGTGTATAGAAAACACATGAATGAAAGGCAAAAGGGGCCAACATTGGTATTTGGGTTTTTTTTTTTTTGAGCTGTCACTAGGCTCCTGACCTTCCCTCTGAACTCCACCCTGCAGGGCAGGCCAACAGACAAGCTTTCTTTCTTTCTTTTTCTTTTTTTTATATGAGATGGAGACTCGCTCTCTCGCCCAGGCTGCAATGCAGTAGCACGATCTCCGCTCACTGTAACCTCCCCCTCCTGGGTTCAAGCGATTCTTCTGCCTCAGCCTCCCGAGTAGCTGGGATTACAGGTGCACACCACCACATCCGGTTAATTTTTGTATTTTTAGTAGAGACGGGGTTTTGCCATGTTGGCCAGGCTGGTCTCAAACTCCTGAGCTCAGATGATCCGCCCGCCTCGGCCTCCCAAAGTGCTGAGATTACAGGCATGAGCCACCATGCCTGGCCGACAAGCTTTCTCTAATTGACCCAGGCAAGGGAGGTGAGTGAGTGGAGGGGAAAGGTGGGATAGGCCGGCCTGGGAAAAGTCACCTACCTGCTGGCTACAGGCCAGTCTTGAAGGCGGCAGGGGTTCTGGCCCAGTGCAGTCCACAGGCCCCCAGCAGCCCAGGCATTCCAGGCTCTGACCACAAGGCCAGTCTGGAGTGATGTGTGGGGGCAGAGTGAAGGGGCAGAAGTGGAGCAGAGCATGGACATATAGAACAAGAAAGAGGCTGAGCGTGGTGGCTCACGCCTGTAATCCCAGTACTTTGGGAGGTCGATGCAGCAGGATCACCTGAGGTCAGGAGTTCGAGACCAAGCTGGCCAACATGGTGAAACCCTGTCTCTACTAAAAATACAAAAATTAGCTGGGCATGATGGCGGGCATCTGTAATCCTAGCTACTCAGGAGGCTGAGGCAAGAGAATCACTTGAACCCAGGAGGCGGAGGTTTCAGTGAGCCAAGATCACACCACTGCACTCCAGCCTGGGCAACAGAGTGAGACTCTGTCTCAAAAAAAAAAAAAAAAAAAAAAAAAGAAAGAAAGAAAGAACAGAAAGAATAAGAAAGGACAAGGACACTGTAGTCCCATTGCCCTAGGAGCCAGCCCTAGCTTCATGGCTCCTGGGGGACCTCACAGAGCATCAATAGAAGATCCTAGAAGAAAAACAACCCTGGCAGGTGATTTTCTTTCCCTGGGTTTGAAGGAGGCTCCGTAGACAAGAGACTAGAGGAGATTAAGACTTGGAAGCCACAGGGCCCCGTGGAAGGAGGGCATCCCCCCATCCTCCTTGGTCTTTGTCCTATTTGCATTCAATTTCAAGGTAAGTCTCCCAGGCTTCCAAGAATTGCATGAGCTCAGAGGCAAGTAGGGGAAAGCTGAGGCATGGGGTTTCCAGGCAGAGTAGAAGCTGTTCACGTGCTAGGGCCAGGGGCCCCTCCTGCCTCCTCTGTGCCCCTGAGGAAGCCCCGTGACTGGCAGGACCTTGGGCTACTAGCTCCGCCCCTCCCCTCAGCATCCACCATAAGGCACCCTTGACTCAGACTTTTTATTGTACTCAAGTAAAAACCTGCTGGACCCACAGCAGGTGGCACAGAAAAGAGGTAGGAGGGGGTAAGGACACTGAGGATCAGGTCTCCAGCAGGTCTGTCCAGTGTGCCTGCAGAGGCAAGCAGTGTGGTCACAGGCAGCCCAGGGCAGGGAGTGGGGTAGGGAGCCCGCCACCAAAGCCCACTCACCTCTTCTAATTCTGAGTCTTCTACTTCTTTCTCAGTGTCCATCTGGCACAGCCAGATCAGGTCTCCCCAAAGCAGTGACTTCTCACAGCTACCAAGGAGAGGGGCAGGTAGGAGATACAGAGTCAGATGCCACAAGCCCCCTCCAGTATCCGCCCTGCATGCTGAGATGAGGGCTCAGCTGCCTGGGCCTGGATTGCACAACTGGGCACCCTCTTCCCAGAGGTGGACCAGGCTGGGGCCAGGGGACTGCACTCACCAAGGGCATTGGCCCTCTAGGGGCAGAAGCTGCCCTGGTTCTTCCTGAAGAAACTCCTCTGCCAGGCAGATCACATGGGCCCTTAGCAGGCAGCCAGGGTGGGGGCAACACAAGGGCCCCTCTTCATCCTGACCCAGGCAGCAGGCAGGTAAGAGACAAGGAGGGAGAGGCAGCTGGCAGCAACCCCTCTATGCAGCAGGCACTGTTGCGGGCATTACACAGCTCCATCCCATGAGGCAGGGGTGACTGTTATTTGCATCTTACAAATGAAGAAACTGAGGTGGACAGTTAAAATCCTTGCCCCTAGGACTAAGCTGGTGCAGGTCCTGGGAGCATCAGCAGTGATTGATTGAGTCACAGCCTCACCACTGCAGCCAGACCTGAACTTCCTCACAGCTCAGCAACACCCAGCAGGTCACTGAATGTCCCCAGGGCAAGTCCTCTACTCACTCACAATTACCGGGAGCTCAGTAGAAGGCACCCATCGTCCATTATTTTATTAAATATTTAGGCCGGGCACGGTGGCTCATGCCTGTAATACCAGCATTTTGGGAGGCTTAGGTGGGCAGGATCACCTGAGGTCAGGAGTTTGAGACCAGCCTGGCCAACATGGTTGAAACCCCATCTCTACTAAAAATACAAAAATTAGCCAGGCGCGGTGGCAGGCGCGTGTAATCCCAGCTACTCTGGAGGCTGAGGAAGGAGAATTGCTTGAAACCAGGAGGCAGAGGTTGCAGTGAGCTGAGATCGCGCCACTACACTCCAGCCTGAGCGACAGAGTAAGACTCTGTCTCAAAAAAAAAATAAATAAATAAATAAAAAGAAAATTTCTGGGCCATCGGCTCAGTGCAGGACTTTGTTCTACAGCAGTGATAAGTGCTGCCCTCTGATAGTGCAGTGTGGCAGTTGGGGTGGGAGAGGCTAATGAGATCAAGAAAACACGTAGCATGCCAGACAATAGTAAGTGTTAAGGGAAAGGGGGTGCAGAAAAGTGCACACAAGAATGAGCTGCAGTTCATTACATTGTTTTAGAGACAGGGTCATGTCCAGGCATGGTGGCTCACGCCTATAATCCCAGCACTCTGGGAGGCCGAGGCGGGCAGATCACTTGAGGTCAGGAGTTTGAGACCAGCCTGCCCAACATGGCGAACCCCATCCCTACTAAAAACACAAACATTCGGCAGGTGTGGTGGCACACTTGGGAGGTTGAGATAGGAGAATCGCTTGAACCCAGGAGGCGGAGCTTCCAGTGAGCTGAGATCACTGCACTCCAGCCTCCGCAACAGAGCAAGACTCTGTCTAAAAAAAAAAAAAGGGCCGGGCGCGGTGGCTCATGCCTGTAATCCCAGCACTTTGGGAGGCTGAGGCGGGCGGATCACGAGGCTAGGACATCGAGACCATCCTGGCTAACACGGTGAAACCCCGTCTCTACTAAAAATACAAAAAATTAACCAGGCGTGGTGGCGGGCGCCTGTAGTCCCAGCTACTCGGGAGGCTGAGGCAGGAGAATGGCGTGAACCCAGGAGGCGGAGCTTGCAGTGAGCAGAGATCGCGCCACTGCACTCTAGCCTGGGCGACAGAGCTAGACTCCATCTCAAAAAAAAAAAAAAAAAAAAGAGGGTCATGCTCTGTCGACCACACTGGAGTGCAGCGGAGTACTGATGGCCTAGGGAAGAACCTTTTCTTTGAAGGGGAAATGGTGAAGGCCCTGAGCAGGGCCTGCTTTGCTCAGGAATGGCCGTAAGTCCTATAGCATCAGCATCTTAGAGATGGGGATAGGGTGGCCAAAGCGTGTCAGTGGGTTTCCCTCAAGAAAGAGCTGGATCCGAAGTCGTCTGGACTCTAGAGCCATCCATTCCTCGGGGGGACCTCACCTGGATGGTCTGGGCGCACAGGGAGCAGCAGGCCCCTGGATCCCCCTGGTCTGGCTCAGGCTCCGCGTCATCAAAGGGACCTGCGCGGCGCCTTGGGGCCGGGGCCTGGGGCGGTGGAGGCCCGAAGGCCAGAGGCACGTGCGGCGGCGGCGGGAGGCAGAGGTCCTGGCGGAGGTCTGGGCGCACCCAGCGCAGCGTGAGCGGGAGGCGAGCCCAGGGCGGTGCGCGCAGCATGTGCGCCAGCACGCGCAGGTGGAAAGCGAAGGCTGTCTCTCCTCGCAGGCGAGGCCCCACGTGCGCCAGGCGGCGCGAGGCGTGCGGGTGCTGCCAAGCCCACTCAAACTGCGGGCGGCGTACAGGGGCATCAGGGCGGCTCGGAGCGAGGGGCGGAACCCAAGCCCTCACCCGGCCGCCGCTGCCCGGTCTCCTTCCTTACCCGAAGGGCGGCCACGGAGGACGGGAAGCCGTGCACGACGAGCACCATCTCCCTGAGGAGGAGAACGGTGATGTCCCTGTCGCAGCCCAGCGCCTCAGCCGCGGGTCCCCTCCAATCCCACCCGAGAGCGGGGTCCTCATTCCCGGCTTCAGCCGAGAAGTGCAGCCCTCTGCACCTGCCCACCTCAGGCCCTGCCTCCAGCCCAGGTACCCACCTGTCCCACCTCCTCTCTCTCCTGCATTCCACCCGACCCCAGCGTGCCCACCAAGAGCCCTATGCTGGAACCCAGCCTGGATCATCACCCCCGCCCCAGCTAGCTCCTTCCCTGAGTTCCGCCGCGGAGATGCCCCGGGCACCGCCTCCCCGTCACGCTCCTCCCCTGCGACAGGCCCCGTCCCCACCACAGACGCCCCGCCTCTGTCACAGTCCTGGCCGGTCCTTCTCAACAGGCCTGTGCCCCGCGGGGTCCGCCTCCTCTGGGACGCCTTCCTCCCGGCACAGAAGGCCTCCCCCTCTCACCAGGGCCCTCGCCCGCTGGTCCGCCAGGCCCCGCCTTTTTTGCGGCCCCCATTGTGCTGCTGGACCCGACGAGCAGTGTTGACAGTGAACCCCACGTAGACGCGGCCCCGGTACCGGGGGTTCAGGCAGTAGAGCAGGTAGACGCCGAAAAAGCGCCCTGGCCTCGCCGCGACCCCCGCGGGACCCATCGGGCCTTGGGGTTCGGGAACCACAGCAGGGGGTTGATTGCCGTGACCTAGGGTCCAGGGGAGGGCTGGATCGCTAGGGCTGCAGGGTGCTTGCTTCGGAACAAGCTCTCGGGGACTATCCGGAGGCAGCCTGCAGGAAGCCGTAGCGCCGGTACGTGCCCCTCTCCTGTCTGGAGGCGGGTGTAGAAGTCCGACCGCGGAAGCCAGACTGCTGTCCAGTCGGCGAGCGCGTACCATTCAGCATCGGCTCCGCCCGAGTCCCACCTTCCTCAGGCTCTGATTGGCTGACACATGGCAAGCGCGAAAAGCCTGGACCGCTGGAAAGCCCGGCTGCTTGAGGGCGGAAGTACTGCGTTGACGTACGCCTTAGTAAGGGCGGAAGTGAGTTTTCCAGCGGAAGTGGCTCCTGTAAGGCAGCAAGGTAGCGTGGCCGGCGCCCGAGCTGGGGTTGTGTCCCTGCTGGGCTGCCGTTCCAGCTGGACTGCCGCCATGGAACTCAGCGCCGAATACCTCCGCGAGAAGCTGCAGCGGGACCTGGAGGCGGAGCATGTGGTGAGTTGAGCCGCCGGACAAGGGGAAAAGAGCTCGGGGGGCGGGTTCGGCACCATTCATATTCTTCCGCTCGGTAGGAGGTGGAGGACACGACCCTCAACCGTTGCTCCTGTAGCTTCCGAGTCCTGGTGGTGTCGGCCAAGTTCGAGGGGAAACCGCTGCTTCAGAGACACAGGTAAGGCCCTGGGAGCACCTTGCCTAGCTCCTGTACCACAACCCCAGCCACTCCCCCTACCCCTGCAACCTGACTCCCGCACTCCCCCTGGCGTGGCTCAGGGACCTTGAGGATCCCGCCTTCGTGACCCCTGCTTCGAGTATTTCGATGTAGACCCTCTCTCCAAGTACGTGTTCCCACGGCCTGGGGACTACAACCTTGGGGACACCAGTCTCTTGGGTCACCCTAGCCTCGGGGTGTGCGATCACCGCTGGCCTTTTCC
Source organism: Homo sapiens (assembly GCF_000001405.40). Classification (NCBI taxonomy): domain Eukaryota; kingdom Metazoa; phylum Chordata; class Mammalia; order Primates; family Hominidae; genus Homo; species Homo sapiens. The sequence continues at coordinate 30,193,095 of NC_000016.10, read as the reverse complement.
TAACCCCATCTCTCGCCCCAGGCTGGTGAACGCGTGCCTAGCAGAAGAGCTCCCGCACATCCATGCCTTTGAACAGAAAACCCTGACCCCAGACCAGTGGGCACGTGAGCGACAGAAATGAGGGACTGGGATCTGCACAGCCATTAAATTATAAATCTGGACCAGCTTCTGTGTCGATGTGTGTGTGGGAGGGGTGCTGAGGCCGAGTCTAGGACCTGGCCTCTCCCTGCCCTGCCTCCGTCCATTGTTTTACCTTGGACACGTCTCTGTCCCCATCTAGGCCTCTATCCCTGCTTGTAAAATGAAAGTTCTACCGTAAAAGTCCCTTCCAGGGTCTACCGAGAAAGCCTTCTCTCTGCAACTCCGTTTAGACATCTAGGAGTCTGTACTGCCACCACCTACCCACCTCCTAGAGAGCTCAGGGTTCCTCCTCTCTGCTAGCCTTCAAGATGCAGAGATGAGAAAGTGATCGGGGTTTCAGGGCCCTGACCAGTTGAACAAACCTCTCCCTGACATTACCGCAGTATCAGAGGCACCATATAGAATTCCACATATTCCTTGCAGGTTCCCCCCGGCCTTCTCAGGCCCAAGAGGGAGTGGTGCCCAGGTAGGGGCTCATCAACTCCTGGAATGCTGATGTTTTCAGACCCACTGGAGAAGGTTCCAGTGGCCCCATAGCCCTGGGCTTAATGTGTCTACAGCTGCCCCCGGAGGACCATGGAGGTTTTAAGAATAGTGGGTGTGGGACGGGGATAGGGGTGAGATTAGAGTAGGAATATAAGGCTGACCTGAGTCAGAAAATTGGGGCAGGTGATGCCCCTGTATCAGTCTTCATAACAGGTTAGTAGGGTTGCTAGGACCTTGTTTGTTTTATTTGTTTTTTGTTGTTTGAGACAGGGTCTTGCTCTGTCGCCCAGGCTGGAGTGCCGTGGCGCCATCTCAGCTCATTGCAACCTCTGCCTCCCAGGTTCAAAAGATTCTTGTGCTTCAGCCTCCTGAGTAGCTGGGATTACAGGGGTGCACCACCATGCCCGGCTAATTTTTGTACTTTTAGTAGAGACAGGGTTTCACCATGTTGGCCAGGCCAGTCTCAAACTCCTGGCCTCAAGTGATCTGCCCGCCTTGGTCTCCTAAAGTGCTGGAATTTTAGGCGTGAGCCATTGTACCTGGCCCAGATTGCTAGGACTTTGAACAGAGGTCCCTGAGACCTAGGGAGGGAGCCCAAATAACCTAGTTGGGGCCAGGGCTCGTTGAGAGTGAGAAATTGCAAGTTTCAGCCATCACACACTCTTTTCCTGCGTTTTTTTGTTTGTTTGTTTGTTTGTTTTGAGACAGAGTCTTGGCTCTGTTGCCCAGGCTGGAGTGCAGTAGCATGATCTTGGCTCACTACAACTTCCCCCTCCCGGGTTCAAGCGATTCTCCTGCCTCAGCCTCCCTAGTAGCTGGGATTACAGGCACACGCCACCATGCCCAGCTAATTTTTGGGGGTTTTTTATTGTTTGTTTGTTTGTCTGTTTTTGAGACAGAGTTTCACTCTTGTTGCCCAGGCTGGAGTGCAATGGCACGATCTCGGCTCACCACAACCTCCGCCTCCTGGGTTCAAGCGATTCTCTTGTCTCAGCCTCCCAAGTAGCTGGGATTACAGGTATGTGCTACCACGCCCGGCTAATCTTGTATTTTTAATAGAGACAGGGTTTCTCCATGTTGTTCAGGCTGGTCTTGAACTCCCGACCTCAGGTGATCTACCCGCCTCGGCCTCCAAAAGTGCTGGGATTACAGGCGTGTGCCACTTATGCCCAGCTTTCTTTTTTGTTTTCTTCCCACACCTCTACTGCCCAAGTAGTTTTCTATGGCATACTGAAGAGGTGGGGCCTGGAAATGACGCCATGGGTGGTCCCTGCTTGATATGAACCAAACCTTACTATGGCTAAGACGCCCATCCCAAACAGCCCTGTGTCCTCCCATCTCAGGATCACCTGCTAAGTTGGGTATCAAAACCTATTCCCACACCCACTCCCCACAAGGCCTGACAGACCTGTTCCTGCCAGGTCTCTCACAGAGGTCAGGCCCAGGCAGAACCCACAGGAAGGGCTAGAGAGGCAGAAGCACTCACTACACGGGGGAAGGCTCTGAATTCAAAAGGGGAGACATAAGGCCAGGCACAGCGGCTCATGCCTGTAATCCCAGCACTTTGGGAGGCTGAGGCAGGCAGATGACTTGAGGCCAGGAGTTTGAGACCAGTCTGGCCAACATGGTGAGACCCCACCTCTACTGAAAACACAAAAGTTAGCCGGACGTGGTGGCACATGCCTGTAATCCCAGCTACTTGGGAGTCTGAGGCACGAGAATGGCTTGAACCCAGAAGGCAGAGGTTGCGGTGAGCCGAGATTGTGCCATTGTACTCAATTTGGGCAACAAGAATGAAACTCCATCTCAGAAAAAATTAAATAAATAAAAAAGTGGGGAGACTTGGACTCTGACTTGGGATCTGCCCTTCAGTGAGCTGGGCTCCTGCTCCCGGCCTCAGTTTCTTCTCTGGTAAACTAGGATCAGCCTGTTGCCTTAATTCTGTCTTTTCCTTAGAAGAAGTTCCCCTGTTTCATATATTAAAATATATAATATATAAAACATATATATAAAATATATATAATTTATATTATAATATATAATATAATATAATATAATATAATATATATTATAATATATATTATATATTATACTATATTATTATATAGTATAATATATAACTTATTACTATATAATATAATATATAATTTATTATTATATAATATAATATATATTATATATTAAAATATATAATTAATATATATAATATTTATATATTAAAATATAATATATATAATATTTATATATTAAAATATATTATATATAATATATTTATATATTAAAATATATAATATATATAATATATTTATATATTAAAATATATATGATGTATTTATACATTTAAAAAATATATATATATATATATATATATATTTTTTTTTTTTTTTGAGACGAAGTCTCACTCCTGTCCCCCAGGCTGGAGTACAATGGCATGATCTCGGCTCACTGCAACCTTTGCCTCCCGGATTCAAGCAATTCTCTTGCCTCAGCCTCCTGAGTAGCTGAGATTACAGGCGCCTGCCACCATGCCCAGCTAATTTTTGTATTTTTAGTAGAGATGGGGTTTCACCATGTTGGCCAGGCTGGTCTCGAACTTCTGACCTCAGGTGATTCACCCACCTCGGCCTCCTAAAGTGCTGGGATTACAGGCGTGAGCTGCCACACCCGGCCTATTTATATTTTTTAGAGACAGTGTCTTGCTCTGTCACCCAGGCTGCAGTGCAGTGGTGCAATGGCTCATTGCAGCCTCGACCTCCTGGGCTCAAGGGATCCTCCTGCCTCAGCCTCCTGAGTAGCTGGAACTATAGGTGCCCACCACCATGCCTGGCTAATTTTTTATTTTATTTTTCGTAGAGACGGTATCTCGCCGTGTTGCTCAGGCAGGTCTCAAACTCCTGGGCTCAAATGATCCTGCCGCCTCAGCCTCCCACAGTGCTGGGATTATAGACGTGAGTCCCCATGCCCAGCCTCCCTCGTTATTTTTATCTTTGGACCTGCAGTTTAAAAGATGCCTACCCTGTAAGTGATGGTTGGTTCATTTCCTCACAAGCAACAGTGCCAGCAGAGTCACGTGCAACGTGATGTTTTGGTTGACTAGGAAAGGCAGATTTTTGGTAAATTTGGGAATTATTGAGGTTCTAAGCTAGGGCCTTAAATAGTTCAGCTGTGTCAGCTCTGAGAAGGAGCTCGGAAACGGAGAGCAGCCTCCTGGCCCACATCAGCATGGCTGGTTTCTACCCACGAAGGCCCTGTTCCTGTGATGTAGTAAGTCAGGGGGCATCCCACATCCCCTGCCATGGGTCAGTCCCCTCAGCGCGGTGGAGGGGAAGCTCTAGGGCTGGTTGGTTCAGCAAACTGCGTGTCTAGGGGACCAGTCATCAGAGTCTGGGAGGTACCAGAAAATAAAGCCATTTTATTATGATTTTTTTCTCTGCCATGTGGCTGGGAATGGGAGGTGAGTGGATGGGTGTGAATGGCTGACCCTGCTGGAGGCCCTGCGGGGCTCTACTTGGCCTGGACTGTCTCCTCCAGCCTGTCCAAGCGCTTCTGGAGCTCCTGCACCGTGGCCTGGAGCTTCCGCATCTCCTCCTCCAGCCGAGACACGGCATCCTGGGGACCCGGTGCTGCATTAGGCCCAGCTCCTCCCTGGCTCCCCTTACCCCAGCCTCTGCTGAGCCCCATCCCTAGAGCCCTGGCCTTGGGCCCTTTAGTCGCTCAGCTGGTTGCTGCCTGGAGACCTGCAGGCCTATCAATCTGAAACCTGTGTTCTGAGGCCTCAGGATTACCATTCCCGGACCCACAAAGATTCCCAATGTTGTGAGTTTGAGGTGCCCCAAACACCAGCCCCACCCCACCCTCCCAGTTTTATTCCCTGGCTTCCCAGCCCTCTCACCGAGCTGGGAGTGCCACTGGCCTCTGGTGCTGCCCTCCTGCGCCCGGTGTCCAGGCCCCGGTTGACCCTCAGCTCCCGGCTCTTTGGGGGTACGTAGCCATCCTTGAGGGAGATGAGGAGGGGCCCAGCATCCCGACCCCCCAGCCACTCCTCAGCCGTGAGGGCAGGGTCGGGCCCTGCGGTGGGTGGGTACAGGTCCTCCTGGAACAGGTCCGACTGTGGGCAAGGCCAGGGATAGTGAGGAAAGCGCTTATGCCAGGACACCCCCCACAAGACCGCAAAGTCAGTGCCCAGCCTGGAGCCCAGGGTGGGGCGGGGGAGCATCACCTTTCGAGGCACTGTCATGGCAATGGGCTCACACCTCCGCTCGTGCAGCTTGTAGAACCTGTGGGAAGGGGAAGGTGAGCGGGGCCCACAGTCTGGTTGGGTGGGCTTGGGACTGCCCACTGCCCAAGGAGCATGCTGCGGTCAGGGCCGGGGGTCAGTCACCTGGCGATCTCACACTTGTTCACCTCCAGGCCACGTTTGGGCATGTAGCCCATGCCCCGCTGGGACTCCTTGGAACTGAACATGGAGAGATAGTGCAGGAAAGGGGCCTCGGAAGTGATCTCAAAGTACCGGATTGAGCTGTCACCCTGTAGGTGGCAGGTGTGGAGGGAGGGTCAATACCAGCGGATGCCCACTGCCCTGGCCCTCTCCAGGCCCATCCTGCCCACCTCCCACCCCCACCCCGCCCGACGAGGCCACCTTGCCACAGAGGTAGACGATGTTGGTGTCAGGGTCAAAGAAGGGCAGCAGGACACCGCTGCTGGTGTCCAGCTCCTGCAGGGACAGCGGCTCCTCCAGGTGCTTCTGTAGACACAGGTGAGAGGTAACATCCCAGGCCCTGGGATGGTGGTCTTCCCTGGGCAGTGACCTGTGAGGGCCCTCCCGACCAACCAGTGGGAACAACCATCTCACGCCTGGGTAAACTGAGGCCCATGGCCATCCTGCCAGGTGAGTGGCAGAGCAGGGACGAAACCTCCAGTCTTGGTTCCCAGCCTGGGGGCCCTCGGCTTCCTGCCCCAGCACTCACTGTGTCCCACAGCGCCACCTGCCGCTCACTCATGCGGCTGAAGCCCGTGGTCAGGATCTTCCCCTCCGACACGAACACTGCACGCACGGGCCGGGTCCCCTCGTGGGGACGGTCCTTCTCCTGCAAGGAAAGGGAGGTGGTAGGTCAGGCACCCGTACATACCCTACGGGGCCAGTCCCAGGTGGAGGCGAGGGAGGGCAGCATCCAAGGGCCTGGCTGATGGTGGATAAGAAGGATAAAGGCTGTAGGGTCAAAGGTCAGGGTAGATGGCGACTCACAGCTACGACAGTGCCTTTGCGGGGCTCGATGATGCGCACGCGCTTGTCACGGCAGGAGGTACAAATGAGGCCTCCATCTCGGCTCCAGTCCACACTGTAGATCGTGTCTGGGTGCACCTCTGGGCCCAGTGTCAGCATGGCCGCCCCAGTGCCCACGTCCCACACCATGATCACGTTGTCACAACCTGCACGTTCCCCACAGTGTCAGAAGCCATGAGCCTCCTGCCCTCATCCACTGCAGGCCACGAGCCACCCCCAAGCCCCTCCTCCCGCAGCACCTGCACTGAGCAGCACGTTCTGGGCTGTGGTGTGCCAGGCCACAATGCCCACACGCTTGGTGTGGCCCTCCAGGGTGACGACGGGCTCCCGCAGGGGCAGCATCAGGCCCCCATCTGGGATCTCCCACACCTGCAGAGGAGGGGCCAGTGAGTCTTCAGGACTCCAAATGTCAGATCCCATCCTAGAGCCCCTCTCCCAGCCCCTGGGTCCCCACCACCACTCACCATGACTGTGCAGTCCTCGGAGCCACTGGCAATGACGTTGTCATTGTGCGGGCACCAGGCGATGTCTAGCACAGGGGCTGTGTGGCCACAGACCGTGGGCGCATTCTTGTCCACACGTCCAGTCTAAAGGCACAGCAGGGCCTTGGAGGTGCTTTTGCCTCCCAAACCCAATCCAACCTCCCCACACCTCCTTCAGAGAGGCCCAGAGAGGAAAGCTGTGGTGTCCCTGGGAGCTGGACCAGGGCCTGGGGTGGGGACGGGGGCGGGTTGTTCTTCTCTTGTTCCAGTCCCAAAATGGCCTGGGCAAACCCCAGGAGGGCTGGCCACGCATGGCAGAGGTTGGGGGCCGTGCAAGACCCTGGCAGAGTTCCCGCCGGTCTCTGTCTCAGTCTGTCTCTGCCCTTAGGGTTGGCACCCCCACCCCAGCTTCCCCGAGTGAGGCTTCCATGGGCACAACTGGCCCTGGAGCCAGGACAGGTGTATGGGGGCTGGGGGGGTGGAGGCAGCTCCCCAGAGAGCGAGTGTGAGTGGTGGGGCTGCAGGGGTGGGTCCTCCCAAAAGGAGAGGGGCCAGGGAGCCTGTCCCAACTGGCCCCAGGCAGGAGCAGAGGTTTGGAAATGGCTTCTTCCGGGGACAGCTGCTTCAGCAGGGCTTCCTGTGTGACAGCCATGTGGGGCGCGGGCCCAGCTCTCACCCCGACAACCACTTCCTCTTCTCTTTGCTTCCATCAGCCCTTTTAAGGTAACAACTTGGGGCCCATCTCCCCTTCCTGTCTTACCCCCCAAAGAGCACAGGAGTGTGCTGGGGGTGCGGGGCAGCAGCCAGCCAGCGGAGGGGGCAGCAGGCTCCAGGGGAGGGCAGGGCTGCGGGTGGGGGAGAGCACCTCTTGCATCATCCCTGCCTGCGAGCTGGGGGACAGAGTTGCTAGGTCCTCAGACAGGCCCAGAGCCAGAGTCCCTCCCAACCCTGAGAACGCTGCCAGGGCCCCCAGACCCCATCCCAACCCCCTCTGTGTTTCCATGGGGAGAAAGCCCCAGGCTGAGGCTCAGGAGGGCTGATCATGGGTCTGCAGGACTGTCTGTAGTCCTGGTCACTGGTGTGACCCATCTTGTGTTGGCTCCTTCTGAGCGTCAGTTTCCACACAGCCACAGCACAGAGGAGCTGGAGGAAGTGTAAGGCTCATGGGGCCCAGCTCAGTTTTCCAGATGGCAACACAGGCCCTGGAAGGCCTGGTGACCGTCACCTAATCAGGACCTGCACAGAGCCATGGGTCCGGTGGAGGAGCTGCTCCCCCCAGGGCCCCAGGGGCTCACCTTGCCCAGGGGCAGCACCAGGAAGGCCCCTCCCCCGCTGGCCTCACAGATCAGGGCCACAAACTTAGGGTTGACAGCACAGAAGCCACTGTCCCAGGTGGTCTGTGAGACGCGCACATCTTCATAGCACTGGTCGGCCTTGGCCGGCTGTCCAAACACGTGGCGGAACTTGCTGGAGCGGACCACCTGCCGGCTCATTCTGGGGGCACACAGCATAAGAGCATTTCTCCCTTCAGGTCAACTCTGATCTTCCAGTGGTCCCCACCTCCCCCAGGACACCCCTCAGTCTGGCTTTTAAGGTCCCAGCATCATCTCCAGGGGCTCCCTATTCTTCCCTCTGTGGCTGATGCCTGCTTGCCTTCCCCAGCCTCTCCTTCCCTCTAACCTGCAAGCCCCCTTCTCCCTGGCCCCAGGCCACTCTGAGCCACCCTCTCAATCTGTACCCTCAGCCTCTGCAACAGAGCCTGGCGTGGTGTTGCCCCACTGCATGTTTGTTGACTGACTGGCTGATGGATGCAGAGCCCGTCCTTCCTAATGGTTCAGACTCAGGCGTCATCAGCCCAGATGGCTCCGAGGGTGGGTTCTCTCTTAGTTACCGTGTCCAGAGCCCACCTCCCTCACACCCACACAGCGCTTCCTAAAGGCAGGGACAGGAGCTGGCCTCCCTCGCCTGCTGGCATGGGGCTGGACACAGGAGGAAGTGGCGTGGGGGCTGCCTGAGGGGAGTGAGGCGGCAGGATAGCTTCCCCAGCAGGTCTCTGGCTCAGGTCCAGGTATCTCCTCCTCCCCATACCTCTGCCTCTCGCCTCCGCTCAGAAAAGCAGGTGCCCTTAAGAGCCATCTCCACCCCCATGTAAACTGCACACAGGAAGGGAGAGGCCACTCCGACTGCTCTGAGGTCCAGGTAGGATGGTTTCCCCCAGTGTCTGGGTGGGGAGCAAGGAACTCCAGGGGCGACCTTGTGCCACCGCATCACCTTCCTGCTCAGGGAAGGGGCCTGTGCTGCCGCTTGGAGGGTGCCATGCCCAGAGCCTCTGCCCCTAGCCTCAGCCTCGCCTACTCACTGGGGGCTCCAGCACCCCCGGCCACCCCAGGACTCCCGAAGAGGCTGCTAGGTCGGCCTGCCCAAAGAGCGGTGAGGAGCGTATGTGAAGAGCCCCAGTCTTGAGGAGCAGCCTGTATCTGGAGAGAGGGGAGCCCCGGACCAGAGGTGGGGGACAGGAAGCCATCGCCCCACCCTGCCTCCTCCCCCACCACAGGTACCAGGCCCGGAAACCACGGAAAGGGGAACTTGGTCTTTTCTTGTTTTGCTCTCAACCCCTTCCTGTCTCCAAGCCCAGGGCAGCTGCCCCGCTCACCCCACCCTGCCCTCGTCCCCACCCTCCCCGAGACTCAATTCCGTGGGGAGTCGGGCCCTCGACACTGTGCTGACCCCCGGCCACCCACCTCCATCTTGGCCGCGGTGGTCCCTAGCCCTCGCCTCCGCAGAGCGCTCTGGGGCCCCGGCGGCCCCCACTCCAAGCAGCGTCCCCCCACGGGCTGCTGCGCCCGCTACCTGGCCCCGGCGCTGGCTGGGTCGCGGTGACAGCCGCGCGCCCCCGCAGCCCGCGGCTCCCACGCGCGCGCCGCCCCACAGGTGGCCCTCGCCCCGGCCCACCCGCGCCTCCCAGGCCCAGCCTCACCTGCTGCCGAGAGAGGACAGTGATCCCCCAAAAGCCGGAGGTGGAGGAGGAGGAGGAAGAGGAGGAAGGAGCTGGAGGAGCCGGGGACTCGCCCGCTGAAGATGCTCTTGTCAAGACAATGAATGAGAAGCAGCCGTGCGCCCGCCTCCGGGGTGGCCGCGCCCCTTGGGGCGGAGCTCTTCCAGGCCCGCCCTGCGCTCCCGGGCTCCCGCTGCGGCCGCCTCTCTCCCCGGCCCCTGCCCGTGCACCACGTTGGTCCCCAACCATAGCGCAGGCTGCCATCCCGGCTCCGGGAAGCGAATCTAAACTTCTTTTTAAAATGTCAAAACGCAAGAGCACCCCATTGCTTCTTTCCTCCCTGCGTCCGCCCCCAGCCTCCTCGCCAGCCTTTCCCTGGCAGGCACGAAAGCGCCCCAGGCCCGCCCGCCAGGCCTCGGTGCCCGCCCCGGCCCGGCTGCGCCGCCCCTTCCTCCCGGCCCCGCAGACGCGAGCGCAGGGGGCGCGGGGGGCGCGGGGGGCGCGAGGGGCGCGGGGGGCGCGGGCGAGGAGGAGCCCCGAGCGCGCTCCTGGACCCCCGGGACCTGGCTCTTGCCTGGCTCTGAGATCTAAGCATGGGTGGCCCCGGGAGTCGCTTCTCCTCCCTGGATCTCCTGGCTTCATCGGGAACACCCCTGCCCTCCTGCTGAAATAATCCGGCATCACGGGCACCTACTTCGTGCCAGGGGCTACAGGGTCGAGCAAGGCAGGCAAGCCAGGCAGGTTTCCGCCCCTGAAGAGCCCAGCCTGGGGGAAGGAGGAGGAGCCCACGGCCGCTCCAAGCCCTGGCTTTGGCGAAGGCTCGAGGGCAAGGAGGAATAGTTCCCACCCTTGGATTCAGAGAGGCTTCTGGAGGCAGCAACAGCGGGCAGGAAAGGCCTGCTCTAGAGTCAGACTATGTCATGAGTGCGACCGCAGCCTGTCACCTGCTGAGTGAGGTGTGGCCGCTACTTAGCCTTTCTCAGCCTCGGTTTCTCCCTCTGTAACAGTCATACCTGCCACGTAAGAGGTATGGGGATGATTACCTAAAATAACCCAAGGAAGTCAGTAAGGACCTCATCTAGAAAGTGGCGGGTGCTTAATAAACGTTAGCTCTCAGCCATGCGTAGTGACTCACGCCTGTAATCCCAGCACTTTGGGAGGCCAAGGCTGGCGGATCACCTGAGGTCAGGAGTTCGAGACCAGCCTGGCCAACATGGTAAAACCGCATCTCTACTAAAAATACAAAAATTAGCGTGGTGTAGTGATGCACCCCTGTAATCCCAGCTACTGAGGAGGCTAAGGCATGAGAATAGCTTGAACCCTGGAGGCAGAGGCTGCAGTGAGCCAAGATTGAGCCACTGTTATCACCCAGTCTTCTCTGGGTGAAAGAGCAAGACCGTCTCATTTTAAAAAAAGTTAGCTCTCATCATTCTTGTTTAAAAAGTATCTGGGCTGGGCCTGAAAGGATTAGGAAGAGCCAACAGGCAAGGCTAGAGGGGTGACCTGTAGGCTGAGGGACAGCCCTGTCGTGTGGAGAAGTTCAAGGAACAGCAAGGGACGGGTTCAAGTCCCACCTCTGCCACTGACTGGCTGTGCGATCTTGGCCAAGAGGGCTAATCTCTCTGAACCTCATTTTGTCATTGGTAAATGGGGAATTAATAAGATTTGAACTGCCCACCTCACAAAGTTATGAGGCTCTGGCCGGGCGCAGTGCCTCACGCCTGTAATCCCAGCACTTTGGGAGGCCAAGGCGGGCAGATCACGAGGTCAGGAGATGGAGACCATCCTGGCTAACATGGTGAAACCCCCTCTCTACTAAAAATACAAAAAATTAGCCAGGCATGGTGGCAGGCGCCTGTAGTCCCAGCTACTTGGGAGGCTGAGGCAGGAGAATGGTGTGAACCCAGGAGGCGGAGGTTGCAGTGAGCCGAGATCGTGGCACTACACTCCAGCCTGGGTGACAGAGCGAGACTCCATCTCAAAAAAAAAAAAAAAAAAAAATTACCCGGGCATGGTGGTGCATGCTTGTAATCCCAACTACTCTGGAGGCTGAGGCAGGAGAATTGCTTGAACCTGGGAGGCGGAGGTTGCAGTGAGCTGAGATGGCACTATTGCACTCCAGCCTGGGCAACAAGAGTGAAACTCCGTCTCAAAAAAAAAAAAATTAGCTGGGCATGGTGGTGTGCGCCTGTAGTCCCAGCTACTCGGGAGGCTGAGGCAGAAGAATCGCCTGAACCCAGGAGGCAGAGGTTGCAGTGAGCCAAGACTGTGCCATTGCACTCCAGCCTGGGCAACAGAGTAAGACTCCATCTCAACAACAACAAAAAAGTTACTAGGCTCAAATGAGACAATAAATCTGTAAATCTTTTATAGATTATTCAATTGTAAAAACCTTAGGGCTGTACTGTACTCAAAGGCCTGCGACTGGACGGGACTAGACCGAGATAAGGTGGGTACTCTGATGTGCCGTCTCCCACAGAAGTGACAGGAATAATAACTGGCTTTTATTGAGTGCCTACTATGTGCTGGGCACTGTTCTAGACACTATACTATGTTCATGTAATCCTCATAGCACCCCTGGGTAGCAAATACTATCTCCATTTTACAGATGCAGAAACTGAAGCACACACTGCCTTCAGCTCTGGAGGGCCTCATGTCCACCCACAGGACGAGGGCATTGGTGAAGGACCTGAAAACTAGGCTCCTGAAGGTGGCGAGCCTGACGGCCCTGGAGAGGGCAAGGTGCAGGCAGACAGTGCTGCTTTCAGAGGCCAAGTGGGCTGCAGCAGGGGAAGGGGTGGGCAGCCTTGGGGCTGCCACAAAGGTCAGGGGCAAGGCTGGTGGGTGGAGGTTCTGGGAAGCAGATGTCCATGCAGCATAAGAATTAGTTACAGCAGTGAGTGGGGAAGGCCCTGGCAAGGCTCTCCATGTTTGAGAGGGGGACAACCTTTTCAAAGGGTGTCCTTATAAGGGATGTCAGAGGGCATTTGCCCAGGAGCGGCGAGAATCACTTGAGCCTAGGAGTTTGAGACCAGTGTGGGCAGCATAGCAAGACCCCATCTCTTAAAAAAAAAAAAAATGAAATTAGCCAGCTGTGGTGGCATGTGCCTGTGTTCTCAGCTGCTTAGGAGGCTGAAGTGGGAGGTTCGCTTGAGCCCAGGAGTTCCAGGCTAACAGTGAGCTATGATTGCACCACTGCACTCCAGCCTGGGTGACAGAGGGAGACCCAGTTTCAATTAAAAGAAAAAAAAGGGGGACCTTTGCCTCTCTTGTTCCTGCTGGTTTAGCTCTTACCATTGCCTCTCTCTTTTTTTTTTTTTTTTTTTTTTTGAGACAGGGTCTCCCTCTGGCTGGGGTGCAATGGCACGATCACAGCTCACTGCAGCCTCAACCTCCCACGCTCAAGCGATCCTCCCATCCATCCTCAGAGCCTCCCGAGTACCTGGGACCAGAGGCACATGCCCAACACACCTAGCTAATTTTTTAAATTGTTGGTAGAGACGGGATCTCACTATGTGGCCTAGGTGGGTCTCGACCTCCTGGGCTCAAGCAATCCTCCTGCCTCAGCCTCCCAAAGTGGTGCAATTACAGGCATGAGCCACCGTGCCTGGTCCCGTCGCCTCTTTATTGGATTTTCTTTTGGGGAACCAACCTCTCCTCACAGGCACTCCATGAGGTTCAGGAGGGGACCTGGCGTATTCACATGGCCTGTGCTTCCCAACCAAAGCAACCTGTTTTCATTGGCTCAGGGATGGGCACTTGATTCATCTTGTGCCCAAGACTCACCTTGGAGCTGCTGTGAAAAAGATGCCCTCTCTCCACTGGGAGTTAGGAAGCTGATAGGATGTAAGCCCAGCACTGCTGGTGATATCTTGTTGGTATGCAGGAAAAGCTGGTCAGAGCAAGGTGCAGTGGCTCACGCCTGTAATCCCAGCACTTTGGGAGGCCGAGGCAGGCAGATCACCTGAGGCCAGGAGTTTGAGACCAGCCTGGCCAACATGGCAAAACCTGTCTCCACTAAAAATATAAAAAGTAGCCAGGCATGGTGGTGTGCACCTGTAGTCTCAGTTGCTTGGGAAGCTGAGGCAGGAGAATAGTTTGAACTGAGGAGGTGGGAGTTTTGGTAACCCGAGATCACGCCAGCCTGGACGACAGAGCAAGACTCTGTCTCAAAAAAAAAAAAACAAAAAACAAAAACAAAAAAAACAGCAAAAAGCTGGCTAGGATGGGTCTACACAGAGGCCTGAAGAGGCCAGATATGAAGAGACATATTCTTGAGATCATTTGAGTGTCTGGATCAAGCTGTGCCTGAAACCCTTAACTTTCCTGTTGTATAAGGCAATGCACTTCTTTTTCACGTAAGCCAAGAAGTATGAGTTGGATTCCTGGCACTTGCAGCTGAAAAAGTTCTGATTACACCTACCCTGGAGGGAGACAGGACCAGAGGCCCTTCCAAGGAGCCAGATACCTACAGTAGAGGTAGACTGAAGTGTTGGAATCAAATCATTACTCCTCTTTTTATTTTTATTATTTATTTATTTTTTTTTTTTTTGAGACAGAGTCTCACTGTCACCCAGGCTTGAGTACAGTGGTACAATCTCTGCTCACTGTGACCTGCGCCTCCTAGGTTCAAGCGATTCTCCTGACTCAGCCTCCCGAGTAGCTGGGATTACGGTGCATGCCACCTTGCCTGGCAAATTTTTGTATTTTTAGTAGAGAGGGGGTTTCACCATGTTGGCCAGGCTGGTCTTGAACTTCTGACCTCAGGTGATCTACCCACCTGGGCCTCCCAAAGTGCTGGGATTACAAGCGTGAACCACCATGCCCGGCCAAAGTCCAATGTCTTTAGCAAGGTTCACAGAGCTTCCCTAGTCTGTCTTGCCCAAAGGAGGCTGTGGAGCATGGTGGGGTCAGGCACCCCTGATAACCTTGGTTTCAGCATCTCCTTACTGTCCCTGGCCAGGTGCGTTTTCCTCATCTAGGACAGGTGCACAGTGGCCCTCACTTTATAGAGGATGAGGACTAATGGAAACTAGCTATAAATGCTGGGCACAGTGCCAGGAACCAGGCTGGAGTGTGCTGGCAACTTTCCCTACCCCCTCCGCCTTCTCCATGGAGAAAGTGTGGCCCTAGAATGACACACGTAACATGCTGTCTTTGGGAAGTCACTTCCACTTGGAGTTTCTGCCCTTAGCATGGTAGCATGCTTTGTAAACATGTGAAAGGGACCCTTTTCTTATTTTTCTTATTTTTTATTTTTTATTTTTTTTGAGACAGAGTCTTACACTGTCGCCCAGGCTGGAGTGCAGTAACCCGACCTTGGCTCACTGCAACCTCCACCTCCCAGGTTCAAGCGATTCTCCTGCCTCAGGCTCCCAAGTAGCAGGGATTACAGGTGCCCGCCACCACGCCCGGCTAATTTTTTGAATTTTTTTTTTTTTTTTTTTTTTTTTTTTTTTGAGACAGCGTCTGGCTCTGTCGCCCAGGCTGGAGTGCAGTGGCGCGATCTCGGCTCACTGCAAGCTCCGCCTCCTGGGTTCACGCCATTCTCCTGCCTCAGCCTCTCAAGTAGCTGGGACTACAGGAGCCTGCCACCGCTCCCGGCTAATTTTTTGTATTTTTAGTAGAGACGGGGTTTCACTGTGTTAGCCAAGATGGTCTCGATCTCCTGACCTCATGATCCACCCGCCTCGGCCTCCCAAAGTGCTGGGATTACAGGCGTGAGCCACCACGCCCGGCCAAATTTTTTGAATTTTTAGTAGACATGGGATTTCACCATGTTGTCCAGGCTGGTCTCAAACTCCTGACCTCAGGCGATCTGCTCATCTTGGCCTACCAAAGTGCTGAAATTACAGGCGTGAGCCACCGTGCCCAGCTCTTTTTCTTATTTTTTATTTAATTTAATTAATTTATTTTTGAGACAGCGTCTCACTCTGTCGCCCAGGCTGGCGTGCAGTGGCACAATCACAGCTCACTGCAGCCTCCACCTCCCAGGCTCAAGTGAGCGATCCTCCCACCTCAGCCTCTCGAGTCACTGGGACTACAGGCAAGTGCCATAATACCCAGCTAATTTTTAAATTTTTTGTGGAGATGGGGGTTTTGCATTATTGCCCAGGTTGGTCTTGAACTCCTGAATGCAAGCAATTCTCCCGCTTCAGCTTTTCCCAAAGTGCTGGGATTATAGGCCTGAGCCACCTCACCCAGCCCTCTTTTAATTTTTTTAGAGACATGGTCTCACTGTGTTGCTTATTTTCTATCCTCTTCCTCACCCATCTGTCCATCCATCCACCCACCTACTTGTGTCCCAGGCAGGGTGCTTTGTGCTGGGGATTCAGAGGCTAATTAGCACACTCCTGCCATTAGAGAACAGCTGATTAAGAGAGGAGTGATGAGCGCTGGAGACCCAGGCCAGGCCAACAGTGCCCTGCGAACTAATTCCAGGCCTTTTTTTTTTTTTTTTTTTTTGAGACAGAGTTTTGCTCTTGTTGCTCAGGCTGGAGTGCAATGGCGCAATCACGGCTCACTGCAACTTCCACCTTCCAGGTTCAAGCGATTCTCCTTGCCTCAGCCTCCTGAGGAGCTGGGATTACAGGCATGCACCACCAAGCCTGGCTACTTCCATATTTTTTTAGTAGAGACGGGGTTTCACCATGTTGGTCAGGCTGGTTTGGGACTCCTGACCTCAGGTGATCCGCCCACCTCGGCCTCCCAAAGTGCTAATTGCAGGCCTTTTATTGGAACTTTCTGTTGGATGACTCACATTATAGGATAGAAGTCTAAGAAATGCTGGTAGTCATCCCACCTTCATCTGAAGCAAAACTGCCTGAGAACAGAACCAACCTAGAGGACAGTAGGGTCAAGAAAGGGAGAGAACAAGACAGACTCCCGGAGCCCGCCCTGGGTCCAGCCGCACTTGAAGCTAGATCCTTTCCATTATGTGAAGCAACAAATTCTCTCTTTTTTTTTTTCCTTATCAAAATTTGAACTAGGTTTCCTTCTTCTTCTTCTTCTTTTTTTTTTTTGAGACAGAGTCTCGCTCTGTTGCCCAGGCTGGAGTGCAGTGGTGCCATCTCAGCTCACTGCAAGCTCCACCTCCTGGGTTCACGCCATTCTCCTGCCTCAGCCTCCCAAGTAGCTGGGACTACAGGTGCTCGCCACCATACCCGGCTAATTTTTTTGTATTTTTAGTAGAGACGGGGTTTCACCCTGTTAGCCAGGATGGTCTTGATCTCCTGACCTCATGATCCGTCCGCCTCGGCCTCCCAAAATGCTGGGATTACAGGCGTGAGCCACTGCTCCCGGCCCTTCTTTCTTCTTTTTTAACTTTTGATGGTAATAAGGATTTATCTCTTATTATTATTATTATTATTATTTTTGAGATGGAGTTTCACTCTGTTGTTCAGGCAGGAGTGCAATGGCACAATCTTGGTTCACTCCAACCTCTGCCTCCCAGGTTGAGGCGACTCTCCTGCCTCAGCCTCCTGAGTAGCTGGGATTACAGATGTTCACCACCATGCCCAGCTAATTTGTTTCTATTTTTAGTGGAGATGGGGCTTCACCATGTTGGCCAGGCTGGTCTCAAACTCCTGACCTCAGGTGATCTGCCTGCCCTGGCCTCCCAAAATGCTAGGATTACAGGCGTGAGCCACTGCGCCCAGCCTATTTTATCTGTTTTCAAGAATTTGTTAACTTTATTTTTATTTTTTGAATCAGGGTCTCACTCTATCACCCAGGCTGGAGTGCAGTGGCTCGATTAGAGCTCACTGTGGACTCGACCTCCTAGGCTCAAGCAATCCTCTACCTTGGGCTCCTAAAGTGCCGGGACTACTGGCATGAGCCACCTCATGCAGCCAATTTTTTTTGAGACAGAGTCTCATTCTGTTGCCCAGTCTGGAGTGCAATGCTGCAATCTCAGCTTACTGCAACCTTCACCTCCTGGGTTCAAATGATTCTCCTGCCTCAGCCTCCTGAGTAGCTGGAATTACAGGCATGCACCACCACACCCAGCTAATTTTGTATCTGTAGTAGTGATGGGGTTTCACCATGTTGGCCAGGCTGGTCTCCAACTCCTGACCTCAAGTGATCCTCCTGCCTCAGGCTCCCAAAGTGCTGGGATTACAGGCATGTGCCACCATGCCCGGCCTGTAGACATTTTCAAATACAGAAAACGGGAATAATTGTATAATAAACTCTTTTGTACCCATCATCCAGCTTTGACAATGGTCAACATATATTGGCAATATTTGATTCAAATATGGCAATATTAGCAAACATTGATTCATTTCTTTTTTCACATTATTTTCTTAGAGTGTATTAAAACAGCCGGGCGCAGTGGCTCACGCCTGTAATCCCAGCACTTTGGGAGGCTGAGGCGGGCGGATCACAAGGTCAGGAGATCGAGACCGTCCTGGCTAACATGGTGAAACCCTGTTTCTACTAAAAATACAAAAAATTAGCCAGGCGAGGTGGTGGGCGCCTGTAGTCCCAGCTTCTCGGGAGGCTGAGGCAGGAGAATGGCGTGAACTCGGGAGGCAGAGCTTGCAGTGAGCTGAGATTGCGCCACTGCACTCCAGCCTGGGCGACAGATTGAGACTCCGTCTCAAAACAAAACAAAACAAAAAAAAACAGAATGTATTAAAACAAATCTCAGACATCATAGCATTTCAACTTAAATACTTCAGTATTAGCCAGGCACAGTGGCTCACACCTGTAATCCCAGCACTTTGGGAGGCTGAGGTGGGCAGATCACTAGGTCAAGAGATTGAGACCATCCTGGCCAACATGGTGAAACCCCATCTCTACTAAAAACAGAAAAATTAGCTGGGCGTGGTGGTGCACACCTGTAGTCTCAGCTACTCGGGAGGCTGAGGCAGGAGAATCGCCTGAACACAGGAGGTGGAGGTTGCAGTGAGCTAAGATCATGCCACTGCACTCCAGACTGGCGACACAGTGAGACTCCATCTCAAAAAAACAAAAAAAAAAAACTTCAGTATTTACCTCTAACACACAGAGACTTAAAAAAAAATCTCTTAGATCTGGCCAGATGCAGTGGCTCAAACCTGTAATCCCAGCACTTTTCAGGGTCAAGGTGGGCAGATCACCTGAGGTCAGAAGTTTGAGACCAGCCTGGCCAACATCACAAAAACCCGTCTCTACAAAAATACAAAAATTAGCTGGACGTGGTGGCGTGTGCCTGTAATTCCAGTGCAGTGACGAGATCTCAGCTCACTGCAACCTCTTCCTCCTGGGTTCAAGCAAGTCTCCTGCCTCAGCCTCCCAAGTAGCTGGGACAGGTGCTCATCACCACAACTGGCTAATTTTTGCATTTTCTGTAGAGACAGGGTTTCACCATTTTGCCAAGACTGGTCTTGAATTCCTGGGCTCAAGCGATCCTCCCACCTTGGCCTCCCAAAGTGCTAGGATTACAGGTGTGCACCACCATGCCTGGCGGATTATTTTTATTCTAGTTGTAACGTTATTTTCCTTCTTTTTAAAACAAACTTTATTTACATACAACAAAACACACTTTAATTTTCTTTTTTTATCTTTTTTTTTTTTTTTTTTTTTTTTTTTGAGACGGAGTCTCACGCTGTCACCCAGGCTGGAGTGCAGTAGTGCGATCTCAGCTTACTGAAACCTCCGCCTCCCGGGTTCACGTGATTCTCCTACCTCAGCCTCCCACGTAGCTAGGATTACAGGTGCACACCACCACAGCCGGCTAATTTTTTGTATTTTTAGTTGAGACAGGGTTTCACTATGTGGCCACACTGGTCTCAAACTCCTGACCTCGTGATCCACCCGCCTCAGGCTCCCAAAGTGCTAGGATTACAGGCGTGAGCCTCTGCGCGCAGCCCACTTTAATTTTCATACAATAAAGCACATTCATTTTAAGTGCATGATTCAGTTAGTTTTGACAAATATACATACCCATGTAATTACTACCATAATCAAAATATGAAATACTCCCATCACCCTTAAAATTTCCTTCCACTCGCCAGGCGCAGTGGCTGCCAGTCAGGAGATTGAGACTATTCTGGCCAACACGGTGAAACCCCATCTCTACTAAAAATACAAAAAATTAGCCGGGCGTGGTGGCAAGTACCTGTGGTCCCAGCTACTCAGGAGGCTGAGGCAGGAGAATCGCTTGAACCCAGGAGGCGGACGTTGCAGTGAGCCAAGATCGCGCCACTGCATTCCAGCCTGGGCGACAGAGCGAGACTCCATCTCAAAAAAAATAAAAATAAAAAAAATAAGTTCCTTCCCCAATCAATCCCCAACCTCAGCCCCAGACAGCGATTGATCTTTTTGCTGTCATTATAGATTAATTTTGCCTGTTCTAGAATGTTCCACACAAATGAAATATACAATACGGGTCTGCTTTTTTTCACTTTTCATAATGTTTTGAGATTCGTCATATTATTGTATGTCAGATAAGGATTACTTTACCTAACCACAGTACCATTACGTAATACATAATTAATTACACCTAAATTTAGCAAGAATTTTTTTTTTGGAAATGTACTAAAATTTAATCATCCATAAAAGCTTTTTTTTTTTTTTTTTTTTCGCAGACGGGTTGTCGCTCTGTTGCCCAGGCTGGAGTGCAGTGGCACAATCTCAGTTTGCTACAGCCTCCACTTCCTGGGTTCAAGCAATTCTCATGCCTCAGCCTCCCACGTAGCAGGGACTATAGGAGTGCACCAACCCTCCTGGCTAATTTATTTTTTTTCAAAACAGAGTCTTGCTCTATCGCCCAGTCTGGAGTGCAGTGGCATGATCTCAGCTAACTGCAGCCTCCGCCT
This sequence comes from Homo sapiens, assembly GCF_000001405.40. Lineage (NCBI taxonomy): Eukaryota > Metazoa > Chordata > Mammalia > Primates > Hominidae > Homo > Homo sapiens. Next base: position 30,172,905 of record NC_000016.10, on the reverse strand, counting down.
TCTGGGTTCAAACAATTCTCCTGCCTCAGCCTCCGGAGTAGCTGGGATTACAGGTGTGTGCCACCACACCCAGCTAATTTTTTTTTTTTTTTTTTTTGAGACAGAGTCTCGCTCTGTCGCCCAGGCTGGAGTGCAGTGGTGTGATCACTGCAAGCTCCGTCTTTCAGGTTCACGCCATTCTCCTGCCTCAGCCTCCCGAGTAGCTGGGACTACAGGCACCCACCACCGCACCCAGCTAATTTTTTGTATTTTTAGTAGACACGGGGTTTCACCGTGTTAGCCAGGTTGGTCTCGATCTCCTGACCTTGTGATCCTCCTGCCTCGGCCTCCCAAAGTGCTGGGATTACAGGTGTGAGCCACCGCAACCGGCCCACACCTGGCTAATTTTTTGTATTTTTAGTAGAGATGGGGTTTCACCATGTTGACCAGGCTGGTCTTGAACTCCTGACTTCATGATCTGCCTGCCTCGGCCTCCCAGAGTGCTGGGATTACAGGCATGAGCCACCGTGCCCAGCCAATTTTTCTATTTTTAGTAGAGATGGGGTTTCGCCATGTTGTCCAGGCTGGTCTCAAACTCCTGGCCTCAAGTGATCTGCCCACCTTGGCCTTCCAAAGTGCTGGGATTACAGGCATGCGCCACCTTGCCCAGCCCAGAGATATAATTTAACAGTAAAACAGAATAAGCTATGTTAGAGTTGGTTTAGTGCAAGCTTGTGCAACCCCAGGATGATCCAGGATGGCTTTGAATGCAGACCAACACAAATTGGTAAACTTAAAACATTATGAGATTTTTTTGTGATTTTTTTTTTTTAGCCCATTAGCTATCGTTAGTATATTTTATGTGTGGCCCAAGACAATTCTTCTTCCAATGTGGTCCGGGGAAGCCAAAAGATTGGACACCCCTGATTTAGTATATTATATATTTTATCTTTGAAAGCCATAGAAATCATTTGTCCCAGGCCGAGCGTGGTGGCTCACGCCTGTAATCTCAGCACTTTGGGAGGCCAAGGTGGGTGGATCAAAAGGTCAGGAGTTCAAGACCAGCTTGGCTAATATGGTGAAACCCCATCTCTACTAAAAATACAAAAATTAGCCGGGTATGGTAGTGGGCACCTGTAGTCCTAGCTACTGTGGAGGCTGAAGCAGAGAATTGCTTGAACACGGGAGGCGGAGGTTGCAGTGAGCCGAGATCATGCCACTGCACTCCAGCCTGGGCAACAGAGCAAGACCCCATCTCAAAAAACAAAAAAAAGAAAGAAAAGAAATCATTTGTTCCAGTTTTTTTTCTATAAAAGATCCATTTTCCCAAAGCATTCTGCACAAATTTTAATTAGAATGCAATGACAGACGGTATTTCATAATTTTTAAAATATAAAATGAAGTCAATGACTCAAAAAAGTTAGCTGCTGCAATGAATTCGAAAGGAATTTTCATAATCTATATCACTGCAGAAATAGAGTATAATGATTCAACTTTTCAGTGCTTGGCAGAGAGGAATAATGATTAAAAGGTCAATATGAAATTATTTGAGGCTGAGTGTGGTGACTCAGGCCCATAATCCTAGCACTTCGGAAGGCCGAGGTGGGAGGATTGCTTGAGTCCAGGAGTTTGAGACCAGCCTGGGTAACGTAGTAGGACCTTGTCTCTACAAAAAATTTAAAAGGAAAAAATAAATAACTGGGCACAGTGGCACGTGCCTGCAGTCCCAGCCACTCTGGGGGCGGGTGAGGTGGGAGGATTGCTTAAGCTCAGCAGGTCGAGGTTGCATTAGGCCATGATTGTGTCACTGCACCCCAGCCTCGGTGACAGAGAGACCCTGTTTCAAAAAAAAAAAAAAAAGAAAAGAAAAGAAGAAAAGAAAAGAAAAATAAATCATTTGATAATACTAGCAACATCTAACATTTGAAATGCATTCATGCTCTTCTGTATAATCATATTAGAGTTGAGTGTATTTATTTTCACATCTGTTTTTTTTTTTTTTTTAATTTATTTATTTTTTATTGATAATTCTTGGGTGTTTCTCACAGAGGGGGATTTGGCAGGGTCATAGGACAATAGTGGAGGGAAGGTCAGCAGATAAACAAGTGAACAAAGGTCTCTGGTTTTCCTAGGCAGAGGACCCTGCGGCCTTCCGCAGTGTTTGTGTCCCTGATTACTTGAGATTAGGGATTGGTGATGACTCTTAACGAGCATGCTGCCTTCAAGCATCTGTTTAACAAAGCACATCTTGCACCGCCCTTAATCCGTTTAACCCTGAGTGGACACAGCACATGTTTCAGAGAGCACAGGGTTGGGGGTAAGGTCACAGATCAACAGGATCCCAAGGCAGAAGTTTTCTTAGTACAGAACAAAATGAAAAGTCTCCCATGTCTACTTCTTTCTACACAGACACGGCAACCATCCGATTTCTCAATCTTTTCCCCACCTTTCCCGCCTTTCTATTCCACAAAGCCGCCATTGTCATCCTGGCCCGTTCTCAATGAGCTGTTGGGCACACCTCCCAGACGGGGTGGTGGCCGGGCAGAGGCGCCCCTCACCTCCCGGGCGGGGCCGCTGGCCGGGCGGGGGCTGACCCCCCAACCTCCCTCCCGGACGGGGCGGCTGGCCGGGCGGGGGGCTGACCCCGCCACCTCCCTCCCGGACGGGGCGGCTGGCCTGGCAGAGGGGCTCCTTACTTCCCAGTAGGGGCGGCCGGGCAGAGGCGCCCGTCACCTCCCGGACGGGGCGGCTGGCCGGGCGGGGGGCTGACCCCCCCACCTCCCTCCCGGACGGGGCGGCTGGCCCGGCGGGGGGCCGACCCCCCCACCTCCCTCCCGGATGGGGCGGCTGGCCTGGCAGAGGGGCTCCTCACTTCCCAGTAGGGGTGGCCAGGCAGAGGCGCCCCTCACCTCCCAGACGGGGCGGCTGGCCGGGCGGGGGGCTGACCCCCCCACCTCCCTCCCGGACGGGGCGGCTGGCCGGGCGGGGGGCTGACCCCGCCACCTCCCTCCCGGACGGGGCGGCTGGCCTGGCAGAGGGGCTCCTTACTTCCCAGTAGGGGCGGCCGGGCAGAGGCGCCCGTCACCTCCCGGACGGGGCGGCTGGCCGGGCGGGGGGCTGACCCCCCCACCTCCCTCCCGGACGGGGCGGCTGGCCGGGCGGGGGGCTGACCCCGCCACCTCCCTCCCGGACGGGGCGGCTGGCCTGGCAGAGGGGCTCCCCACTTCCCAGTAGGGGCGGCCGGGCAGAGGCGCCCCTCACCTCCCGGACGGGGCGGCTGGCCGAGCGGGGGGCTGACGCCCCGACCTCCCTCCCGGACCGGGCGGCTGGCCTGGCGGGGGGCTGAACCCCCCACCTCCCTCCCTGACGGGGCGGCTGGCCGGGCGGGGGGCTGACCCGCCTACCTCCCTCCCGGACGGGGCGGCTGGCCGGGCGGGGGGCTGACCCCCCCACCTCCCTCCGGGACGGGGCGGCTGGCCGGGCGGGGGGCTGACCCCCCCCACCTCCCTCCCGGACCGGGCGGCTGGCCGGGCGGGGGGCTGACCCCCCCCACCTCCCTCCCGGACGGGGCCGCTGGCCGGGCGGGGGGCTGACCCCCCCCCACCTCCCTCCCGGACGGGGCGGCTGGCCGGGTGGGGGGCTGACCCCCCCACCTCCCTCCCGGACGGGGCCGCTGGCCGGGCAGAGGGGCTCCTCACTTCCCAGTAGGGGTGACCAGGCAGAGGCGCCCCTCACCTCCCGGACGGGGCGGCTGGCCAGGCGGGAGGCTGACGCCCCGACCTCCCTCCCGGACGGGGCGGCTGGCCTGGCGGGGGGCTGACCCCCCCACCTCCCTCCCTGACGGGGCGGCTGGCGGGGCGTGGGGCTGACCCCCCCACCTCCCTCCCGGATGGGGCTGCTGGCCTGGCGGGGGGCTGACCCCCCCCACCTCCCTCCCGGACGGGGTGGCTGCCGGGCGGAGACGCTCCTCACTTCCCAGACGGGGTGGCTGCTGGGCGGAGAGGCTCCTCATTTCTCAGACGGGGCGGCTGCCGGGTGGAGGGTCTCCTCACTTCTCAGACGGGGTGGTTGCCGGGCAGAGGGTCTCCTCACTTCTCAGACGGGGCGGCGGGGCAGAGATGCTCCTCACCTCCCAGACGGGGTCGTGGCCGGGCAGAGGTGCTCCTCACATCCCAGACGGGGCGGCGGGGCAGAGGTTCTCCCCACATCTCAGACGATGGGCGGCCGGGCAGAGACGCTCCTCACTTCCTAGATGTGATGGCGGCCGGAAAGAGGCGCTCCTCACCTCCTAGATGGGATGGCGGCCGGTCGGAGACGCTCCTCACCTCCCAGACTGGGCAGCCAGGCAGAGGGGCTCCCCACATCCCAGACGATGGGTGGCCAGGCAGAGACGCTCCTCACTTCCCAGACGGGGTTGTAGCGAGCCGAGACCACGCCACTGCACTCCAGCCTGGGCACCACCGAGCACTGAGTCTTCACATCTGTTATAGCTGCCTTTGCAAAGGAAAAATAGTATTATCTTATTTTCCAAGAGATATACACAGAGCAATTTTTTTTTCTGCAGGGAACTTGTGCAAACCAACATAAGATCTAAATTCTCCATATAATATATCAAGCAGGAAAAGCCTCATCAGATTTCTTTTTTGAATTCTGGGATGCTGACACTTTCCAATTAGGCAATGGTTCTTCATCCTGCAGTTGGCTCAGAGCTGCAGCTGACTGTGGGTCTGCCATAGCAGACATGATTTCTTTATTTTGATATGGAGTTTTGCTGTTTCGCCCAGTCTGGAGTGCAGTGGCACGATCTCGGCTCACTGCAACCTCCTCCCCGCAGGTTCAAGCAATTCTCCTGCCTCCACCTCCAGAGTAGCTGGGATTATAGGTGCCTGCCACCATGCCCAGCTAATTTTTGTATTTTTAGTAGAGATGGGGTTTTGCCATGTTGGCTGAGCTGGTCTTGAACTCCTGACCTCAGAGTGATCTGCATGCCTCGGCCTCTCAAAGTGCTGGGACTCCAGGTGTGAGCCACCACACCTGTCTAATTTTTCTATTTTTTGTAGAGACAGGTTTCACCATGTTGGCCAGGCTGGTCTCGAACTCCGGACCTCAGGTGATCCGCCCGCCTGGGCACCCCAAAGTGTTGGGATTCCAGGTGCAAGCCACCACACCTGTCTAATTTTTCTATTTTTTTAGAGATGGGGTCTTGCTATACTGCCCAGGCTGGTCTCAAACTCCTGACCTCAGGTGATCCGCCTGCCTCACCTCCCAGAGTGCTGGGATTACAGGCGTGAGCCACTGCTCCTGGCCTGAACTAGGTATTGAATAGGAGTCTGCCAAGCAAAGAAGAGAGGCAGGAGGGAGAAGAGCCATTCAGATGAAGGCAGGAAAAGATCATGACGTTTTAGGGAATGGAGAGCTGTCCCCCAAGGCTGGGGCCTCAGATGCTTGGGGTGAGAGGAAAGGTCAGAATGCTGGGAAGGTCCATAGGGGCAGAGCATGGGGGACCTCAAACAGAGCCTTCTCAAGGAGTTTTCTCCAGTGAGTAGCACGGAGCCCCCACAAGTCTCCAGGTAAAGAAGTAACAGTTTCATTGGCAAGAGGTTGCTCTGGTAGCCTGGCACCTCCTCATGTGGCCCTGATCTTCCATCTACCTGCAGGGTCAGCACTGACTCACATTCTGAAAGCACTCCTGCCCGGGCACAGTGGCTCATGCCTGAAATCCCAGCACTTCTGGAGGCCAAGGCAGGAGGATCATTTGAGGCCAGGAGATTGAGACAAGCCTGAACAACATAGTGAGACTCCATTTCTACAAAATATAAAATATGGGCTGGACACGGTGGCTAATGCCTGTAATCCCAGCACTTTGGGAGGCCAAGGCGGGCGGATCACCCGAGGTCAGGAGTTCGATATCAGCCTGACCAACATGGTGAAACTCTGTCTCTACTAAATACAAAAAATTAGCCAGGCGTGGTGGCGCATGCCTGTAATCCCAGCTACTTGGGAGGCTGAGGCAGGAGAATTGCTTGAACCCGGGAGGCGGAGGTTGCAATGAGCTGAGATTGTACCATTGCACTCCAGCCTGGGCAGCAAGAGCGAAACTCTGTCTCAAATAAATAAATAAATAAATAAAATAAAATATTAGCCACGTGTGATGGCATGTGCCTGTAGTCCTAACTACTCGGGAGGCTGAAGCAGGAGGATCCCTTGAGCCCAGGAGTTGGAGGCTTCAGTGAACTATGATTGCGCCACTGCATTCCAGCCTGGATGACAGAAGGAGACCCTGTCTCTAAAAAAATGTTTTTAAAGTAATGGTTCTCATTGGGCCCAAGGCCGATCCCTCTTGGGACACATTCCTCCCATTTCTTCAGTGATCTCACCTCATCGTTTCACCCTTTTCTCCTCTACTGGCAGGCCTCTCTCTGCAGACCCTCTCTTTTCAGGATATAAAACACACCCAGGTTCCTGTGTGCAGGGGGAACCTCTCTCAACTTGGCAACCTCAAACCACTTCCCTATTTCACTCCTATTGTTCACATGTGAGTTTCTTGAGAGAGTGGTGGACACTCACTGTCTCCACTTCCTCATTTCCTACTTTTCCACCTACTTGAGTCTGTCTTCTGCCCTCGCCATTCCACATATATTTGCCCTCACCAGCCAGGCCCGGTGGCTCACGCCTGTTATCCCAACACTTTGGGAGGCTGAGGCAGGCAGATCACCTGAGGTCAGGAGTTCAAGACCACCCTGGCCAACATGGTGAAACCCCATCTCTACTAAAAACACAAAAATTAGCTGGGTGTGGTGGCGCACACCTGTAATCCCAGCTACTGGGGAGGCTGAGGCAGGAGAATCGCTTGAACCCGGGAGACAGAGGTTGCAGTGAGCCGAGATTGAGCCATTGCACTCCAGCCTGGGTGACAGAGCGAAACTCCATTAAAAAAAAAAAAAAAAAAGATTTGCCCTCAGCAGGGCCACCAGTAACTTCCTGGTCATCAAATCAGGCAAACACGTTTTGGTGTCCATCCAATGCTACTGACTATGCCTCCTCCTTGAACATGTTCCTTTCGAATATGCGACGACGCACCCTCCCCTTGTTCTCATCTTTCTCTATGGCTTTCTCTGTCAATCCCCTGTGGGGTGTCTCTTCCTCTGCTTTACTCATTACACCCAGAGTCCTCCCAGGACTCCACCTCTTAGTTACTTATTTAGATTCAGGGTCTTGTTCTGTCACCCAGGCTGGAGTGCAGGGGTGCAATTACAGCTCACTGCAGCCTCAAAGTCCTGGGCTCAGGCGATCCTCCTGCCTCAGCCTCCCAAAGTGCTGGGACTAAAGGCGTGCAACACCATGCCTGGCTAATACTTCTGGTTTTTGGAGAGGCGGGGGGGGTCCCATAATGTTGCCCAGGCTGGTCTTAAACTCCTGGCCCTAAGCAACCCACCCATCTCAGCCTCCCAAAGTGCTGGGATTACAGACGTGAGTCCCGCACCTCCATCTCTTCTTATTGCACTCAAACTCCCCACACTATCTTATCCACATAGGCAGCTTCAATTGCAAACTCTGATGACTCTCAGCCTGTCTCTGAGGTACAAACCTGTCTCTGTGTTTCCTGGTTCTGACCTGCATGTCCCATTAGAACCCCAGGGAGGGCCTCCTGGAGTGAGGAGTCTTGACCTTGAATCTCCCCTTTTCTCTTCATCACTACCGACACTACCTGAGTTGAGTTGCTTCTACCATTGCAGGAACCCCCTAAGTAATCTGCAGGCCATCTCACCTTCTTCTGATCCATCTTTTATTTATTTATTTACTTACTTACTTACTTACTTACTCACTTACTTATTTGAAACAGAGTCTTGTTCCATCACTCAGGCTGGAGTGCAGTGGCACAATCTCAGCTCACTGCAACCTCCACCTCTTGGGTTCAAGCGATTCTCGTGCCTCAGCCTCCTGAGTAGCTGGGGTTACAGGCACACGCCACCACAGCTGGCTAATTTTTGTATTTTTAGTAGAGATGGGGTTTCACCATGTTGGCCAGGCTGGTCTGAAACTCCTGACCTCAGGCGATCCGCCCACCTCAGCCTCCCAAAGTGCTGAGATTACAGGCATGAGCCACCACACCCAGCTCCCATGACTGCTTAACTGATAGAATGTGGTAGAAGTTATTCTGTGACAATTACAGGCCTATCCTTTCAGTAGACTAAAAGGTTTTGCTTCCTTTCTCAGGATGCTTCTGCTCAAAATCCCAGAATAATGAGAAATAACAAAATGGTTGTCAATTTGGCCAGGTGCAGTGGCTCACACCTATAATCATAGCACTTTGGGAGGCCAAGGCGGGTGGATCAGTTGAGCTCAGAAGTTCAAGAACTGCCTGGGCAATATGGTGCAACCTTGTGTCTACAAAAAATATACAAAATTAGCTGGGCATGCACCTGTTGTCCCAGCTACTCAGGAGGCTGAGGTGGGAGGATTGCTTGAACCAGGGAGGCAGAGGTTGCAGTGAGCCAACATCACACTGCTGTACTCCAACCTGGGCAACAAAGTGCAACCCTGTTTCAAAACAAACAAACAAACAAAATAATAATAAATAATGGCTCCAGTGTGGTGGCTCACACCTGTAATCCCAGCACTTTGAGGGGCCAAGGCAGGAGGATTTCTTGAGCCCAGGAGTTCAAGACTAGCCTGGGCAACACAGAGAGATCCTAACTCAACGAATAATATAAAAAGTTAGCGGGCTGGGTGCAGTGGCTCACACCTCTAATCCCAGCATTTTGGGAGGCCAAGGCAGGAGGATCACTTAGGGCCAGGAGTTCAAGACCAGCCTGGGCAACAAAGTAAGACCCTTGTCTCTAAAAATATTTAAAAATTAGCCAGACTATAGGTGGCGTGTGCCTATAGTTCCAGCTGCTTGGGAGGCTGAGGTGGGAGGATCGCTTGAGCCCAAGAGGTCAAGTCTGCAGTGAGCTATGATCACACCACTGCACTCCAGCCTGGGTAATAGAGTGAGACCCTGTCTATACACAAATAAACAAACAAACAAACAAACCACTCTTTTTGGCAACAGATGGGGTTTCACCATATTGGCCAGGCTGGTCTCAAACCCCTGAGCTCAGGTGATCCATCCACCTTTGCCTCCCAAAGTGCCGGGATTAAAGGTGTGAGCCACCACACCCAGCCAACTTCTTTTGATGTGGAAATTTACAAAGGATTGGCAGCCGTCTTTCATTCACTAGAGAGGACTGTGCAGGTAACATGAGCATCTGAGGCAGGGCGGGTGAACCAGAACAGGGAGTGGAGGGGCTGTGGTGGTGCCAGCCACTTGTCACCATGAAGAAATGCTGGCCCTGTGTAGCCAAACTTGGCTTTTCAAGATAAAGTAGAAATATGGATTTTTATGTGAAAGCTCTAGATCTTTCAATGTTGGCAACTAATTCAAAAATTTCTAAAAATGTTGTGCGAGCAAAACTAAATATGTCTTTGGTTTGGATGTGGTTTTTCTGGCCAGATTTTTTTTTTTTTTTTTAAAGAAATAGAGACAGGGATTTGCTATGTTGCCCAGGCTGGTCTGAAACTCCTGGCCTCAAGTGATGCTCCCACCGCAGCCTACCAAACTGCTAAGATTATAGGCATGAGCCACCAGGCCCTGCCCTGGCCAGCAATTTTTCTTTTTTGACTCTGTTCTTTGCCCTTGACATGGGCCTGAAATCTCTTTTTTAAAATTAATTTATTTATTTATTTTTGAGACAGAGTCTTGCTCTGTCACCCAGGCTGGAGTGCAGTGGCACCATCTCGGCTCACTGCAACCTCCACCTCCCTGGTTCAAGTGATTCTCCTGCCTCAGCCACCCAAGTACCTGGGACTACAGATATGCACCATCACACCTGACTAATTTTTTAATTTTTTGGTAGAGATAGAATTTCATCACGTTGGTCAGGCTGGTCTCAACCTCCTGACCTCAAATGATCCACCCACCTTGGCCTCCCTAAGTGCTGGGATTACAGATGTGAGTCACTGCGCCTGGCCTGAATTTATTTTTAATTTATATATTTTTTAGAGACAGGGTCTTGCCATGTTGCCCAGGCTTGTCTCGAACTCCTGAACTCAAGCTATCTGCCTCAGCCTCCCAAAGAGCTGGGATTACAGGTGTGAGCCACCGTGCCCAGCCTGGGCCTGAAATCTCTTACTCTTTGTTTCCTACCAAACTTTCATGTATCCTACTTATCCCTTGAAACCTGGCGAGGTGTGGTGGCTCGGCGAGCCGAGATCGCACCACTGTACTCCAGCCTGGGTGACAGAGTGAGACTCCATCTCAAAAATATAAAAATTAAAATAAATAAATAAAACTCAAGTCAAGATTTCCTTCTCTGGGAACTGCCTCTCCCCTGACCCACAGTCACTGCCCAAATGCTTTCCTTTCTGTTTTGTGTTAGTGGCCCTTGCTGTATACCTCAATCATTGTAACTGGTACATTGGATAGTCATTGTTTATATGTCCCCCTCTTCCACAGACTGAGTTGTTGTCTGTTTCTTTGAGACAGGATCTTGCTCTGTCGCCTTGGCTGGGGTGCAGTGGTGTGATTATGGTTCATTGCAGCCTTGACATCCCAGGCTCAAGCAATCCTCCTCCTGCCACAGTCTCCCCAGGAGGTGGGCCCACAGGCACGAGCCACTGGACCTAGCTAATTTTTCATTTTTTGTAGATGAGATCTCACTGTGTCACCCAGGATGGTCTCAAACTCCTGGCCTCAAGTGATCCTCCTGCTTCAGCCTCCCAGAGTGCTGGGGTTACAGGTATGAGCCACACCATGTCTGGCCTTCAAAATGAGTTGCATTTGCCCAGCACAGTGGCCAACACATGGCTGGCATTCAATAGATAAAATCCTCTTTCTTTCCCAACACTGCTAAGCAATGAGCACTTGCATACTCTGCCTCCACCATGTTATTTCCTGGCCAGTCCATCCTCTGTTCCCACTGCTATTACCCTGGCCGAGCAGAACATACCTTACCTCCTCTTCCCCATGGTGATTAGTTTACAGAAGAATTTATGACCTACTGTAGACCAATGAGATTCTTCCCAAGCACCATTGCAGGAACTTTTAGGGATGAGATTTCTTTCGACTCTGGTCGGCAAAATGGCAGAAAGAAGAGGCTGCCTGAAAATGAAGCTAACAGCCGGGCGCAGTGGTTCACATCTGTAATCCCAGCACTTTGGGAGGCCAGGGGAGAATCACTTGAGGCCAGGATTTCAAGACCAGCCTGGGCAACATAGCAAGACCTCATCCCTAAAACAAAAAATTTAAAAATTAGCTGGACAGGCCAGGCATGGAGGCTCATGCCTGTAATCCCAGCACTTTGGGAGGCCGAGGCAGGTGGATCATGAGGTCAGGAGATCGAGACCATCCTGGCTAACACGGTGAAACCCCGTCTCTAATAAAAATACAAAAAATTAGCCGGGCGTGGTGGCACGCGCATGTAGTCCCAGCTACTTCGGAGGCTAAGGCAGGAGAATCGCTTGAACCCGGGAGGCGGAGGTTGTAGCCGAGATTGCACCACTGCACTCCAGCCTGGGCAACAGAGCGAGACTCCGTCTCAATAAAAAGAAAAAAAAATTAGCTGGACATTGTGGCACTTACCTGTAGTCCCAACTACTTTGGAGGCTGACACGGGAAAATTGCTCGAGCCTCGGAGATTGAGGCTCTAATGAACCATGATTGCACCACTGCATACCACCATAGGCAACAGAGGGAGACCCTGTTTCAAAAAAAAAAAGTAACCAGGCGTGCTGGTGCTTGCCTATAGTCTCAGTGACTCGGGAGGCTGGGACAGGAGGAATGCCTGAGTCCAGGACTTTGAGGTTAGAGTGAGCTGTGATTGCACTACTGGACCCAGCTCTGGGCGACAGAGTGAAACTGTCTCTTAAAAAAATGTTTTTTGTTTTTGTTTTTTGGTTTTTTTTTGAGATGGAGTCTCACTCTTGTTGCCCAGGCTGGAATGCAATGTTGCGATCTCAGCTCACTGCAACCTCTGCCTCCCAGATGCAAGCAATTCTCCCTCGGCTTCCCGAGTAGCTGAGATTACAGGCATGCACCACCATGCCCGGTTATGCACCACCACGCCCGATAATTTTTATGTTTTTAGTAGAGACGGTTTCATCATGTTGGCCAGGCTGGTCTCAAACTCCTGATCTCAGGTGATCCACCCACCTCGGCCTCCTAAAGTGCTAGGATTACAGGTGTGAGCCACTGCGCCCGGCCCAAAAATATGTTTTTTTAATTGAAGCTAACACAGGTAAGGGATTGGTGAGACAAGTTCCTGATGACATTCTTTGAACACCTATTCAGGCTTTCCTGAAGCCAGCTATACACAGGAATTTTAATTTATATCAGTCAATAAATTTATTTCTGGCTGGGTACTATGGCTCACACCTGTAATCCCAGCACTTTGGGAGGCCGAGGCCGGTGGATCATTTGAGGTCAGGAGTTCAAAACCAGCCTGGCCAACATGGTGAAACCCCACCTGTACTAAAAATACAAAAAAAAAATTATCTGGGCGTGGTGATGCACTCCTATAATCCCAGCTACTTGGGAGGCTGAGGCAGGAGAATCACTTGAACCCAGGAGGTGAAGGCTGCAGTGAGCCGAGATCGAGCTACTGCACTCCAGCCTGGGTGACAGACTGAGACTCTGTCTCAAAAACAGAAAAAGAAAAAAAAAAAGAATAGAGGTGAGTTTCACTTCAGTAAGAGAAGACTAGCGACGCCGGGCACAGTGGCTCACGCCTGTAATCCCAGCACTTTGGAAGGCCGAGGCGGGCAGATCACCTGAGGTCAGGAGTTTAAGACCAGCCTGGTCAACACAGGGAAACCCTTTCTCTATTAAAAATACAAAAATTAGCTGGGCGTGGTGGTGCACTCCTGTAATCCCAGCTACTCAGGAGACCAAGACAGGAGAATTGCTTGAACCCAGGAAGCGGAGGTTGCAGTGAGCTGAGATCGTGCCACTGCACTCCAGCTTGGGGGACAGAGCAAGATTCTGTCTCAAAAAAAAAAAAAAGAAGACTAGCAGCACAGATTTCACGAGCAACCTATATATAGCTATTTCAGAATCACAGAATGCAGTCATCTTCTAAAACACAGGCTTAATGATACTCTCCTGCTTTGTAAACTGGAAGAGCTTCTTGGCACTCTCCTGTTAAATCCAAACTCTTCCTTATAACCTCTATTCAGAGTTATGTCCTTTCCAACAGAATTGCCTAATTTTAAGAGCTGGGAGATATTTCTGTTTACTATTTTACATTTCTTTTTTTCTTTTCTTACTTTTTTTTTTTTTTTTCTGAGATGGAGTTTCGCTTTGTCGCCCAGGCTGGAGTGCAGTGGCACGATCTTGGCTCACTTCCAGCTCCGCCTCCCAGGTTCACGTCATTCTCCTGCCTCAGCCTCCCAAGTAGCTGGTACTACAGGTGCCTGCCACCAGGCCCGGCTAATTTTTTGTATTTTTAGTAGAGACGGGGTTTCATCGTGTTAGCCAGGATGATCTCAATCTCCTGACCTCGTGATCCACCTGCCTTGTCCTCCCAAAGTGCTGGGATTAGAGGCGTGAGCCACTGTGCCCGGCCTTTTTTTTTTTTTAAGATGGAGTCTTGCTCTGTCGCCCAGGCTGGAGTGCAGTGGTGTAATCTCAGCTCACAGCAACCTCCGCCTCCTGGGTTCAAGCGATTCTCCTGCCTCAGCCTTCCAAAAAGCTGGGACTACAGGCGCCCACCACCACACCCAGCACAGACGGGGTGGCGGCCGGGCAGAAGCGCTCCTCACTTCCCAGACGGGGTGGCGGCCGGGCAGAGGCTGTAATCTTAGCACTTTAGGAGGCCAAGGCAGGCGGCTGGGAGGTGGAGGTTTTAGCGAGCCGAGATCACGCCACTGCACTCCAGCCTGGGCAACATTGAGCATTGAGTGAGCGAGACTCCGTCTGCAATCCCAGCACCTCAGGAGGCTGAGACGGGCAGATCACTCAAGGTCAGGAGCTGGAGACCAGCCCGGCCAACACGGCGAAACCCCGTCTCCACCAAAAATACAAAAACCAGTCAGGCGTGGCGGCGCATGCCTGCAATCCCAGGCACTCGGCAGGCCGAGGCAGGAGAATCACAGGAGCCTGAGGCAGGGAGGTTGCAGCGAGCCGAGATCACGGCAGTATAGTCCAGCCTCGGCAACAGAGGGAGACTGTTGAAAGAAAGAAAGAGAGAGAGAGAGAGAAAGAAAGGCGGGCAGGCAGGCGTTTTTTCACTTTCTTGACGGTGTTCTTTGAATCACAGAAGTTTCACGTTTTTGTTTCAAATTCTTTTTTTTTTTTTTTTTTTTGAGACAGAGTCTCACTCTGTCCCCCAGTCTGGAATGCAGTGGCACGATCTCGGCTCACTGCAAGCTCCGCCTCCTGGGTTCACACCATTCTCCTGCCTCAGCCTCCTGAGTAGCTGGGACTACAGGCACCAGCCACCACACCCCGCTAATTTTTATTTTTATTTATTTTTATTTTATTTTATTTTATTTTTGTATTTTTAGTAGAGACAGGGTTTTGCCGTGTTAGTCAGGATGGTCTGGATCTCCTGACCTCGTGATCCACCTGCCTTGGCCTCCCAAAGTGCTGGGATTACAGGCGTGAGCCACTGCGCCCGACCAAAATTCTTTTACACTTATTATGATTGTTGAGTATTTTCTATATTTTATTTTAAATCCTGGGATACACGTGCAGGATGTACAGGTTTGTTACATAGGTAAACGTGTGCCATGGTGCTTTGCTGCACCTATCAACCCATCACTTATGTATTAAGCCCTGAATACATTAGCTTTATCCTAATGCTCTTGCTCCCCCGACCCCCCGACAGGCCCCAGTGTATGTTATAAGTTTCACATTTTGATGAAGCCCAATGTATCTGTTTTCATTGTTGTTGCTTTCCTTTTTGTTGACATGTCTAAGAAGACACTGCCGGGATGGGTGCGGTGGCTCATGCCTGTAATCCCAGCACTTTGGGAGGCCGAGGCACCCGGATCACAACGTCAGGAGATGGAGAACATCCTGGCTAACATGGTGAAACCCCGTTTCTACTAAATACACAAAAAATTAGCCGGGTGTGGTGGTGGGCGCCTGTAGTCCCAGCTACTCGGGAGGCTGAGGCAGGAGAATGGTGTGAACCTGGGAGGCCGAGCTTGCAGTGAACCGAGATTGTGCTGCTGCACTCCAGCCTGGGCAACAGAGCAAGACTCCGTCTCAAAAAAAAAAAAAAAAGACACTGCCAAATTTGAAGCTACAAAGACTTGTCCCTATGTTTTCTTCTAAGAGTTTTATAGTTTTAGCTTTTACATTTGGTTTTAAAACAACAACAACCCTATTTTGAGTTAATTTTTGTATATGGTATGAGGCAGGGGCTCCACATTCCTTATTTATTTATTATTTTTTGAAACAGGATCTTACTCTGCTGCCCAGGCTGGAGTGCAGTGGTGTGATCACAACTCACTGCAGCCTTGAACTCTTGGGCTCAGGTGATCCTCCCACCTCAGTCTCCTAAGTAGTTGGGACTACAGGCACACACCACCATGCCTTGCTTATCTTTTTGTATTTTTTGTGGGACAGGAGTTTCACTATGTTGTTCAGGCTAGTCTCAAACTCCTGGGGTCAAGTGATCCACCCACCTCGGGCTCCCAAAGTGCTGGGATTACAGGCATGAGCAACCATGCCCAGTCAAGTTCATTATTTTGTATGTGTATGTTTTGTACATGTTCACTGTTACATAGCACTGTTTATTTAAAGACTATTCTTTCCCTCATTGAATTGTCTTGGCACCCTTATTTAAAATAAATTGACCACAGACATATAGGTTTATTTCTGGACTCTAGATTTTTTTTTTTTTGAGGCAGAGTCTGTCACTCAGGGTTCAAGTGATTCTCCTGCCTCAGCCTCCCATGTAGCTGGGACTACAGGTGCCCACCTCCACACCTGGCTAATTTTTGTATTTTTAGTAGAGATGGGGTTTCACCATGTTGGCCAGGCTGGTCTCGAACTCCTGACCTCAAGTGATCCACCCACCTCAGCCTCCCAAAGTGCTGGGATTATAGCTGTGAGCCACCACATCCAGCCATGGACTCTATAGATCATTGATCTATGGGTCTAGCCCTATGACAGTATCACAGTGTCTTGATTACTGTAGCTTTGTAGTAAGTTTTGAAATTGGGAAGTGTGAGCCTTCAACTTGTTTCTTTTTCAAGATTGTTTTGGCTATTCTGAGTCCCCTGAGTTTCCATATGAATTTTAGGACCCATTTGTCAATTTCTACAAGGAAGTCACTGGAATTCCAATAGGGATTGGGTAGATTAATTTAACAATATTAAATCTTCTGATCCATGAATGTGGGGTATCTTTCCATTTACTTAGAAATCAAATCTTCTTTGATTTGTTTCAACAATTATTTCAAGGTTTCAGAGCATACATTTTGTACTCCTTTTGTTAAGTTTATTCTTAAGTATTTTATTTTGGGGGTGCTATTGTAAATGGAATTGTTTTCTTAATTTCGTTTTCAGAAATTGTTCATTGCATTTTTTTTTTTTTTTTTGAGACGGGGTCTCGCTCTGTCACCAGGCTGGAGTGCAGTGGCACGATCTCAGCTCATTGCAACCTCCAACTCCCTGGTTCAAGCGATTCTCCTGCCTCAGCCTCCTGAGTAGCTGGGATTACAGGCATGCGCCACCACACCCAGCTAATTTTTTTGTATTTTTAGTAGAGACGGGGTTTCACCATGTTGGCCAGGATGGTCTCTATCTCCTGACCTCGTGATCCACCCACCTCAGCCTCCCAAAGTTCTGGGATTACAGGCATGAGCCACCACACCCGGCTTTTTTTTTTTTTTTTTTTTTTGAGATGAAATGTCACTCTTGTCGCCCAGGCTGGAGTGCAATGGTGCATTCTCGGCTCACCACAACCTCCACCTCTCAGATTCAAGCTATTCTCCTGCCTCAGCCTCTCTAGTAGTTGGGATTGCAGGTGCCGACCACCATGCCTGGCTAATTTTTTTGTTTGTTTGTTTTTGTATTATTAGTAGAGATGGGATTTCATCATGTTGGCCAGGCTGGTCTCGAACTCCTGACCTCAAGTGATCTGCCCGCCTTGGCCTCCCAAAGTGCTGGGATTACAGCTGTGAGCAAACGTGCCTGACCTGTCCATTGCAATTATATGGAAATATAATTGATTTTTTTTTTGCATATTGACCTATATCTTGCAACATTACTGTTTTCATTAATTAGTTTGTTTTTTGTTTTTTGTTTTTCAGATGGAGTCTCGCTCTGTCACACAGGCTGGAGTGAAGTGGCATGATGTCGGCTCACTGCAACCTCCGCACCCCATGTTCAAGCAATTCTCCTGCCTCAGCCTCCTCAGTAGCTGGGATTATAGGTGCGTGCCACCACGCCTAGCTCATTTTTGTATTTTTTTAGTAGAGATGGAGTTTCACCATGTTGGCCAAGCTGGCCTCCATCTCCTGACCTCAGGTGACCCACCCACCTTGGCCTCTCAAAGTGCTAGGATTACAGGCATGAGCCACCTCACCTGACCTTGGCCTTTTTTTTTTTTTTTTTTTAGACAGTGTCTATCTCTATTGCCCAGGCAGGAGTACAGTGGTGCGATCTTGGCTTACTGCAGCCTCAACCTCCCAGGCTCAAGTAATTCTCTCTCTTCAGCCTCCCAAATAGCTGAGACCACATGCATGCACCACCATGCCCAGCTGATTTTGTTTATTTTTGTCGAGACGGGGGTTTCACGGTGTTGCCCAGGATGGTCTCGTACTCCTGGGCTCAAGAGATCCTTCCATCTCAGCCTCCCAAAGTGCTGGGATTACAGGTGTGAGCCACTGTGCCTGGCCAGTTTTATTTTCTTATTGTGATAAAACATATAACATGAGATGTACCCTCCTAGCAAGTTTTTGTTGTTGATTTTTGTTTGTTTGTTTGCTTTTGATGGAGTCTTACTCTGTCGCCCAGGCTAGGGGGCAGTGGCACGATCTTGGCTCACTGTGGCCTCTGCCTCCCGGGTTCCGGCAATTCTCCTGCCTCAGCCTCCATGCCACGCAACCATCCCCAGCTAATTTTTATTTATTTATTTTTTAGTAGAGACGGGGTTTTGCCATGTTGGCCAGGATGGTCTCGATCTCCTGACCTCGTGATCCGCCCGCCTCGGCCTCCTAACGTGCTGGGATTACAGGCATGAGCTACCACACCTGGACCCGAGCAAGTTTTAAGTGTACAGTACTTTAAACTACGATCACAACGTAGTGCAGCAGATTCTAAAATTTTTCATTTTGCATGACTGAAACTCGATACCCAATAAACAGCAACTCCTCCTCTCCCCCTCCCCTCAGCTGCTGAACATCACCTTTCTAATTTTTGTTTTGGTGAGTTTGACTACTTTAGATACCTCGTATGAGTGGAATCATGCAGTTTTTGTCCTTCTATAACTGGTTTATTTCACTTAGTATAATGTCTTTGTCTTAAGCCATTCTTGCTTTGCTATAAAGAAATGCCGGAGACTGGGTAATTTACGGTGAAAAGAGGTTTAATTGGCTCATGGTTCTGCAGGCTGTACAGGAAGCATGGTGCTGGCATCTGCTTGGCTTCTGGGGAGGCCCCAGGAAACTTAAAATCATGGCAGAAGGCGAATGGGGAGCAGGCATGTCATGGCGAAAACAGGAGCAAGACAGCGAGAGGGTGAGGAGGGGTGCCACTAACTTTTAAAGAGTCAGATCTCGTGTGAACTCAGAGTAAGGGCTCACTTATTGCTAAGGAGATGGCGCAAGCCATTTATGAGGGATCTGCCCCCGTGATCCAAACACTTCCCCACAGGCCCCACCTCCAACATTGGGGATTGCATTTCTACAAGAGATTTGGGCAGAGACACACATCGAAACTGTATCAGTCTTCAGGGTTCATCTGTGTTGTAGCATATGACAAGATTTCCTCCTTTTTACAGCTGAATAATATTCCATTGTATGTCTGTGCCACATTTTCTTTCTTTCTTTCTTTCTTTTTTTTTGAGATGGAATCTTGCTCCATCACCCAGGCTGGAGCGCAGTGGCGCAATCTCAGCTCACTGCAAGCTCCACCTCCCGGGTTCACGCCATTCTCCTGCCTCAGCCTCCTGAGTAGCTGGGACTACAGGCGCCCGCCACCACACCTGGCTAATTTTTTGTATTTTTAGTAGAGATGGGGTTTCACCGTGTTAGCCAGGATGGTCTCAATCTCCTGACCTCGTGATCCGCCCACCTTGGCCTCACATTTTCTTTATCCATTCATCTGTTAGTGGACATTTAGGTTGTGTACACCTCTTGATTATTGTAAATAATACTGAAATGAACATGGGAATGCAGATATCTCTTTGAGATTCTGATTTCAATTCTTTTGGATAAATACCCAGAAGTGGCCAGGCGCAGTGGCTCACACCTGTAATTCCAGCACTTTGGGAGGCCGAGGTGGGTGGATCACTTGAGGTCAGGAGTTCAAGACCAGCCTGGCTGACATGGTGAAACCCTGTCTCTACTGAAAACACAAAAATTAGGCCGGGCACGTGGCTCATGCCTGTAATCCCAGCACTTTGGGAGGCTGAGGTGTGTGGATCACTTGAGGTCAGGAGTTCAAGACCAGCCTGGCTGACATGGTGAAACCCTGTCTCTACTGAAAACACAAAAATTAGGCCGGGCACATGGCTCATGCCTGTAATCCCAGCACTTTGGGAGGCTGAGGTGGGTGGATGACCTGAGGTCAGGAGTTTGAGACCAGCTTGGCCAACATGGTGAAACCCCGTCTCTACTAAAAATATAAAAATTAGTCTGCATGGTGGCAGATGCCTGTAATCCCAGCTACTCAGGAGGCTGAGGCAGGAGAATCACTTGAACCCGGAAGATGGAGGTTGTAATGAGCCAAGATCACACCACTGCACTCCAGCCTGGGCGACAGAGTGAGACTCTGTCTCAAAAAACATACACAGACACACACACACACACACACACACACACAAATTAGCTGGACGTGATAGCACACCCCTGTAGTCCCAGCTGCTTGAGAGACCAAGGCACAAGAATCGCATGAACCCAGGAGGCGGAGGTTCCTGTGAGCCAAGATCGCACCATTGTACTCCATTCTGGGTGACAAGAGCGAAGCTCCGTCTCAAAAATAAATAAATAAATAAATAAATAAATAAATAAATAAATACCCAAAAGTGGGACTGCTGGATCATATGGTAGTTCTATTTTTAATATTTTGAGGAACTTTCACACAGTTTTCCACATTAGCTGTACCATTTTACATTCCCACCAACAGTGCACGGGGTTTCCAATTCGCTCTCATTCTTGCCACACGTATTTTCTGGTTTTGGTGTTTTTTGTTTTTGTTTTCTATAGTGGCCATCGTAACAGGTATGAGGCAGCACCTCATTGTGATTTGGTGATATATATATATATACATCTAGATTTTGTCCACAGTTCCTGGTTCACAGCTCCCATAGCTCTTGCTAGAATGCTGGAGTGCTGCAATCCTCTGAAGCAGGCCTCATTGAAAAAAGAATCTCTTGGCTGGGTGTGGTGGCTCATGCCTGTAATCCCAGCTCTTTGGGAGGCCAAGGTGGGTGAATCACGAGGTCGGGAGTTCAAGACCAGCCTGGCCAACATGGTGAAACCCCGTCTTTACTACAAATACAAAAATTAGCCAGGTGTGGTGGCGGGCGCCTGTAGTCCCAGTTAGGAGGCTGAAGCAGGAGAATCGCTTGAACCTGGGAGGCGGAGGTTAGTGTGAGCGGAGATCACTGCACTCTAGCCTGAGCAACAGAGCAAGAATCCGTCTCAAAAAAAAAAAAAAAAACTCTCTCTCTCTGTTTGACCTTCTCCTGCTCTCCTTTCACCTGCTTCTTTTTCTCACCAAGGCAGGAATCTTCCCCTACCTTTCTGTATTGAAATTGGCCATAAAGAAACTCTCTGACATACCTTGTCTGAGTGTAGTTGATGACACCTTCATTTCGGTAGGACTCCTGCCCATACCCTGGAGGAAGGAAAGCTGCACAGAGAGGCCAAGGAGTTGCTGAACACAAGGGCCTTGCTGGGGTTCCCCATTCAGGGTATTAGTATTAGATCGTGCCCTTTTTGACCAATCACCTTTCTACACATTTGTCCATGCTTGAGTCATGCCTATCCAATTAAGTCTCCATAAAAGGCCAAAAGGACAGGGCTTAGGGAGCTTCCGGATAGCTGACCATGTGGAGGTCATACAGGAGTTAAGAAGAAATTACTTAGGCAGATAGTAAGGGTACAGAAGTCTTTGGTAAGGTTCTCCTTTTAATGAAAAGCAGCCCCAAATTATTTTCCTTTCTAACGAAGAGTAGCCTGTAAAATCGAGCTGCAGACATAGATGTTGGCAGTTGTGCCAATCATGTTCAAGATGGTGGCTCCATCTTCCCTTCTCTTTGTCAGCCACGTGTACAGTAAAGAGCAGACAAGATGGCGAAGGCCAAGGGGAAAGTTCATTTGCATAATATGATTAGGGTGAGGCAGCCAGCCTTCCCTGCATGCTATGTAATATCACTCTTGATCAAACCAATCTGTGAGTCCTATGTAAATCAGGCACCACATCCTCAAATCTGACTATAAAATATGGCACATCCCCCACCTGCTGGTCTTTTCCTCTCAGAAGTCCCCACTCTCACTAAAGAGAGAGCTGTGCCAGACATGGTGGCTCATGCCTGTAACCCCAGCACTTTGGAAGGCCGAGGCGGACGGATCACGAGGTCAGGAGATCGAAACCATCTCTGGCTAACACAGTGAAACCCCATCTCTACTAAAAATACAAAAAATTAGCTGGGCGTTGTGGCATGCACCTGTAGTCCCAGCTACTCAGGAGGCTGAGGCAGGAGAACGGCATGAACCTGGGAGGCGGAGCTTGCAGTGAGCTGAGATCTCTGCCACTGCACTCCAGCATGGGTGGCAGAGGAGACTCTGTCTCAAAAAAAAAAAAAAAAAAAAAAAAAAAAGAGGGAATCATGGAAACCCCAATTTGAAGCCAGTCGGTCAGAAGTTCTGGTGTGTGTAGGGGTGCAGTCTTGTGGGATTGAACCCTCAACTTGTGGGATCTGATGCTATCTTCAGGTAGATAGTGTTGGAATTGAATTGGAGGACACTCAATTCAGAATTGTCCATTGGAGAATTGGTTGTTTGCTTGGTGTTGGCAGGAGTTCCCCCCAACATTTGGTCACAGAAGACTTCTTTTTTTTTTCTTTTTTCTTTTCCTTTTCTTTTCTTTTTTTTTTGAGACCAAGTCTCACTCTGTTGCCCAGGCTGGAGTTCAGTGGTGTGATCTCTGCTCACTGCAACCTCTGCTTCCCTGGTTCAAGCATTTCTCCTGCCTCAGCCTCCCCAGTAGCTGGGATTACAGGTGCCTGCCACCACACCTGGCTATTCTTTTTGTGTTTTTAGTAGAGATAGGTTTTCACCACGTTGGTCAGGCTGTTCTTGAACTCCTGACCTCGTGATCCACCCACCTTGGCCTCCCAAAGTGCTGGGATTACAGATGTGAGCCACCGCACCCAGCCCGGTCACAGAAGACTTCTGTAGTGATTGTTACTGTGGTGTGAGAGCCAAGAAAAAAAACAGTTTGTGTTTTTTCTTCAGAGGTTTTGATTTGCATTTCCCTGGCGATTAAAGTTCTGATTTTTTAGTGGGTTCCTTAGGATTTACAGGATCTTATATATTTTCTTTTTTTGTTTTTGTTTTGTTTTGTTTGAGACAGAGTCTGACTCTGTCACCCAGGCTGGAGTGCAGTGGCACGATCTCAGCTCACTGCAAACTCTGCCTACCAGCTTCAAGGGATTCTCCTGCCTCAGACTCTGAGTAGCTGGGATTACAGGTGTGCACCACCATGCCCAGCTAATTTTTTGTATTTTTAGTAGAGACGGAGTTTCACCATGTTTGCCAGGCTGGTCTCAAACTGCTGATCTCAAATGATCTGCCCACTTTGGCCTCCCAAATGCTGGCATTACAGGCATAAGCCACCACGCCCGGCCTTGGATCTTGTATATTTTCTATATACAAGATCATGTAATCTATAGATAGTTTCACTTCTTTCTTTCCAATCTAGATGCCTTTTATTTCACTTTCTTGCTTAATTTTCCTGGCTAGAATCTCCAGTACAATACAGAATAAAAGTGGTAAGAGCGGACTTCCTTGTCTTATTTTGATCTGTCAGGAACTTTCACCATTAAGTATGATGTCAGCTGTGGGTTTTTCACAGATGCTCTTTATCAGGTAGAGGAAGTTGTCTTTTACTTGTAGTTTGTTGCATGGTTTTTTTCTTACGAAAGAATGTTGAATTTTGTCAAAGTTTTTTTCTGCATTTATTGAGATGATTAATTGCTTTTTTCCATTTATTCTAAAATTATGGTGTATTAAGTTAATGTATTTTCAGATATTGAACCAGCCTTGCATTCCTGGGATCATTCGCACTTGATCATGGTGTACTGTCCTTTTGATGTGGTGCTGGATTCTGTCTGCTGGTATTTGAAGATTTTTGCCTCTATATTAATAAGAAATACTGATCTGTAGTTTCCTTTCTTATGTCTGGCTTTGGCATCAGGGTAATACTGGCCTCATAAAAAGAGTTGGGAAATGTTGCCTCTTCTTCTATTTTTTGAAAGAGTTTATGAAAAACTGGTATTAATTTTTCTCTAAATGTTTAGTTAAATACAGCAGTGAAGCCCTGTGGGCATGAGCCTTTGTGGAAGTTTTTGTTTTTGTTTTTGTTTTTTCTCTCGAGAGGGAGTCTCGCTCTGTTGCCCAGGCTGGAGTGCAGTGGCACGATCTCATCTCACTGCAAGCTCCACCTCCTGGGTTCACACCATTCTCCTGCCTCAGCTTCCCATGTAGCTGGGACTACAGGCACCCACCACAATGCCTGGCTAATTTTTTTTTAGTAGAGACGGGGTTTTACGGTGTTAGCCAGGATAGTCTTGATCTCTTGACCTCGTGGTCTGCCCACCTCGGCCTCCCAAAGTGCTGGGATTACAGGCATGAGCCACCACGCCAACCTGTGGGAAGTTTTTTATTACTACTTCAATCTATTTACTTGTTATATGTCTATTCAGAATTTCCATTTCTTCCTGAAATTTGGTAGGTTTTTCTTGTTTTTCTAGGACTTTGTCCATTTTTCTAAGTTGTTTAATTAATTGGCATACAACTATTTATTGTATTCCTTTATAATACTTTTTATTTCTTTAAGGCTCATAGTAATGTCCCCAAGGTGTCTAATAAGAGGTCAGCTCTAGTTAAGTGGAGGCTGAAATAAATCATTTGAACCTCAAATAACTTTGGGGGAGGTCAGGTACTACATATATATATATATATATTTTTTTTTTTTTTGAGATGGGGTCTCACTCTGTTGCCCAGGCTGGAATGCAGTAGTGTGATCTTGGCTCACTGCAATCTCTGCCTCCCAGGGTCAAGTGATCCTCCCACCTCAGCTTCCCAAGTAGCTGGGAGCTGAGAGCACAGGCATGCACCACCACACCCGGCTAATTTTTTGTATTTGTTGTAGAGACCGGGTTTTGCCATGTTGCTCAAGCTGGTGTTGAATGCCTGAGCTCAAGTGATCCACCTAGCTTGGCCTCCCAAAGTGTTAGGATTACAGGCGTGAGCCACTGTGACCAGCCTAGTACTACATTTTAAATCTTTCATTTTTGCTGACATGAAAAGCTATTTATCTGTAAAAGTGGAACCTATCAATTAATCAGATTAAGCAAAAACTTTACATGTGGTCTGTCCAGAATAGGCAAATCCATGGAGACAATAATTAGATTAGTGGTTGCCAGGGACTTGGGGAGTAGGGAGGGGACAGGGAGTGGCTGCCAATTAGTATAGAGTTTCTTCCTGGGGTGAAAATATTTTGGAATTACATAGTGGTGACAGATGAACTTTGTGAATCAACTAAAAACCAAACCCACCAAACTGTACACTTTGAAAGGGTAAACTTAATGGTGTATGTTTTATATTCCAATAAAGCTGTTATTTTTTAAAAAGGTTATATGGGCCAGGCGCAGTGGCTCACACCAGTAATCCTAGCACTTTGAGAGGCTGAGGCGGGCGGATCACTTGAGGTCAGGAGTTCGAGACCAGCCTGACCAACATGGTGAAACCTCGTCTGTACTAAAAATACAAAAATTAGCCAGGTGTGATGGCGGATGCCTGTAATCCCAGCTGCTCGGGAGCCTGAGGCAGGAGACTCACTTGAACCCAGGAGGTGGGGGCTACATTGAGCTGAGATTGCGCCACTGCACTCCAGCTTGGGCAACAGAGCAAGATTCTGTCTTCAAAAAGAAAAAGAAAAAAAAAAAAAAGGTGGCTGGGTGTGGTGGTTCATGCCT
Source organism: Homo sapiens (assembly GCF_000001405.40). Classification (NCBI taxonomy): domain Eukaryota; kingdom Metazoa; phylum Chordata; class Mammalia; order Primates; family Hominidae; genus Homo; species Homo sapiens. Next base: position 30,147,506 of record NC_000016.10, on the reverse strand, counting down.
GTAATCCCAGCATTTTGGGAAGCCAAGGCGGGTGGATCCCAAGATCAGGAGATCGAGTCCAGCCTCACCAACATGATGAAACCGCGTCTCTACTAAAAATACAAAAAAAATTAGCTGGGTGTGGTGGCACGTGCCTGTAGTCCCAGCTACTCAAGAGGCTGAGGCAGAAGAATTGCTTGAACCTGGGAGGCAGAGGTTGCAGTGAGCCAAGATTGCGCCACTGCACTCCAGCCTGGTGACAGAGCAAGACTCCATCTCAAAAAAAAAAAAAAAAAAAGTTATATGTGAACTCTGTTCCTAATTTTAAGTTATGCTGTATGTTCCTACCTTTCAATGATGGAATATGAAAGGAGAACAAAAAAGGAAAAGAAAAGAGATAAGGGCTCTCTTACTGTCAACTTACTGTATTACCCTTCTAAAATATAAACCGGGCCGGGCACGGTGGCTCACGCCTGGATTCGCAGCCCTTTGGGAGCCTGAGCCGGGCAGATCACCTGAGGCCAGGAATTTGAGACCAGCCTGGCCAACATGGTAAAACCCTCTCTCTACTAAAAATACAAAAATTAGCTGGGCGTGGTGTCACGCACCTGTAATCCCAGCCACTCAGGAGTTTGAGGCAGGAGAATCACTTGAACCTAGGAGGCGGAGGTTGCAGTGAACATAGATTGAGCCACTGCACTCCAGCCTGGGTGACAGAGCAAGACTACATCTCAAAAAAAAAAAAAAAAAGCTGGACGTGGTGGCTCACACCTGTAATCCCAGCACTTTGGGAGGCCAAGGCAGGTGGATCACCTGAGGTCAGGAGTTGGAGACCAGCCTGGCCAACATGTGAAACCCTGTCTCTACTAAAAATACAAAAATTAGTCGGGTGTGGTGGCGGGTGCCTATAATCCCAGGTACTTGGGAGGCTGAGGCAGGAGAATCTCTTGAACCCCACAGGCAGAGGTTGCAGTGAGCTGACATCATGCCACTGCACTCCAGCCTGGACAACAGAGCAAGACTTTGTCTCAAAAAAAAAAAAAAAAAAAAGACCGGGCGCGGGGGCTCACACCTGTAATCCTAGCACTTTGGGAGGCCGAGGTCGGGGGATCACGGGGTCAGGAGATCGAGACCATCCTGGTTAACACGGCGAAACCCCGTCTCTACTAAAAATACAAAAAATTAGCCGGGCGTGGTGGCGGGTGCCTGTAGTCCCAGCTATTCAGGAGGCTGAGGCAGGAGAATGGCATGAACCCGGGAGGCGGAGCTTGCAGTGAGCCGAGATCATGCCACTGCACTCCAGCCTGGGCGAAAGTGCGAGACTCTGTCTCAAAAAACAAAGTGATTAAGTTTGAACTGACAAGTAGTTTGTTTTCTCTACTTCTTCTCACTGATCTCCTCCTTTCAATTAATGAGTGCCCAGATAAGCTCTGTCCTCAATCTGTCATGCAGCCTAAGGGTGGCTGCACACATTGGTAAATGAGTTTGATATTCCTGTGGCCCAGATTGCTCAGCCCTTGATCATGTTTTCCTTTTCCTTCACATCCACCTATGATGCTCAAGCATCAGGTACAATCCTGACATCCCAAACTTCTATTTTTTCACCTGTTAACTGGTGCAATCAATGACATCACTCACACCAACCGGGGATGAGGGAAAAGTACAAATTATCACATCCTGTCTATATTTGTAAATGTCTTCATCAACATTCAAATGTGCAAATGTTTTTACTGCAAGGCTCTGAAGCTGACTAACATGATAAAATGCTCTCATTCCTTCTAGCAGAAAATCCAGTCTTCTTATCCCAGCCCTCAAGGTCTTCTTTGCCATCTGCTGCTCCAATTGTTCTCCACACAACTCCTGTTTTTTTTTATTGATACATAATGTATTCCAGGCCAGGCGCAGTGGCTCACACCTGTAATCCCAGCACTTTGAGAGGCCAAAGCAGGTGGATCACCTAACATCAGGAATTCAAAACCAGCCTGACCAATATGGTGAAACCCCATCTCTATTAAAAATACTAAAATTAGCTGGGTGTGGTGGCGGTCGCCTGTAATCCCAGCTACTCGGGAGGCTAAGGCAGGAGAATTGCTTGAAACCAGGAGGCGGAGGTTGCAGTGAGCCAAGATTGTGCAATTGCACTCCAGCCTGGGCAACAGAACAAGATGCTGTCTAAAAAAGAAATATATATATTATATATATCTCACATATATAATATATCACATATATTATATAATATATCACACATATCATATATAATATATATCACATATACCACATATATTATATATGATACATAATATACCACATATATTATATATGATACATAATATATCACATATATTATATATGATACATAATATATCACATATATTATATGTGATACATAATATATCACATATATTATATGTGATATATATCACATATATTATATATGATATATGATATATCGCATATATTATATATGATATATGATATATCACATATATTATATATCATATATGATATATCACATATATTATATCATATATGATATAATATGTGTTGCATATGATATATCATATATGTCATATATATATACACCATGCTTATGGGGTCCATGAGAGTATTTGTTACATGCATAGAATGTGTAATGATCAAGCCAGGGTATCTGGGGTACTCATCACCTTGAGTATTTCTCATTCCTATGGGTTGGGAGTAATTCAAGTTCTCTTCTAGTTACTTTGAAATATACAATTCATTGCAGCCAACTATAATCACCCTACTCTGCTATCAGATATTAAAACTTTTTTTTTTTTTTTTGAGACTGAGTGTTGCTCTGTGGCCCAGGCTGGAGTGCAGTGATCTTGGCTCAGTGCAACCTCTGCTTCCCAGGTTCAAGCAATTCTCTTGCCTCAGTCTCTGAAGTAGCAGGGATTATAGGCACCTGCCACCACGCCTGGCTAATTTTTTTTTTTTTCCAGTAGAGGTGGGGTTTCTCCATGTTGGCCATGCTGGTCTCGAACTCCTGGGCTGAAGCAATCCACCTGTGTTCGCCTCCCAATGTGCTAGGATTACAGGTGTGGGCCATCATGCCCAGCCTAATTCTGTTTTATAGTCAAATAGTATTCCATTCTGTATACATACCATAGTTGATTTATCCACTCCTCCATTGATAGATACTTAGGTTGATTCCATATCTTTGCTTTGTGGATAATGTGGATAATGATGTGGTAAGAATATGACAACTCTTTTTTTTTCCTTCAAGACAGGGTCTTGCTCTGTTACCCAGGCTGGAATGCAGTGGTGCAATCACAGCTCACTGTGGCCTTGAATTCCTAGGTTCAAGTGATCCTCCTGCCTTGGCCTCCCAAAGCACTGGGACTATAGGCATGTACCACCACACCTGGCTATTTTTTTAAATTTTATGTAGAGACAGTCTCACTCTGTTGCCCAGGCTGGTCTCTAACTCCTGGCCTCAAGCAATCCTCCTGCCTTAGCCTCCCAAAATTTTGTGATTACAGACATGAGCCACCATGCCTAACCAAGACAAGGTTTACTTTTAAAAAGTTAGAAGGGGCCAGGCACAGTGGCTCACGCTTATAATCCCAGCACCTTGGGAGGCCGAGGCGGGCAAATCACCTGAGGCCAGGAGTTCAAGACCAGCCTGGCCAACATGGTGAAACCCTGTCTCTACTAAAAAAAAAAAAAAAATTAGCCAGGCATGGTGGCAGGCGCCTGTAACCCCAGCTACTCGGGAGGCTGAGGCAGGAGAATCGCTTGAACCCAGGAGGCAGAGGTTGCAGTGAGCCAAGATCACACCATTGCACTCCAGCCTAGGTGACAAGAGTAAAACTCCACCTCAAAAAAAAAAAAAAGTTAAAAGGCATCAGGTTAAAGATAGTAGACTAAACACATGTATTTACTTCTGTTCTTGCCCCAAACATAATAAAATGGCAGTAAGAGAATCTTTCTAATGCCACACACCCACAGGAAGAGTAAGAATAGGAAAGAAGACAATACGAACAAAAATGTTTAAGCCAGGTACTAATAGAGGGACTCATGGTAACCAATTTACTAGAACCAAGGAAGTGGAATCGAGCTGGCATTGGAAAAAATGAGAAATTGCTAGGTTTTCTTTGCAGAAGCCACAAAAGACATAGAAATTGGCACCTTCAGGCAGGAATTGGAAGAATCTTCTGAAGGGACTGTGATCAAGCCAAGAGGAAAGTCCTGAAGACACTGACATCAGGAGCTCCCTGGGAAGCCACCAGCAAGGTCACCCCCTAGCACACAGTGCCACACAGTGGAGAGAGGTTTTTTTTTTGTTTGTTTGTTTGTTTTTGAGATTGGGTCTCACTCTGTCACCCAGGCTGCAGTGCAGTAGCACAATTACAGCTCACTGCAACCTCAAACTCGTGGGCTCGATCGTCCTCCCACCTCAGCCTTCCTGGTATCTGGGACTACAAGTGTGCACCACCGTGCCTGATTTATTTTTTTTCTTATTTTTTTTTGAGATGGAGACTTACTCTGTCGCCCCGGCTGAAGTGCAGAGGCACGATCTCAGCTCACTGCAACCTCTGCCTCCCTGTTCAAGTGATTCTCTTGCCTCAGCCTCCTGAGTAGTTGGGATTACAGGCATCCACCACCACGCCTGGCTAATTTTTGTATTTTTAATGGAGATGGGGTTTCACCATGTTGACCAGACAGATCTCGAACTCCTGACCTCATGACCCGCCCGCCTTGGCCTCCCAAAGTGCTGAGATTACAGGCGTGAGCCACCATGGTCAGCTTTATTTTTTTATTTTTTGTAGCGATGAGGTCTTGTTATGTTACCCAGGCTGGTCTTGAACTCCTGGACTCAAGAGATCCACCTGTCTTGGCCTCCCAAAGTGCTGGGATTGCAGGCATGAGCCACTGTGCCCTCAGCCTGGGGAACTTTTAAAAGGCTTTTAATAGCTCCAGCTTTAGTATGCACAGACCCCCAAGATTCACCACGTTTGAGGAAGGCATCCAATATAGAAGACAGGTTCGGGAGCGGTGGCTCACACCTGTAATCCCAGCACTTTGGGAGGCCGAGGCGGGCGGGTCATGAGGTCAGGAGTTCGAGACCAGCCTGGTCAACATGGTGAAACCCCGTCTCTACTAAATATACAAAAATTAGCCAGGCATATGGTGGCGGGCACCTGTAATCCCAGCTACTCAGGAGGCAAAGGCAGGAGAATCACTGGAACCCGGGAGGCGGAGGTTGCAGTGAGCTGAGATCTCGCCATTGCATTCCAGTCTGGGCAACAGAGCAAGACTGTCTCAAAATAATAATAATAATAATAAAGACAGAGGCTGAAAGGGTGAATGGATAAACAAACTGTGCTACCTACATACAGTGGAATATTATTCAGAATTTTTTTTAAAATAGGAAATTTTGATACATGCTACAACATGGCTGAACTTTGAGGACATTATACTATGTGAAATAACCCTGTCCCCAAAAGACATATACTGCATGATTCCACTTATGTGAGGTACCTGGAGTCAGAGTCATAGAGATAGAAAGTAGAGTGATGGTTGCCAGGGGCTGAGGGGAGGGGAGAGAGGGGAGTTGTTGTTTAGTGGGTTCAGAGTTTCAGTTTTGCAAGATGAAGAGTTCTGGAGATTGGTTGCACCACAGTGTGAATGTACTCAACACCACTGAACTGAACACTAAAAAATGGCTCAGATGGTACTTTGGGAGGCCGAGGCGGGTGGATCACCTGAGGTCAGGAGTTGGAGACTAGCCTGGCCAACATGGTGAAACCCCATCTCTACTAAAAATACAAAAATTGGCCAGGCGCACATCTGTAATCCCAGCACTTTGGAAGGCCAAAGTGGGTGGATCACCTGAGGTCAGGAGTTCCAGACCAGCCAGGCCAGCATGGTGAAACCCTGTCTCTACTACAAATACAAAAATTAGCCGGACGTGGTGGCACACACCTGTAATCCCAGCTACTCGGGAGGCTGAGGCAGGAGAATTGCTTGAGCCTGGGAGATGGAGGCTGCAGTGAGTGGAGATCGTGCCACTGCACTCCAGCCTGGCCAAGAAAGCGAGACTCTGTCTCAAAAAAAAAAAAAAAAAAAAAGGTACATTTATGTTGTGTGTATTCTACCACAATCACAATTAACTTTTTATTTATTTATTTTTTTTTGAGACGGAGTCTTGCTCTGTCACCCAAGCTGGAGTGCAGTGGTGCAATCTCGGCTCACCGCAACCTCCACCTTCTGGGTTTAAGCAATTCTCCTGCCTCAGCCTCCCGAGTAGCTGGGATTACAGCCTTGTGCCATCACGCCCGGCTAATTTTTTGTACTTTTAGTAGAGACGGGGTTTCTCCATGTTGGTCAGGCTGGTCTCAAACTCCTGACCTCAGATGATCCGCCTGCCTTGGCCTCCCAAAGTGCTGGGATTACAGATGTGCGCCTGGCCAATTTTTGTATTTTTAGTAGAGATGGGGTTTCACTATGTTGGCCAGGCTAGTCTCTAACTCCTGACCTCAGGTGATCCACCCGCCTCAGCCTCCCAAAGTGTGGGATTACAGGCGTGCAGGCGTGAGCTACCACACCCAGCCTACAATGAGTGCATTCTTTTTTTTGAGACAGAGTCTAGCTCTGTTGCCCAGGCTGGAGTGCAGTGGCACAATCTCGGCTCACCACAACCTCTGCCTCCCGGGTTCAAGTGATTCTCCTGCCTCAGCCTCCAGAGTAGCTGGGACTACAGGCGTGCAAGACCATGCCCGGCTAATTTTTGTATTTTTAGTAGAGACAGGGTTTCACTATGTTGGCCAGGCTGGTCTCGAACTTCTGACCTCATGATCCATCCACCTTGGCCTCTGAAAGTGCTGGGATTACAGGCGTGAGCCACTGTGTCTGGCCATGAGTGCGTTCTTATAAAGCCCAAAACAGGCAGGAACTAAGCCTGTTTAGAAATGCATACATGGTGCAGCTGGGCGAGGTGGCTGATGCCAGTAATCCCAGCACATTGGGAGGCTGAGGCAGGAAGATCACTTGAGCTCAGGAATTCAAGACCAGCCTGGGCAACATTGCAAGACCCTGTCTCTACAAAAAATTTAAAAATTAGTCGGGTGTAGTGGCACGCATGTGTAGTCCCAGCTATTCTGGGGGCTGAGGTGGGAGGACTGCTTGGAGCCCAGGAAGCTGAAGCTGCAGTGAGCTGTGATTGCACCACTGCACTCCAGCCTCCGGTACAGAGCAAGACCCTATCTCAAAATAAAACAAAACAAAATAATATGAAATAAAACCAATAGAAAATGGAATATGTTTGAATGTGATAAAGGATTGACATCTCAAGGTAGCATTCAGGATTGAACTAGTGTTACATAGCAAAAAAACACAGCAGCTAAAATGTGACATAATGAACTCAGTGTGGTGGAGGGGAAAGAAGGAACAAACAGTGCAGGGAAGAAGTGTTTGTGGAAAGGGCATGGTTCAGCTGTGAACAGTGTTTACATAGCTATAGGATATAGACTCTGAATATCTGTGTACCCAGAACCGAGGCACAGTGACATGGAAGAATGAAAACAGGAAGTGCACACGTGCATATGTAGGAATAGAGATGTGGGCTGTCGGGGAGAGGTGGAAGAATTGTAAAGCCTCAACCTTCAAAATGATAACAGGTAGTGCCTAAAACCGAGAAATCAGCAAGTACAATATGAACATGCTGTTTAGAGACATGGAAGTCAATACCAATGGCCCAGCCAAAGCGGTGGAACGTTCTTGCCTCTGGGGAACAGGAAATGGGTCATGAAGGAGCCCTGGTTTTTCATAATACGCCTATAGAGCCCAGCTTCAGCGGCTCATGCCTATAATCCCAGCACTTTGGGAGGCCGAGGCGGGAGGATCACTTGAGCCCAGGAGTTCAAGACAAGCCTGGGCAACATGATAAGACTCCATCTTTACAAAAAATTGAAAAAATTAGCTGGATATGGTGGCATGCACCTGTACTCCTAGCCACTTGAGGGGCTGAAATGGGAGGATTGCTTCAGCCCAGGAGTTCAAGGCTGCAGTGAGCAATGATCACACCACTGCACTCCAGCCTGGGAGACAGAGTGAGACCTTGTCTCAAAGAAAAAGAAAAGCCAGGAGGCCAGGTGCCGTGATTCATGCCTGTAATCCCAGCACTTTGGAGGCTGAGGTGGGCAGATCACTTGAGGTCAGGAGTTCGAGACCAGCCTGGCCAACATGGTGAAACCCTGTCTCTACTGAAAATACAAAAATCAGCTGGCGCAGTGGCGCACGCCTGTAATCCCAGCTACTTGGGAGGCTGAGGCAGGAAAATTGCTTGAACCTAGGAGGCAGAGGTTGCAGTGAGCTGAGATTGCACCACTGCACTCCAGCCTGGGTGACAGAGCGAGACTCCGTCTCAACAAAAAAAGAAAGGAAAGGAAGGAAAGAAGGAAGGAAGGAAGGAAGGCCGGCCGGCCAGGTGCAGTGGCTGACACCTGTAATCCCAGAACTTTGGGAGGCATAAGTGGGAGGATGACTTGAGCCCACAAGTTCCAGACCGGCCTGGGCAATGTACTGAGTCTCCACAAAAAATCTGTAAAAAAATTAGCCAGAAGGCCGAGGCGGGCGGATCACCTGAGGTCAGGAGTTTGAGACCATCCTGGCCAATATGGAGAAACCCCGTCTCTACTAAAAATACAAAATTAGCCAGGCATGGTGGTGCATGCCTGTAATCCCAGCTACTCAGAAGCTGAAGCAGGAGAAACACTTGAACCTGGGAGGCAGAGGTTGCAGTAAGCCGAGATCACGCCATTGCACTCTAGCCTGGGCAAGGAGAGCGAAATTCTTTCTCAAAAAAAAAAAAAAAAAAAAAAAGTTAGACAGGCATAGTGGCGCACACCTGTAGTTGAGAGGCTGAGATGGGAGGATTGCTGGAGCCCAGGAGGTAGAGACTGCAGTGAGCTGAGATTGCACCACTGCCCTCCAGCCTGGGTGACAGACTGAGACCCTGCCTCAGAAAAAAAGAAAAGAAAAGGCCTGGCATGGTGGCTCACACCTATAATCCCAGCACTTTGGCAGGTGGATCCTCTGAGGGCAGGAGTTCGAGACCATCATGGCCAACATGGTGAAACCCCATCTCTACTAAAAATACAAAAATTAGCCAGGTGTGGTGGTGGGAGCCTGTAATGGCAGCTACTCGGAGGCTGAGGCAGGAGAATCACTTGAACCCAGGAGGCAGAGGTTGCAGTGAGTTGAGATCACACCACTGCACTCCAGCCAGGGTGACAGAGTGAGACTCTTGTCTCAAAAAAAAAAAAAAAAAAAAAGTCCAACTGTGCTTTCGCATACGGGTTGCCCCCTTACACACAGGCTGCGTGGTTTTCAGTCCCCTTTGGGCCTGAGCCTACCCTCCTGCCACTGCAGCGCAGGCAACAGGCATGTGACTAAAGCAGCCATCTGCGAAGCAGATCCCCAGCCCCGGCTGTTCCCTCCCCATCCATTAGAGTTACTGTTGGCTGTTCGGGTCACCCCATCTGAGGCTGAGGCTCAGACATCACAGAGCAGAGTATAGCTTTTCCCACTTTGCCCTTCCCAAACTCCACCCACAGAATCAACGAGCATTTGAAAAAAAATTTTAAAAGGTGGTTGTTTCATGCCACTAAATTTTAGGATCGTTTACCACACAGTCGTAAATAAATGAAAGCTAAGGGAAAAAGCAGTATGTAATTGTGTATTAATGTACTTGAGGTGAACAAGACAATGCCTATGACTATTAGGATGCTAAATTAATCATAGGATGCTAAATTAATGAACAATTATCTCATTGCATGTGCTAAATATTTATCTGTGTTCCAATACTGAACTAATATGTATCATTTTATTTATCATTTCAAGAATATCCAACCTCCTCCCGCCTCCCCAAAAAACCAGCCACTCCTTCATCCCTTTTGGGTCCTGATGAAGAGGCAATCGGAATAGCATTTATAGGAGCCAAAGCGGCTGCACAGGAAGTTCTGTAATAAAAGAAGATGTAAGAAGAGCCGCGTAACCCAGGGATAAACACAAAAGCTGAGCATAAACCTATGAGAACAGTGTCGGGATGGCTGTAACTCGGAATGAGCTGAGATTACAAAACATGCTATAGACAACAAAAAGGGCTTTGATAGCTATATCTGGATCAAGAAAAAGGAAGAAATAGGCCCATTGCTTAGGGTAGATGTTGTAATACGAACAGATGACCAAGAGGAAGCAGAAGCTCTCCACTTTCATTTAGTTTCTCTTTTTTCTTTTTTCTTTCTTTTTTCTTTTTTTTTTTTGAGACAGGCTCTCTCACTCTGTTCCCCAGGCTGGAGCGCAGTGGTGCAATCATAGCTCACTGCAGCCTCCACCTTCCAGGCTCCAGGGATCCTCCCACTTCAGCCTCCCAAGTAGCTGGGACTACAGGCATGCACTGCCATGCTCAGCTTATTTATTTATTTATAGAGCTGGAGTCTTCCTATGTTGCCCAGGCTAGTTTTGAACTCTTGGCTCGGCCTGGCACAGTGGCTCACGCCTGTAATCCCAGCACTTTGGGAAGCCGAAGTGAGCAGATCACTTGAGGTCAGGAGTTCAACCAGCCTAGCCAACAGGGTGAAACCCCGTCTCTACATACAAAAATTAGCCGGGCGTGGTGGCACGCACCTATAATCCCAGCTACTCGGGAGGCTGAAGCACGAGAATTGCTTGAATTTAGCAGACAGAGGCCTCAGTGAGTTGAGTTCCCACCATTACACTCCAGCCTGGGCGACAGAATGAGACTCCGTCTTAGGAAAAAAAAAAAAAAAAGAAAGAAAGAAAAGAAAAGAAAAAAACTTGGCTGGGTGTGGTGGCTCACACCTGTAATCCCAGCACTTTGGGAGGCCGAGGCGAGCGGATCATGAGGTCAGGAGATCAAGACCATCCTGGCTAACATGGTGAAACCTCGTCTCTACTAAAAATACAAAAAAATTAGCTGGGCGTGGTGGCATGCGCTTGTAGTCCCAGCTACTCGGGAGGCTGAGGCAGGAGAATTGCTTGAACCCAGGAGGCGGAGGTTGCAGTGAGCCGAGATCACACCACTGCACTCCAGCCTGGGCGACAGAGTGAGACTCCGTCTCAAAAAAAAAAAAAAAAAAAAAAAAAAAAAAAAAAAAAAAGAAAGAAAAAGAAAAGAAAAAACTCCTGGGCTCAAGGATTCACCCGTCTCAGCCTCCTAAAGTCCTGGGATTACAGGAATGAGCCACTGTGTCAAGCCTGGTTTGTGTTTTCTCTCTCTCTCTCTTTTTTTTTTTTTTTTTTTTTGAGATGGATTTTTGCTCTGTCGCCAGGCTGGAGTGCAGTGGCATGATCTCGGCTCACTGCAACCTCTCTGCCTCCTGGTTTCAAGCAATTCTCCTGTTTCAGCCTCCCGAGTAGTTGGGACTACAGGCGTGTGCCACTACGCCCAGCTAATTTTTGTATTTTTAGTAGAGGCAGGGTTTCACCATGTTGTCCAGGATGGTCTCAATCTCTTGACTTCGTGATCCGCCTGCCTCAGCCTCCCAAAGTACTAGGATTACAGGCGTGAGCCACAGTGCCCAGCCTGTGTTTTCTGTAAAGAGAATGACACTCAAGATTAAAATGCTTTTAGGTCCACACTTCAGTGGAAATTGAAGCCCCAAAGAAGTGGAGAATGATAATAGGACACTAACTCAACTGAAATGTTCAAGACCCCAGATTTGGATGCAGTCCACCCCTCAAAATGCTGAAAGTTTCTAAGATAAAGTTTTGGAACCACTGAAGACCACCTTTGAGAAATTTTTAAAAATGGGGAAAGTACCGGGGATAGGCAAATCTTGTTGTGGCTTTCAAGAAATTTTAAAAAGTGGCTGGGCAAGGTGGCTTGAGCGCCTGTAATCCCAGCACTTTGGGAGGCCGAGGCAGGTGGATCACTTGAGGTCAGGAGTTTGAAACCAGCCTGGCCAACATGGTGAAACCCCATCTCTACCAAAAAATACAAAAGTTAGCCAGGCGTGGTGGTGTGCACCTGTAATCCCAGCTACTTGTGAGGCTGAGGCAGAAGAACCACTTGAACCCAGGAGGTGGAGACTGCAGTGAGAAGAGATCGTGCCACTGCACTCCAGCCTGGGCGACAGAGCAAGACCCTGTCTCAAAAAAGAAAGGTAACATAAATAAAGTAAAAAAAAATTGCCCTAGTCCCAGCCCACAGCCTCCAGCTCTGTTGCAACCTTAAAAAATAACAGCCCACATTCTCAGAGCAACCTGGCAGCCCCCTGAGGGAGTAAAACGGAGCTGGAGTTCTTTCAAAGTTGTGTTTCCAAAGAACTGTCATTACTGGAGCTGTCTTGAGGTTCCCTAGAAGACTCCACTTGCAAGTCCATCTGTATGTGACCTCACTGGAGCTGGCCCAGTGCAAAAGGCCCTCTCCCCAGGAGGCATTCATCAGAAACATTTACAGGCAAGATTTTTTTTCAGGGAGACTTCATTGGATAACAGGTAGGATTTTTAACTTTGAGACTGTCTGAAGTAGTAGACAGGTGTTGGAGCAAGCAATAGACTAACCCAAAAGCCTGAAAGGAAAAGCTGAGGGATGTGGTTTAGAACTGTGTGCCCACCCAAATCTCATGTCGTATTGCAATCCCCAGTGTTGGAGGTAGGGCCTGGTGGGAGGTGATTGGATCATGGGGGTGGGGTTTCTCATGAATGGTTTAGCGCCATCCCTTTGGTGCTGTTCTCTTGACAGTGAGTGAGTACTCAAGAGATCTGGTTGTTTAAAAGTGTGTGAAGGCGGGTCGCAGTGGCTCACACCTGTAATCCCAGCACTTTGGGAGGCCGAGGTGGGTAGATCACTTGAGGCCAGGAGTTCGAGACCAGCCTGGGCAACATGGTGAAACGCCCGTCTCTACTAAAAATACAAAAATTAGGCCAGATGTGGTGGCTCACGCCTGTAATCCCAGCTATTTAGGAGGCCGAGGCAGGTGGATCACCTGAGGTCAGGAGTTCGAGACCAGCTTGACCAACATGGAGAAACCCCATCTCTACTAAAAATACAAAATTAGCCAGGCGAGGTGGCGCATGCCTGTAATCCCAGCTACTAGGGAGGCTGAGGCAGGAGAATTGCTTGAACCCAGGAGGCGGAGGTTGCAGTGAGCCGAGATGGCACCATTGCACTCCAGCCTAGGCAACGAGAGCGAAACTCCATCTAAAAAAAAAAAAAAAAAAATTGGCCAGGCACGGTGGCTCGCGCCTGTAATCCTAGCCCTTTGGGAGGCCGAGGCGGGCAGATCACCTGAGATCAAGAGTTCGATACCAGCCTGACCAACATGGAGAAACCCCGTCTCTACTAAAAATACAAAATTAGCCGGATGTGGTGGCGCATGCCTGTAATCCCAGCTACTTGGCAGCTGAGGTGGGAGAATCGCTTGAACCTGGGAGATGGAGGTTGCGGTGAGCCAAGATGGTGCCATTGCACTCTAGCCTGAGCAACGGGAGCAAAACTCTGTCTAAAAAAAAAAAAAAAAAAAAAAAAAGCCAGTGGTGGCGCATGCCTGTAGTCCCAACTACTCAGGAGGCTGAGGCAAAAGAATCACTTGAATCCAAGAGATGGAGGCTGCAGTGAGCTGAGGTAGTGCCACTGCACTCCAGCCTGGGTGACAAAGTGAGATTCCATCTCAAAATAAATGAATAAAAATAAAATAAGTAAAGTGTGTGGCGCCTCTTCCCTTGCTCTCTTGCTCCTGCTCCTGCCATGTGACATGCCTGTTCTCCCTTCACCTTCTGCCATGATTGTAAGTTTCCTGAGGCCTCCCCAGAAGCCAAGCAGATGCCAGCATCATGTTCCCTGTACAACCTGCAGAACCATGAGCCAATTAAACCTCTTGCCTTTATAAATTATCCAGGCTTAGGTATTTATAGCAATACAAGAATGGATTAATACACTGGGGGACATCAAAGCTCTAAGATGACAGTGCCGGAGCTCTGAGGATCTTTTCCCCAGCAAAACAAGCAAAGCTGGTGAAAACCATTTAAAAATAAATAAACACTTAAAGTTTCTGGAATTATCCTAATGTCATATAACAGATGAATAAACATTTAATTTTATTTTTTATTGAGATGGAGTCTTGCTCTGTTGCCCAGGCTGGAGTGCAGTGGTGCAATCTTGGCTCACTTTCTTATTCAAGAAAATCTACTAAAACTCAGTAAGAACAGGGAGAATCTGTGGCATTGAATTTTATTACTTTTATTATTATTATTTTGTAGAGATGGGGTTTCACTATGTTGCACAAGCTGGTCTCAAATTCCTGGGCTCAAGCTATCCTGCCACCTCGGCCTCCCAAAGTGCTGGGATTATAAGCATTGTTATCGGTGAAAGGTTATCCAAGTTACCGGTGACAAATCTGTACGGGTCTGCAGCAACCTCAATTCTTGCCTCCACAGAAGAAAGAACCACAGGGCATAAGGCAGAAAAAGAGACCAAGGGAAGTTTCAGAGCAGGAGTGGAAGTTTATTTTAAATGGCTTTAGAATGGGAAAGAAAGGTAAGTACATTTGGAAGAGACTCAAGTGGGCACCAAGGTCAAGCGTGGTGTTCAACCTTGATCCTAGGACTTTATAGGCTGGCTCCTTTCCCATGATTCTTCCCTTAGGATGGGCTGCCTGCATGCACAGTGGCCTCCTTACCCTGGGAAGGTGAGCATGCACAGTGTGTGTAGGAAGTTGTATGCATGCCTATCTGAGGTTTTCTTCCCTTTTCCGGTGGTCTGACCCCGGAAGGTCATGCTCCATCATTTTGTCTCTTTCTTTTTTGTTTGTTTGTTTTTTTTTTGAGACAGTTTCACTCTTGTTTCCCAGGCTGGAGTGTAGTGGCCTGATCTCAGCTCACTGCAACCTCCACCTCCTGGGTTCAAGCAATTCTCCTCCTTCAGTCTCCTGAGTAGGTGGGATATCAGGCACCCAACACCACGCTTGGCTAATTTTGTATTTTTAGTAGAGATGGGGGTTTCACCACATTGGCCAGACTGGTCTTGAACTCCTGACCTCAGGTGATCCGCTCGCCTCAGTCTCCCAAATTGCTGGGATTACAGGTGTGAGCCACCGTGCCCAGACTATTTTGTCTCTTAATGCACATGTCCAGGAAATTGCTTCTCCCTGGTGTCTGCATTCAATTAACACTCTAACATAACAGCTGTGGACCATCAGGAGCTTGTCTCTCTCTCTGGCGCTGGCTGCCAAATTATTTAGAGAGGCAATGTGATCATTGTTGAACCATCACTTGACATTCCTGGTGGGTGGGGAAGAGCCCTCTCCAGCCCTGCTCATGCCTGTTTAACTACCTGTAACATTATGAGCCACTGTGCCAGGCCATCTGTGGCATTTAAGCCAGGAGGACCAACTATCTCCTGACTGCCCTCCCCCCACAGTTCAGCTGGAAGGAAACTGCTCTCTGAGTAGATGTGGCCAAGAAGACAAGCTCCCTCTCCCCTCAGCTGCCAATCAAGGCTTACCATATCTCACCAGGAGGAGCATGCTGCCACCAGTTTTCATCCCCTCCAACTCCAAATTGAAGAGGCTACATTTCTGGTGAACGTGGTAAAGAAGTAGGGCACTCTTCTCCTCCACCCAGCACTCGCCCACACCATAGAATGAAGGCTGTACCATCAGTGACAGTCCAAGAATACTGGGACCATAATCACACTCCTCCCAGCTTGCTTGTGGAACAGAGATCCCATGCCAGGAGGGGCAAGCCACGAAAACCAGAGGCTACTGCTCCACCAGTGTCCAAAATAGGGTCTCAGAGGCTTTGCCCAGTGGGACAGACAGTTCATAAAAAAAGAGACCCCAAGGGCCAGGCATGGTGGCTCACACCTGTAATCCCAACCCTTGGGAGGCCGAGGCAGGTGGATCACCTGAGGTCAGGAGTTCGAGACCAGCCTGGCCAACATAGTGAAACTCCACTCTACCAAAAATACAAAAATTAGGCTGGGCACAGCGGTTCACACCTGTAATCCCAGCACTTTGGGAGGCCAAGGTGGATGGATCACCTGAGGTCAGGAGTTCGTGACCAGCCTGGCCAACATGGTGAAACCCTGCCTCTACTAAAAATAAAAAATTAGCCAGGTGTGGTGGCATGTGCCTGTAATCCTAGCTACTGAGGCAGGAGAATCGCTTGAACCAGGGAAGCAGAGTTTGCAGTGAGCCACGATCACGCCACTGCACTCTAGCCTGGGGGACAGAGTGAGACTCCATCTCAAAAAATTTAAAAAAAAAAATACAAATATTAGCTGGGCATGGTGGCGCACACCTGTAGTCCTGGCTACTCAGGAGGCTGAGGCAGGAGAATTGCTTGAACCCGGGAGGCAGAGGTTGCAGTGAGTTGAGATTGTGCCATTGCACTCAGCCTGGGCAACAAAAGTGAAACTCCATCTCAAAATAAATAAATTAGATAAATAAATAAATAAACAAACAAGACAAAAAGAGACTCTTGGCAGCAGCAAGAGAAAAACAACTCATCGCGTACAAGGAAACTCCAATGAGATTGACAGTTGATTTCTCATCAGAAACAACGGAAGCCAGCAGGTGGTGGGATGACACATTCAAAGTTGATTCTTGTCTCTGTGGTGGTTATATTCCCCAAAGTCACCACAAACAATGAATTAGAGAATACTGAACATTGCTTCTAGCGGAAATACATGGTGAAGTTCCTGCCAGCCTCTGATCACCACACTTTTGTCAACCAATCAGTCCACAGCTGTGTGTTACATGTGATTCTGTTTTGGGTTTTGTTTGTTTTTTGTAGGTCTTGCTCTATCGCTCAGGCTGAAGTGCAGTGGCACAATCACAGCTCACTGCAGCCTTGAACTCCTAGGCTCATGCCAGGCGCGGTGGCTCACGCCTGTAATACCAGCACTTTGGGAGGCCAAAGCAGGCGGATCATGAGGTCAGGAGACCGAGACCATCCTGGCTAACACGGTGAAACCCCGTCTCTACTACAAATACAAAACATTAGCCGGGCGTGGTGGCAGGCGTCTGTAATCCCAGCTACTCGGGAGACTGAGGCAGGAGAATAGCGTGAACCTGGGAGGTGGAGCTTGCAGTGAGCTGAGAGATCTTACCACTGCACTCCAGCCTGGGCGACAGAGCGAGATTCTGTCTCAAAAAAACAAAACAAAACAAAAATCCTAGGCTCAAGGAATTCTCCTGCCTCAGTCCTGTAGCTGGGACTACAGACGCGCATCACCACTGCGCCTGGCCCCCACATCTATCTTTTCAGACTGGTTTGGGACTACAGGCACACACCACCAGGGGTGGTGTATGTGTGCCTGTAGTCCTAGCTACTCAGGAGGCTGAGGTGGGAGGATCACTTAAACCCAAGAGTTCGAGGCTGCAGTGAGCTATGATCAGGCCACTGCACTCCAGCCTAGGTGACAGAACAAGATCCTGTCTCTAAAAAAGATAAAATAAAAAATAAGGCCAGGCGCGGTGGCTCGCGGTGGCTGGCTGTAATCCCAGCACTTTGGGAGGCTGAGGTGGGCGGATCACAAGGTCAGGAGTTCGAGATCGGCCTGGACAACATGGTGAAACCCCGTCTAGGAAACTAGTCTTCCCAGCTAATTTTGTATTTTTAGTAGAGACAGGGTTTCACCACATTGGTAAGACTGGTCTTGAACTCCTGACTTCAAGTAATCCACCCCTCTTTGGCCTCCCAAAGTGCTGGGATTATGGGTGTGAGCCACCATGCCCACCCCATAATTACTTTTGCACCAACAAAATATAAGAGGGCTTCAAAGGGAAGACACCAGCATAATGGCCTTCAAGATATTGTACGATCTAGCCGGGCGCAGTGGCTCACGCCTGTAATCCCAGCACTTTGGGAGGCTGAAGCGGGAGGATCAGCTGAGGTCGGGAGTTCAAGAACAGCCTGACCAACGTGAAGAAACCCCGTCTCTACTAAAACAAAATACAAAAAATTAGCCGGGCGTGGTGGTGCATACCTGTAATCCCAGCTACTCGGGAGGCTGAAGCAGGAGAATTACTTGAACCCGGGAGCCAGAGGTTGCCATAAGCTAAGATCGTGCCATTGCACTCCAGCCTGTGCAACAAGAACAAAACTCCATCTCAAACAAAAAAAAAAAAGAAAAGAAAAAAAGAAAAGAAATTGTACAATCTAAACTGAACATGGTGGCTTGCATCTATAATCCCAGCTACTTGGGAGGGTGAAACAAGAGGATTGCTTGAGGCCAGGAGTTCGAGACCAGCCTGAGCAACATGGAGAGACCCCTATCTCCTAAATAATTTTTTAAAATTAGCCAGGGGTGGTGGACTTCATTTGGTAGTTAATGAGAGGAATTAGGCCAGGAGCAGTGGCTCACACCTGTAATCCCAGCACTTTGGGAGGCTGGTGGGGAGGACTGGTCTCAAGCCCAGGAGCTTGAGACCAGCCTGGGCAACATGCCAAAACCCCATCTCTACAAAAAAAAAAAATATATATATATATATATATACATACAAAAATTAGCTGGACATGGTGTTGTGTGCCTGTAGTTCTAGCTACTTGGGAGGCTGAAGCTAGAGAACTGCCTGAGCCTGGGTGGTCGAGTCTACAGTGAGCCATGATGGTGCCACTGCACTCCAGCCTGGGGGACAGAGCGAGACCTTGCCTCAAAAAAAAAAAGGTGGGGGGAGGAATTAAAAATATATATATTATAATAGACACTGCTGTAACTGTCTGCTCAGCACTTTCTGGGGATGGTGCCCGAATTTTCCTTGGGAAAACCATCCCTTCCCTAGCCTACTTTATGTCATGCCAGTAGAGATAACTAAACCCCCAATTCCACACTGATTCAGGTTGAAGGATTTGCACAGGCTTCAAACAAAACTAGTAACTGGCCAGGCACGGTGGCTCATGCCTGTTATCAAAGCACTTTCAGAGGCTGAGGTGAGTGGATCGCTTGAGGCCAGGAATTTGAGACCAGCATGGCCCACATGGCCAAACCCCGTCTCTACTAAAAATACAAAAATTAGCCGGGCGTGGTGGCGGGCGCCTGTAATCCCAGCTACTCGGGAGGCTGAAACAGGAAAATCTCTCGAACCCAGAAGGTGGAGGTTGCAGTGAACCAAGATCGCACCATTGCACTCCAGCCTGGGTGACAGAGGGAGACTCTGTCTCAAAAAAACTAGTAACCAATAAGAGTCAAATCTAGGCCTTGCATTACAAGAGACAGAGACAGGGAGAAAGAGAGACAGAGAGAGAAGAGCTTTCCCTTGCTGGAGTTACTGAAAAAACCAGACACGAATCTGCAAGTACTAGCTTCCATCTGGCTACTCTGAGAGGAGGGGGTGGCTAAGAATGGAACCAACTCAGAAGAAAGTTGAGCTAAGGGAGGGATCAAAGTCCTAATGATACTGTTTGAGTCAGTGGAGCCAACTGTGTCTTCACAGTCAGTAAGCCAATGCACCTCCTTTCTTGCTTGAGTCCTTTTGAGTTGGGTCTTTGAAGACTTGTTACTGAAAGATTCCTGCCTACTACAACCTCATCAGGGCCATGTTTTAGGCATATCTGAGGAGGAAGGAGACAGACAGAAAGGAACCTAGTTAAGACCAGCCTGGGGCCGGGCGCAGTGGCTCATGCCTGTAATCCCAGCACTTTGGGAGGCCGAGGCGGGCAGATCACGAGGTCAGGAGTTCAAGACCAGCCTGGCCAACATGGTGAAACCCCATCTCTACTAAAAATACAAAAATTAGCCAGGCGTGGTGGCGGGCACCTGTAATCCCAGCTACTCGAGAGGCTGAGGCAGGAGAATTGCTTGAACCCAGGAGGTGGAGGTTGCAGTGAGTTGAGATCGAGCCACTGCTCTCCAGCCTGGGTGACAGGGCAAGACTCTGACTCAGGGGGAAAAAAAAGAACCAGCCTGGGCAGTATAGCCAGACTGTCGTGTCTACAAAAAATTTAAAAAATTAGGCCAGGCGCAGTGGCTGTCACCTGTAATCCTAGCACTTTGGGAGGCCAAGGCAGGTGGATCACTTGAGGTCAGGAGTTTGAGACCAGCCTGGCCAACATGGTGAAACCCATCCTAATAAAAATACAAAAAGAATTAGCCAGATGTGGTATTGTGTACCTGTAGTGCCAGCTACTTGGGAGGCTGAGGAAGGGAGATCATTTGAGCCTGGGAGGTTGAGACTGCAGTGAGCTGTGATCATGCCACTGCACTCTAGCCTGGGCAACAGAGCGAGACCCTGTCTCAAAAAAAAGGAAAGAAATGAAATGAAAAGAAAGGCCAGGCGCAGTGGCTCACACCTGTACCTGTAATCCCAGCATGATGGGAGGCCAAGGTGGGCAGATCTCTTGAGACCAGGAGTTCAAGACTAGCCTGGGTAACATGGTGAACCTCGTCTCGATACAATACAATAGTAAAGGCAAAGTGACATGAGAATCACAAGGAAATATCAGACAAACCCAAACTGAGGGACATTCTACAAAATAACTGACCTATAATCTTCAAAAGTCTACGGTCATGAAAGACCAGAATACTACTACTAATAATAAGAAGAATAAATAACTATTTCAGGCCAGGCATGGTGGCTCATGCCTGTAATCCCAGCACTTTGGGAGGCCAAGGTGGGCGGATCATTTGAGACCAGCCTGGGCAACACGGTGAAACCCCATCTCTACCAAAAATACTAAAATTAGCTGGGCATGGTGACACATGCTTGTGGTCCCAGCTACTCAGAAGGTTGAGGTGAGAGGATCATTTGAGCCTGAGAGGCAGAGGTTGCAGTGAGCCATGACCGCACCACTGCAGTCCAGCCTGGGCGACACAGCATGACACTGCCTCAAAAAAAAAAAAAAAGAAAGAAAGAAAGAAAAAAAGAAGTGCCAGACCTTGAAAATCACAAAAAGCTAATAACTGGTTTAAGATTTAATCTGGAGCCAGCCGAAGTGGCTCATGACTGTAATCCTAGCACTCCGAAAGGCCGAGGTGAGAGGATCACTTGAGCCTAGAAATTTGAGACCAGACTGGGCAACATTAGCTAGAACCCTTCTCTACAAACATTCTAAAAATTAGCCAAGCCAGGCACGGTGGCTCACACCTGTAATCCCAGCACTTTGGGAGGCCAAAGTGGGCAGATCACTTGAGGTCAGGAGTTTGAAACCTGCGTGGCCAACATGGTGAAACCCCATCTTTACTAAATATATAAAAATTAGCCAGGCGTGGTGACGTGTGCCGGTAATCCCAGCTACTTGTAAGGCTGAGGCAGGAGAATCGCTTGACCTGGGAAGTAGAGGTCAAGGTGAGCCGAGATTGTGCCATTGCATTCCAGCCTGGGCACAGAGGGAGACTCCATCTCAAAAAAAAAAAAAAAAATGCTGGGCGCAGTGGCTCACACCTGTAATCTCAGCACTTTGGGAGGCCGACACGGGCGGATCACGAGGTCGGGAGATAGAGACCATCCTGGCTAACACGGTGAAACCCCCTCTCTAATAAAAATACAAAAAATTAGCCAGGCATGGTGGCACACGCATGTAGTTCCACCTACTCAGGAGGCTGAGGCAGGAGACCCGGGAGGCAGAGGTTGCAGTGAACTGAGATTGCACCATTGCACTCCAGCCTGGGCAACAGAGCAAGACTCCGTTTCAAAAACAAAAAAAAAAAATTAGCTAGGCGTGGTTGTGTGTGCTAGGCATGGTGGCAGGATCTGTTGAGCCTAAGAGTTCGAGCCTGCAGTGACCTATGATCTTGCCACTACACTCCACTCCAGCCTGGGCAACAGAGCAAGACCCTGTGCTAGAAAAATAATTCTGCCGGGCACAGTGGCTCACGCCTGTACTCCTAGCACTTTGGGAGGCCGAGGCAGGTGGATCATGAGGTCAGGAGATGGAGACCATCCTGGCTAACACGGTGAAACCCCGTCTCTACTAAAAATACAAAAAATTAGCCAGGCATGGTGGCGGGTGTCTGCAGTCCCAGCTACTCAGGAGGCTGAGGCAGGAGAATGGCGTGAACCTGGGAGGCGGAGCTTGCAGTGAGCTGAGATCGCGCCACTGCACTCCAGCCTGGGTGACAGAGCGTAAGCTTCCACATCGTTTTCCCTCTGTCCCTTTTTTTGGGGGGGTGGGGGTGGGGGCAGGGTCTCTCACTCTGTCACCCAGGCTGGAGTGCAGTGGCACCATCAGAGCTCACTGCAACCTCAACATCCTGGGCTCAACTGATCCTCCTGCCTCAGCCTCCCAAGTAGCTGGGATTACGGACGCATGCCACCACACCCAGCTCATTTTTGTATTTTTGGTAGAGATGGGATCTCACTATGTTGCCCAGGCTGGTCTCCAGCTGCTGGGGTCAAGCAATCAGCCTGCCTCAGCCTCCCAAAGTGCTGGAATCACAGAGGTGAGCCACCACGACCAGCCAGCATCATTTTCCAGTTAAATGTTAATAGTATCTACTTCATATGGCTGCTGTGAGGATTACAGGAGGTAGTGTACATAAAAGTGCCTGGCAAGCCAGGTGCCGTAATCTCAGCACTCTGGGAGGCCAATGTGGGTGGATCACCTGAGGTCAAGAGTTTGAGACCAGCCTGGCCAACATGGTGAAACCTCGTCTCTACTAAAAATACAAAAATTAGCCGGGCGTGGTGGCTGGCGCCTGTAATCCTAGCTACTTGGGAGGCTGAGGTGGGAGAATGACTTGAACCCAGGAGGTAGGGGTTGCAGTGAGCTTGCACTCCTGCCTGGGTGATAGAGCAAGACTCCGTCTCAAAAAAACAAACAAACAAACAAACAAAAAAAAACCAAAAGTGCCTGGCACAGAAGAGATGGTAAGTCTACATTAGTTGAATATGCGTCTATGAACCAGAACAAATCCCAGTCCAGTCCTCCAAGGAAATGCCAACCTCAGTCACTAGAGGGGAATCTCAGTCACACTCTAACTGAGCTTCCAGCAGCAGGAGGTGGCAGCTTGCAGCTCTGATACACCAGCCTTTCCTATGCTGGGAAACTCACTCCCACTCAGCAAACCTGGCTCCATGCTGAACTCCATAGTGTTTTCTCTGAGTCACTATATTCTCCCGCAGTTGCAAAATGATCTGGCAAAAGTCCCTCTAGGGTTTTTACTGCTTACTGAGTAACATCCAAACTCCTTGCCAGAATCCAGAGCCTTCCTAATCTGGCCCCAACCTACCTCTCCAGGCTGAAACCTCATCATTTTTTTACTGCAGCCATGCTGGACAAGTTATGCTTCTGCCTTTATGCCTCAGCTCACCCCGATCCTTCTCCTTCATGCCTTTCTTCAGTCCCTACCTTCTGCAACCCTACTTTTTCTCTTCTTCTTTTTGTTTTTTGTTTTTGAGACGGAGTGTTGCTCTGTCGCCCAGGCTGGAGTGAAGTGGTGCAATCTCAGCTCACTGCAACCTCCTCCTCTCGGGTTCAAGCGATTCTCCTGCCTCAGTCTCCCAAGTAGCTTGGATTACAGGCACGTGCCACCATGCCCAGCTAATTTTTGTATTTTTAGTAGAGACGGGGTTTCACCATGTTGGTCAGGCTGGTCTCAAACTCAGGTGATCTGCCCACCTCGGCCTCCCAAAGTGCTGGGATTACAGGCGTGAGCCACCGTGCCCAGCCCCCCAATTTTTTTTTTTAATTAGCAGGGCGTGGTGGCGCGCACTCGTAGTCCCAGCTCTTTGGGAGGCTGAGGTGGGAGGATCACTTGACCCCAGGGAGGTTGAGGCTGCAGTGAGCAATTATTGCACCACTACACTCCAGCCTGGACGACAGAGAGAGACCCTGTCTCTATAATAAAATAAAAACAGTCTAGGACTCTGAGAGGCATGGAATTAGAAAGAGTCTCTGTGTCAGAAGACACCATTTTGAGTCTCAGCTGTCACTACTAGTGACCTTACCCAAGTTAGTAAACCTAACTCTCAGATTCTCCATCTGTAAAATTTGATCCATTTATTAGAACATTATTTTTAACCTAGGGTGATCCCGGGCCCAGGTTCTGGTGGGCTGCCGCATACATTGGCTGGGTGGCTCTGGTAGGTCACGCCCTGGCCGCTTCGCCATCGAGGGGAGGGTGAGGACAGTCTCCGAGGCGGCGCTGCCGAACCTCCCGGTGACCTGGAGGCCGCGGAGCCCGCAGGGACCCATGGCCCCCGAACCTGGGGCAAGAAGGGCGGGCGCGCGCGGGGCGGGTCACGTGACAGCTCCAGGCCCACGCGGGGCCGGGGCAAGGGCGGGGCCTGGCGCGCGCGGCCCTGCGGGTGACAGGCAGGCGGGAAGGGGCGGGGCCTCGGGCGGGGCCGCCGTGGGGAGGAGGGCGGTGGGAGGGGAGGAGTGGAGATGGCGGCGGCGGCGGCTCAGGGGGGCGGGGGCGGGGAGCCCCGTAGAACCGAGGGGGTCGGCCCGGGGGTCCCGGGGGAGGTGGAGATGGTGAAGGGGCAGCCGTTCGACGTGGGCCCGCGCTACACGCAGTTGCAGTACATCGGCGAGGGCGCGTACGGCATGGTCAGGTGAGGGGGCGTTCCGGGGGAGGGGGTGCCCTCAGGGGAGGGGGCTTCGCGGGAGAGGAGGAGGAGGCGCCGAGCGCTTTCCGGGACGTGGAGACGCGGAGCGTCCCGAGGAGGCAGGAGACTCGGGATGATCGGGAGCGTCCCAGGGAGGGGGCCCCTGAGTGCTTTCTGGGGGAGGGGGCGCTGCCTACGTCCTCAGGGGAGCAGGCTTGGAGGCTTTGAGTCCACCCTTCTGTAATGATGGGAGGGGCATCCGAGTGCATGTGGGGGCCCGCGGGGACCCTAGTGACACGGGGCGAGGCCCAGAGGATGAGTACTCTCGGGGAGGCGACATCCTTAGTGAAGAGGCAGTGGAGGGCCCGTTTTGGGGGAAAGGGTGTCTTGGATTCCCCCTGTGAGGCAGTGCCAGGGAGCCTGGGGGAGAAGAGCCGAGATCAGGGTGGGGCAGGGCTTTGGCCCCACCACCCCAGGGGCCCAGAGAGAGATGAGGCGGCCAGGAGTGCCACCTGCATGTTTTGGGAGGGGTCTGTGAGTGCCCCCGGCCCCACCGTGTGCTCTGGGCCTCTATCCCTCTGGGACAGCCCCGCTGCCCGGATCCCTCACCCTGGGACCCTCCCCTGCCCTGTCCATTCTCTCCTGCCCCTCCCCTGGCTGCCACCTTCCCAGTATTTGCCCCATGGTGTGTCCCCAGCATCTGCACCCCCGGACCTGTCTTGGGTTAAGGAGCCTTTCCTGGGAATGGGGGCGAAGGGTTCAGGGCCAGTAGAATGGAAGGGGATTGAGGAGAGGGGAAGTCAGTGAGCGGTCAGTCTCTTCCTCTGTTTGTAAAGTCACCGAAGGGCCGCCTGGCTGGTCCCCAGCTTTCTCTCTGGAGATCCCAGGCCTCCACAGCAGGAAGGAACCAGCATTGTTTATGATTTGACCAGAGCCAGCTCCTGCTCTCTCCCCTCCCTGCCAAGGCCTGGGTGGGGCCACCAGGCCCGGACTCCCCCTTTGTAAGGCCACAGCAGCAGCCTCTCTCCGGTCCCCTCAGCTCGGCCTATGACCACGTGCGCAAGACTCGCGTGGCCATCAAGAAGATCAGCCCCTTCGAACATCAGACCTACTGCCAGCGCACGCTCCGGGAGATCCAGATCCTGCTGCGCTTCCGCCATGAGAATGTCATCGGCATCCGAGACATTCTGCGGGCGTCCACCCTGGAAGCCATGAGAGATGTGTATCCTTCACCTTGGCCAGTCGGCTGGTCAGGCACGGCCTCGCAGCTGGGCTGGGGACCCGTTGCTTGGTTTCTGTTTCCATCTTACCCACCACCCTCCAAAACAAACCCAGTAAAATAAACTTTCCTGCAGAGGGGAAGCCACAGTGTAACAGGACTTGGAGACCTCTGATGAACCCAGGCCTGCAGCGGCCCAGGCAGTATGGCCTCGAGCAAGTGGGTTCTCTGCTCTGTGCCCCAGGGGGAAGGGCTAGGCAGGATGGTCTCTATGGGAGTGGTGTCTTCTGACGTCGGCAGTTCTGAGACATGACCTGGCCTCTGCCCACAGTCACTTCTTGCTAAGGAATGGATGATTCTTTCCTCTCTTTCCTCCTTGCCCAGACCGGAAGGGAGACAGGGAGAAAGAAAACTGTCAGCTGGGCGTGGTGGCTCACGCCTGTAATCCCAGCACTTTGGGAGGCTGAGGTGGGAGATTACCTGAGGTCAGTAGTTGGAGACCAGCCTGGCCAACATGGTTAAACCCCATCTCTACTAAAAATACAAAAAAATTAGCGGGGCATGGTGGTGCAAGCCTGTAATCCCAGCTACTTGGGAGGCAGAGGTAGGAGAATCGCTTGAACCCAGGAGCTGGAGGTTGCAGTGAGCCAAGATCGTGCCACTGCACTCCAGCCTGGGTGACAGAGCGAGACTCTGTCTCAAAACTAAACAAAAACAAAAAACTGCCTTTCTTGAGGGCCTGCTGTGTGTCAGGTACTATACATGCCCAATGCTTTTTTTTTTCTATTACACCTCCCAACTACCCTATGAGATGGGCTTTTCAGCTTCATTTCAAAGATGAGGGGTGGAGTGCAATGGCTCACATCTGTAGTCCCAACACTTTGGGAGGCTAAGACCAGAGGATCACTGGAGGCCAGGAGTTCAAGACCAGCCTGGGCAGCATAGTGAGACCCCACCTCTACAAAAAATTTAAAAATTATCCAGGTTTGGTGGTACACGACTATAGTCCCAGCTACTTGGGAGGCTGAGGCAGGAGGATGGCTTGAGCTTAGGAGTTCGAGGCTGCAGTGAGCTATGATTGTGCTACTGCACTCTAGCCTGGGGGACAGAGCGTGACCCTGTCAAAAAAAAAAAAAAAAAAAAAGATGAGGAAGCTAAGGCTCAGAAAACCTAAAATCAAGTGTTTCTGTTGCTGTCTCCTCCTCTCCTCCCCCAGATGGGAACTTGTCCTTCTTCTTAGGACTTCTCACTCAGAGCCACACCCTAATCACCTGTGGACTTGCACCTTGCCCAGGGAGGGACAGCCTAGCCTTGGCTGTCCTCCCCCAATACTGCTTTCCTAGTTTGCTGTCCACTTCCTGTCTGGCTCTCCTTAGCAACTTATGACACCTGTCACTTCTTCCCTGCCCCACCCACCCACTCTCAGTCCCAGCCCTCCACCCAAGAGTGGGGATTTGTACTGAGGTGTCTGCAACCCCCACCACAAACTGTGGACAGGAAATCTCCGTGCTCACCCCCAGCTCGCTGTGTGATCTGAAGCAAGTCACTGCGTCTCGCTGGGCCTCCCCAGCCCTAAAACAGCAGGGCTGGTCCACATATTCTCTGAAGACCCTTTCAAGGCTGATTCTTGTTTTCTTTGTTTTTTGTTTGTTTGTTTTTAGATGGAGTCTCCCTCTGTTGCCCAGGCTAGAGTGCAGTGGCTCAATCTCAGCTCACGGCAACCTCCACCTCCCAGGTTCAAGCTATTCTCCTGCCTCAGCCTTCCAAGTAGCTGGGACTACAGGCGCCTGCCACCACGCCCGGCTAATTTTTGTATTTTCAGTAGATGCGGGGTTTCGCCCTGTTCACCAGGCTGGCGTCAAACTCCTGACCTCAGGTCATCAACCCACCTTGGCCTCCTGAAGAGCTGGGATTACAGGCATGAGCCACCATGCCTGGTCTCAAGGCAGATTCTAAAAGACAGCCCTGACTTATTTTTCTAGAGACAAGCCAAACAGCATTTGTGGATTTATTTATTTATTTACGCATAAGCTTTTTTGTATCTTCAAATAGAAAAAGACATTTTACTCCTCCATCTTCTGAGGTATGGCCAAGCACTCTCCTTTGAGTGGGAGTGTGCTGTTGGGAGTGTCTCCTCATTTTTCTTGCACAAACCATTCCCATAAGGCAGGCATTTATTTTTAAGCAAACATTTATTGCATGCCAGATGGTGTTCATACATTATCTCATTTAACTCCCTCAACAGCCATGTGACTCAGGCATTCATATTAGTAATAATAGTTCATGTTTGCCTAGCACTCACAACTTGCCAAGCACTGGGCTGACAGCTTTACATGCGCCATCTCATCTAGTCTTCACAACCACCCTCAAAAGAACCATTATTTCATGGCTTGCACCTGTAATTTCCAGCACTTTGGGAGGCCGAGGTGGAAGGAACACTTGAACCCATGAGTTCAAGACCTGCCTGGGCAACAGAGCAAGAGCCCATCTCCACAAAAAGAAAACAAACAAACAAACAAAAAAACATTATTTCCCCTACATACCAGATGAGAAAGTTGAGGCACAGACAGGTTGAGATCCTAAAGCCAGTGAGTAGTAGAGAGGAGATTTCAGACATCCATGGGTTAACTCCAGAGTTGCTGCTCTTTTTGTAGGTTTTTTTTTTTTTTTAATTTATTTATTTTTGAGACAGAGTCTCACTCTGTCATCCGGGCTGCAGTGCAGTGACACAATCTTGGCTCACTGCAACATCTGCCTCCTGGGTTCAAGTGATTCTCGTGCTGCAGCCTCCTGAGTAGCTGGGATTACAGGCACATGCCGCCGTGCCCAGTTAATTTTGCTATTTTTAGTAGAGACAGGGTTTTGCCATGTTGCCCAGGCTGGTGGTCTCAAACTCCTGGCCTCAAGCAGTCCTCCCGCCTCAGCCTCCCAAAGTGCTGGGATTACAGGTGTGAGCCACCACTCCTGGCCCAAGTTGCTGCTCTTAACTGTGAAGTTCTCCTGCCTCCCACAGTTTATTATTATCCCCGTTTCCCCGGTAGGGAAACTGAGGCCTCAGAAATGAAGCCCCTTGCTCAGGATCAGCAACTGTGATGCAACAGAGGCTCAGAGCCCTGCCGCTGGGTAATGGCAGCAGCTTCCCCAGCTGGTGGTGCAGGTTGGCAGATCTATTGAGTCCCAGGGGCCCTGGCTGGAGGAGGTGTGCAGCCTCGCCTTCAGAGCCTGTTTTCCTTAACCAAGTGCCTCCCACTGCCCCCTGCCTGGGGGGGTCTGCGGAACCATCCTCAGCTACATTGTGCAGGACCTGATGGAGACTGACCTGTACAAGTTGCTGAAAAGCCAGCAGCTGAGCAATGACCATATCTGCTACTTCCTCTACCAGATCCTGCGGGGCCTCAAGTACATCCACTCCGCCAACGTGCTCCACCGAGATCTAAAGCCCTCCAACCTGCTCATCAACACCACCTGCGACCTTAAGGTCAGAGGGTTGGGCACCTGTCCCCTCCTCCCCCAGGGTCTGGGGCTTCCAGTGACCAGTAGAAGAAGCCTTGGGCAGGAGAACATTGCAAGCAAAGGGAACAGTGGAGGCAAAGACAAGGGGGCGTGACTGCTTAGGCTGCAGAGGCCTTGAGCGCCGAGCTTAGCAGCTAGGTCTGATTCCAGATTTGTGATTTCGGCCTGGCCCGGATTGCCGATCCTGAGCATGACCACACCGGCTTCCTGACGGAGTATGTGGCTACGCGCTGGTACCGGGCCCCAGAGATCATGCTGAACTCCAAGGTAGGAGGGGCTGCCCACTCCTGAAAGGAACGGACCAGTTCCCAGGAAGCCCTGGAGCTACCTCTGAGCCAGACACTGACCCCCATGACACAGGAATTCTACCCTCTGGGCCTTGGGCTCTGCAAGGAAGCTGAGCATTGAGCCCTCCAGGCCTCTGCCTTCTGCCTGGTGTTGGATCTAACTTGGAGGTGGTGGCCTGGCGCAGACAACAGGACCCTGTTGAGGCTGGCCCAGGAGCTCACCACTTCCTCCTCTCCCCCAGGGCTATACCAAGTCCATCGACATCTGGTCTGTGGGCTGCATTCTGGCTGAGATGCTCTCTAACCGGCCCATCTTCCCTGGCAAGCACTACCTGGATCAGCTCAACCACATTCTGGGTGAGGGAGGCCCGGCTGGCTGAGTTGGGGATGATTAGCTTTTCCGAGGTGAGATTTCTCGAGAGTCCAAGTCAGGGATACCACCACGTGTGGGGTGCCTCCAGCATCTCATGGTATCTCAATGAGGTATAGATATTATCCCCATTGGA
Organism: Homo sapiens; assembly: GCF_000001405.40. Taxonomy (NCBI): domain Eukaryota; kingdom Metazoa; phylum Chordata; class Mammalia; order Primates; family Hominidae; genus Homo; species Homo sapiens. The sequence continues at coordinate 30,117,520 of NC_000016.10, read as the reverse complement.
TAGATGGGAAAAGCAAGGCTAAGTCCCACACCTGAGGAGGCACCAGACCTAGGATTTGAGCCTCGGTCTGCCTGAACCCAGCCCCCTTGCTCTGCACCACCATGCTAATGACTAGGAGGTGACTGAGGGATTGGCATGGGTTGCTGGGCTGGGGGGTCTTGTTCTTGCCTTGTTGCCTATTCTGTTCCCAGAAAGAAAGAGGTGATCATTTACCAAGTCACCTCCTTATCCACAGGCATCCTGGGCTCCCCATCCCAGGAGGACCTGAATTGTATCATCAACATGAAGGCCCGAAACTACCTACAGTCTCTGCCCTCCAAGACCAAGGTGGCTTGGGCCAAGCTTTTCCCCAAGTCAGACTCCAAAGGTTCGAGAGACATGAGGGTGGGTGTGGGATAAACCTTGGGTGTCGTGGAGGGTGTGTGAGCCCAGCAGCCGCTGGAGGAGACAGGCAAAGCAATGCTTCTCGGAGCTCCTCCAGTCTTCCCTGTGACCCCTGACTCCTGCCCTTCCATAGCCCTTGACCTGCTGGACCGGATGTTAACCTTTAACCCCAATAAACGGATCACAGTGGAGGAAGCGCTGGCTCACCCCTACCTGGAGCAGTACTATGACCCGACGGATGAGGTGGGCCAGTCCCCAGCAGCAGTGGGGCTGGGGGCAGGGGAGCAGGGGGGCACGTAGGCATCCCCCATGCCAGGCCTGAGCCTTGCTGTCTCTACCACCCCAGCCAGTGGCCGAGGAGCCCTTCACCTTCGCCATGGAGCTGGATGACCTACCTAAGGAGCGGCTGAAGGAGCTCATCTTCCAGGAGACAGCACGCTTCCAGCCCGGAGTGCTGGAGGCCCCCTAGCCCAGACAGACATCTCTGCACCCTGGGGCCTGGTGAGTGTCTCCATGGCCCACACATGGACACCCTGATACTAAATATCTATATCTGTATATCTATATCTATATCTATCTGTACATGCCTCCATACAGCAGCAAGCTTACCCCACACCCATGGTCAATGTGTCTGGTGACAACAGAAGTGCCCAGGGGGCTGGGTGTGGTGGCTCATGCCTGGAATCCCAGCACTTTGGGAGACTGAGACTGAGAGGAGTGGATCACCTGAGGGTCAGGAGTTTGAGACCAGCCTGGCCTGCATGGTGAAATCCCATCTATACTAAAAATACAAAAATTAGCCGGGCACAGTGGGTCACTCTGGTAATCCCAGCACTTTGGGAGGCTGAGGCAAGTGGATCACCTGAGGTCAGGAGTCCGAGACCAGCCTGCCTGGCCAACGTGGTGAAACCCTGTCTCTACTAAAAATACAAAAATTAGCCGGGCACGTAGGCATGCGCTTCTAGTCCCAGCTACTCAGGAGGCTGTGGTGGGAGGACTGCTTGAACCTGGGAGGCGGAGGTTGCACCACTGTACTCCAGCCTGGGCAACAGTGAGACTCTCTCAAAAAAAAAAAAAAAAGGGCTGGGCACAGTGGCTCATGCCTGTAATCCCAGCACTTTGGGAGGCCGAGGTGGGTGGATCACAAGGTCAAGAGTTGAGACCAGCCTGGCCAACATGGTGAAACCCGGTCTCTACTGTAAAGAATACAAAAATGAGCTGGGTGTGGTGGCACATGCCTATAATCCCAGCTACTCAGGAGGCTGAGGCAGGAGAATTGCTTGAACCCAGGAGGCAGAGGTTGCAGTGAGCCGAGATCGCACCACTGCACTCCAGCCTGGACTACAGAGCAAGACTCCATCTCAAAAAAAAAAAAAAAAATGCCCAAGGCTGCCCAGACTGGTGGCCCACCGAGTCCTCCAGCCCCAAATGTCTCTGCCTGTCAACACCTTGCATCCTCCAGCCCCACAAGCCATTCTAATCTCCTTCTAGGAACAGAACTGGCAAAGAGGCAAGAGGTCACTGAGGGCCTCTGTCACCCAGGTGAGGACCTGAGCCAAGCTTCAGCTCTGGGTGTGGCAGAAGCAGGTGGGGCCATGATTGCTTTGGGAGGGGCCCAGCAGCGCCCAGCCTGACCCAGATTGCCAGGCCTCCTCACACCTGCTGCCAGATCAGCAGTTCACATAGCTGTGGGGACCCCACTGGCCTGCCCCCACCCACGCTGCCTCCTTGCCTCCTCCGGTCTCTTCCTGTCTTCAGCCAGGTGTGGCCTGATAGAAAGAAGGCATGCGCACCTGGGCTCAAACTCCAGCTGTGCCACTTAGTAAGTGCTGTGTGATATTGGGCAAGGCACCTCACCTCTCGGCGCCTCAGTTTCCGGAGTCAATCTATTTATCTTTTTTTTTGGTTTTGTTTTTTTGAGACAGTGTCTCGCTCTGTCACCCAGGCTGGAATGCAGTGGTGCAATCATAGCTCACTGCAGCCTCAAAACTCCTGGGTGCAAGGGATCCTCCCAGCTAGCTGGACGAGCCATTGCAACCGGCTAATTTTTTTTTTTTTTTTTTGTGGAGCTGGGGTCTTGCTATGTTGCCCAGGCCAGTCTCAAACTCCTGGGCTCAAGCGATCCACCACCTCAGCTTCTCAAAGTGCTGGGATTATAGGCGTGAGCCACTGTGCCCGGCCGAGACAGTTCTAATAATGAAAGCATAAAGCCCTAAGCATTGTTCTAAGAGGTTTACATGTATTAATTCCTTTAATCTTACAGCAGTACCTCAAGCTAGGTACTATTATTATCTCCATTTACAGATAAGGAAACTGAGACCCAGCCTATCCAGCTGTGAGGGTGAAATGAGAGATGTTGAGGTCAGGGCTCCAGTGGGTCTGCCCGGGGGGTGCTAACGACTCCTCTTCTGCCTGCTTCTCTCTTTAGGACCTGCCTCCTGCCTGCCCCTCTCCCGCCAGACTGTTAGAAAATGGACACTGTGCCCAGCCCGGACCTTGGCAGCCCAGGCCGGGGTGGAGCATGGGCCTGGCCACCTCTCTCCTTTGCTGAGGCCTCCAGCTTCAGGCAGGCCAAGGCCTTCTCCTCCCCACCCGCCCTCCCCACGGGGCCTCGGGACCTCAGGTGGCCCCAGTTCAATCTCCCGCTGCTGCTGCTGCGCCCTTACCTTCCCCAGCGTCCCAGTCTCTGGCAGTTCTGGAATGGAAGGGTTCTGGCTGCCCCAACCTGCTGAAGGGCAGAGGTGGAGGGTGGGGGGCGCTGAGTAGGGACTCAGGGCCATGCCTGCCCCCCTCATCTCATTCAAACCCCACCCTAGTTTCCCTGAAGGAACATTCCTTAGTCTCAAGGGCTAGCATCCCTGAGGAGCCAGGCCGGGCCGAATCCCCTCCCTGTCAAAGCTGTCACTTCGCGTGCCCTCGCTGCTTCTGTGTGTGGTGAGCAGAAGTGGAGCTGGGGGGCGTGGAGAGCCCGGCGCCCCTGCCACCTCCCTGACCCGTCTAATATATAAATATAGAGATGTGTCTATGGCTGACCCTGGCTCTGTCTGTGTTCGCGACGCCCCCGCCCTGCCCCGTGCGGCTCTGAGGACAGACTTGACTTGGGCTTTCAGGGGCCTGGTGCCCTTCACTCCCAGCTGCCCAGGGCTGGGGACGGGGCTCTGGAGAGCTCCAGACTCCTAGAAAGAAGGGGGTCAGTTTTCCCCTTAGTCACTGTCCTGTCCTCTCGCTAATGGCTTCCTGTCTAACTGGCTGGGGGTGATTCGGGGTGACTCAGGAGCACCCTACACACCCCTGGATCCTCTGAAATGGCAAGGGGTAGGCATGTTGGATGCGCTGGCTACAAGTACCAGTGAGAGGGAGAGGTCCTGACAGTCCTGGGTGGTTTTTACTCCCCTCATGTAGCCCAGGACGGGGCTGCTGGGGGCTGGGAAGGGCCTGGGGATATGAGAGCCAGGGCTACTTGCCTCACCTCCTGACACTACCCCAGCTTCAGCCGAACCCTGCAGCCTGGCTCCAAGCCAGCCCAGCGGCAGGCTCAGCAGGTCCCAGGGGCGTGGCAGTGGCCAGTAGTAGAGCCGGCCCACACTGGCTAGGCAGGCAGCACAGTCCCGCGGACGGCTGAGCGTGTGGCTGCAGGAGCTTCTGTGGGAGTACGGTCATGAGCCTTTTGCTGTACTATGCCCTCCCTGCCCTGGGCAGCTATGCCATGCTCTCCATCTTCTTCCTGCGCCGGCCTCATCTGCTGCACACGCCCAGGGCTCCCACCTTCCGCATCCGCCTGGGGGCCCACCGAGGAGGTGAGCCGGGTAGGGGTGAGAACAGGTGCCAAAGTGGACAGCACAGAGGGGTAGGTCCAAGGGGGCATGCTAGAAACGGGGCAGGGACCAAGAGAGAAGGAGAGCGAAGTGGCAGGGCAGGGTGTGGACGAGGAAGAAGATGCTGGCGCAGCCTGGGCTGGCTGGGGAGGTGAGGCCAGAGGGAGGATGGAGCCCAGAGAGGGAATGTGGGTGATGAGGTTGGGCCAGGCCCCTAGACCCCAAGCCCCAGAGGCCCACTCCAGTGCCCCCCACAGGATCTGGAGAGCTGCTGGAGAACACCATGGAGGCCATGGAGAAGTGAGTGTATCTGCCCCTGCCCAGGCTGCCATGTGAGGGTGTGCAGGTCGTGGACTGCATCACAGCAAGGGACGCCATTCACTTCCTAGCTGGGTGACTGGCGCCCCCTGGAGGTGGCCTGCACATCCCGCCACGAACTCCGCTCTCACATTCCCGGCCACCTCCCAGCCACCATGCCCCTCATCCCAGTCCCCTGCCCCTGCCCCCCGCTGACCTTCACCCCCACAGCTCCATGGCCCAGCGCTCGGACCTCCTGGAGCTCGACTGTCAGCTGACACGGGACAGAGTGGTGGTGGTGTCACATGATGAGAACCTGTGCCGCCAGTCGGGCCTAAACAGGGATGTGGGCAGCCTGGACTTCGAGGTGGGCCCTGCCCTGACACCCCAACCCCCACCCTGAGAGTCACCATGCCCAATGCGGGCCTCTAGTGACATCCTTCCTGTCCTCCCCAGGACCTGCCCCTCTACAAGGAGAAGCTGGAGGTTTACTTCTCTCCAGGTGAGAGCAAGGGCTTCGAGCCCTGCCTGGGCCATGCCTGCCTTCCTTGGACCTCCGCCTTGGCTTCCCTCTGACCCCTTTTCCCACACCACCCCCAGGCCACTTTGCTCACGGGTCAGACCGGCGCATGGTTCGTCTGGAGGACCTGTTCCAGAGGTTTCCAAGGACACCCATGAGCGTAGAGATCAAAGGGAAGAACGAAGAGCTCATCCGTGAGGTGGTGCTGCAGGCAGGGCTAGGGCGGCCACCGGGGGCGTGAGAGAGGCCTGGCTCTCCCTTCACCTCCTTCTCCTCCTCCCAGATAGCAGGCTTGGTGAGACGCTATGACCGTAATGAAATCACCATCTGGGCCTCGGAGAAGAGCTCGGTCATGAAGAAATGCAAGGCTGCCGTGAGTCCCCCCACCCCTCCCCCGTCCTCTTCCTCCTCCAGGGGCCCCTCCTCCCCAGAGCTGGAGCCCACCCAGCATGGGGACCCGAGCTAGAGGGGTCTGGGAGAGTTCCCAGTGGCGTGGCGGTGGCAATGAAAAGGGTGTGAACTCAGGCCTCGAACACAGAGCCAAGATGTGACTTTTGTTTTTTTTCTTTTTTGAAACACAGTCTCTCTCTGTCGCCCAGGCTGGAGTGCGGTGGTGCGACCTCGGCTCACTGCAACCTCTGCCTCCTGGGTTCAAGCGATTCTCATGCTTCAGCCTCCCGAGTAGCTGGGATTACAGGTGCACGCCACCACGCCCAGCTAATTTTTGTATTTTTAGTAGAGATGGGGTTTTACCATGTTAGCCAGGCTGGTCTTGAACTCCTGATCTCAGGTGATCCACCTGCCTCAGCCTCCCAAACTGCTGAGGTTACAGGCGTGAGCCACCACACCCAGCCCCAAGATGTGACTTGGATCCTGCAGGTAGTAGGGCCTCTGGAATGCCCACCACGGCTCCCCTGCAGCTCATGCCTCCTCTCTGCTTCCCCAGAGCAGACAGATTCTCATGCCTCTCCTTGCCTCCCCAGAACCCCGAGATGCCCCTGTCCTTCACAATAAGCCGAGGATTCTGGGTGCTGCTTTCCTACTACCTGGGGCTGCTGCCCTTCATCCCAATCCCTGAGAAGTTCTTCTTCTGCTTCCTGCCCAACATCATCAACAGGTACCAGTGGGGGGCGGACCTCAGAAAAACTCCCCACTGCTTAGGGTCTCCGTGGAGAAGGAGCCCAGATCTTCCCAGCTCCCCAGCTCCCCTCAGAGATAACCCCCAAGGTCTTTTAAGGACAGTGGTTCTTACCCAGCATTCATGAATACTAAGGGAACTGTGAACACCCTGAAATTCTGTGCATATGTGGAGTTTTAGGATAGAGAGGTAATTTATCCATCTCAGGCCATCTAGCATATTTTATTGAATGTCTACTCTGTCCCAGGTGCAGTTATAATGTGTAAATGAGACCAGTGAGGGTGGGGAGAGGTCCTTGGTGAGCTTACAGTCTGGCTGGGGAGACATTCGTTCATTAATTATAGCACGGCTGTCTCAGACCCTCAGCAGGAAAAGGCCAAGTCAGTGTTCTGCAGGAAGGCAGGGGTTAACAAAGTAACAGCTGGGGAAAGGATCAGGAATTTGGATACTTCGCTGGCACTTAAGCCTAGTCCCTCCCTTTGCTTTACAATTTTTTTTTTTTTTTTGAGACAGTCTTGCTCGGGCTGGAATGCAGTGGCCAGATCATGACTCACTGCGCCTCGACCTCCTGGGCTCAGGAGATCCTCCTGCCTCAGCCTCCTAAGTAGCTGGGAGTATAGGCGTGCAACACTGCACCTGGCTAATTGTTAAATTATTTGTAGAGACAAGGTCTCACTATGTTGACCAGGCTGCTCTTGAACTCCTCAGCTCAAGCGAGCCTCCCACCTTGGTCTCCCAAAGTGCTGGGATTACATACCTGAGCCCCTGGGCCCGGTCTCCCTTTGCTTTCTGACAGCTTCTCTGTGGTAGTCCCAGAGCTCTCTGCTCCCCTCTGTTGTCCAGAAGGAAGTCCCACTCAGCCCCCACAATACCTTGCTACAAAGAGATCAATGATATTTGTGTACCACCTTTTTATACCGGATTTTTTTTGTGTTTTTTGAGGAGTCTTCCCCTGTTGCCCAGGCTGCAGTGCAGTGGCGTGATCTCGGCTCACTGCAAGCTCTGCCTCCCTGGTTCACGCCATTCTCCTGCTTCAGCCTCCCGAGTAGCTGGGACTACAGGCGCCCGCCACCACACCCGGCTAATTTTTTTGTGTTTTTAGTAGAGATGGGGTTTCACCGTATTAGCCAGGATGGTAATCTGACCTCATGATCCGCCTGCCTCGGCCTCCCAAAGTGCTGGGATTACAGGCGTGACCCACTGCGCCCGGCCTTATACAAGATTTATAAAGTGTTTTAACATATTTTGGGTTGACTTTTACCTTGCAGCACCCCCAGGAGGTATAAGAATCATGACTCCCATGGTACCCTAGAGAATCTGAGGCCCAGAGAGGTTCTGTAATTTGCCCAAGGACACACAGCTGGAAATCCAGAGCTTAGGTTTTCCCTGGGTCTGACTCCAGAGCCTGCCCTAGGACACTGTCAAGGGTCTCTAAAGTCACCCCTGGAGTGGGATAATTAGGGGTCGTCCCACTAAGTGCTGTCTGGTCTCAAGAAGCTGGCCAATGGGCACAGTGGCTCACGAGGTTTTTTGTGGGTTTTTTGTTTGTTTGTTTGTTTTTGAGACGGAGTTTTGCTCTTTTTGCCCAGGCTGGAGTGCAATGGTGCCATCTTGGCTCACCGCAACCTCCGCCTCCCAGATTCAAGCGATTCTCCTGCTTCAGCCTCCCAAGTAGCTGGCATTACAGGCATGCACCACCATCCTGGCTAATTTTGTATTTTTAGTAGACACAGGGTTTCTCCATGTTGGTCAGGGTGGTCTTGAACTCCGGACCTCAGGTGATCCACCCGCCTCGGCCTCCCAAAGTGTTGGGATTACAGGCGTGAACCACCGCGCCCGGCCATTGTTTTTTGTTTTTGAGAAGGAGTCTCACTCTGTGGCCCAGGCTGGAGTGCAGTAGTGCGATCTTGGCTCACTGAAACCTCCGCCTCCTGGGTTCAAGCAATTCTCCTGCCTCAGCCTCCCAAGTGGCTGGGACTACAGGGTCTGCCACCACGCCCGGCTAATTTTTGTATTTTTAGTAGAGACGGCGTTTCGCCATGTTGGCCACGCTGGTCTCCTCCCACCTCAGACTTTCAAAGTGCTGCGATTACAGGTGTGAGCCACCACACTTGGCTGGCTCGTGCTTATTATCCTGGCACTTTTGGGAGGCTGAAGCGGGAGGATTGCTTGAGTCCAGGAGTTCAAGACCAGCCTGGGCAACATAGTGAGACATGTCTCTACAAAAATTTTTTAATGGCCGGGCACGGTGGCTCACGCCTGTAATCCCAGCACTTTGGGAGGCCAAGGCGGGCGGATCACAAAGTCAGGAGATCGAGACCATCCTGGCTAACAGGGTGAAACCCTGTCTCTACTAAAAATACAAAAAATTAGCAGGCGTGGTGGCGGGCACCTGTAGTCCCAGCTACTCAAGAGGCTGAGGCAGGAGAATGGTGTGAACCCAGGAGGCGGAGCTTGCAGTGAGCTGTGATCGCACCACGGCACTCCAGCCTGGGCGACAGAGCAAGACTCTGTCTCAAAAAAAAAAAAATTAATTTAAATTAATAATAAGATAAATAGATAAATAAGAAGCTGGCCAGGCCCAACCAGGAGGGCCTGCAGCCTGGATGTCCAGCTTTGGAACCAAGCGAGGCCCTGGCCCAGCCCCACCACCACTCTGCTTTGGGTCTGGCAAGTCCCTTTCGTTCTCTAAGGCCCAGATTCCTTATCTGGTGAATGGTGACTGGAGGGCCACACCCTTGAAGCGTGGTGGTCAGAGTAGGCTCTCTGAACAATGGGTGAATTGTTCACTGGGGCAACTACAAAGGTTATTCTGGGGGATTCTGGGGGGTGGGAGGGCAGCGCTACCCTAGTTGGCGGGGGCACTACCAGCCCACCCCACCTCTGGGACAGGGGAGACCCTAGGAGCTAACCCCCACTTCCTTCTCTCTGCAGGACCTATTTCCCATTTTCCTGCTCTTGCCTGAACCAGTTATTGGCTGTGGTTTCGAAATGGTGAGGTGGGCAAGATGGCTGGGTGGCGTGTCCCCATAGAGACCTACTGCTGCCCTTCTCCCAGGTCCCCTCTCATCATCACCTCCCACGTCCCCACCCCACCCCCAGGCTGATCATGAGGAAGAGTCTGATCCGACACTTGGAGGAGCGAGGGGTGCAGGTGAGGCCGTGACCACCACTTCCACCGCACACAGACCTGGCAGCAGGGTTCCGGTCCCACTCTGCTGCCAACTAGCTGCATCACTCGGGCAGGTGACCTCACCTCAGTTTCTTCGTCCCTAAAATGGGAAAATGGTATATTTAACTCTCTGGATACACACACACACACACACGAACACACACAATTTTCTTCTTCTGTGTGTGTGTGTGTGTGTGTGTGTGTGTGTCAAGAGTCTCACTCTGTCACCCAGGCTGGAGTGCAGTGGTGCAATCTCGGCTCACTGCAACCTCCACCTCCCGGGTTCAAGCGATTCTCCTGCTTCAGCCTCCCCAGTAGCTGGGACTACAGGTGCCTGCCACCATGCTTGGCTAATTTTTGTGTTTTTAGTAGAGACGGGGTTGCACCATGTTGGCCAGGCTGGTCTCGAACTCCTGGCCTCAAGTGATCCACCTGCCTCAGCCTCCCAAAGTGCTGGGATTACAGGTGTGAGCCACCACGCCTGGCCACGCACATATTTTCTTAACCTGACATTGCCAACATATGGATATGTAACTAGTACTTATTAAGGGCTTGATAAATGTTAGCCATTATGATGACAACAATGATGTATCATGATCCCTGATGAGAGGGGGCTGGGGAAAGATGAGAGATGGGAGAAACCAGGCCCAGCCCACCCCCCTCTCCCCTGAGCATTGGCTTCCACCAGATCATTTAATTAGTAAACGATCCTTGAGAATGTTCCAGGCACTATGGTACTAGGGGTGGGAGCTTCCCATCAAGGGTACAGGGAAGAAATGCCATAGGCAGAGGCTGGGCACGGCTCCCACCTGTAATCCCAGCCCTTTGAGAGGCCAAGGTGGGAGGATCACTTGAGCCCAGGAGTTTAAGACCAGCCTGGGCAACATACTGAGACCCTCGTCTCTACAAAAAATTTAAAAATTAGCCAAGCGCAGTGGTTTACACCTGTAGTCCCAGCCACTCAGGAGGCTGAGATGGGAGGATCACCTGAGCACGGGGTTTCGAGGGTGCAGTGAGCTATAATCAGAATCACGCCACTGCACTCCACACTCCAGCCTGGGAGAGATAGCCAGACTGTCTCAAAAGAGAGAGAGGAAAGAGCGTGAGAGCCAGAGACAGGGAGAGGGAGGAGAGGGAGGGAAACAGGAAAAAGGAAAGGAAAAGGGAAAGAAAAGAAAAATGCAGAGGCAGGGTGCAGTGGCTCATGCCTGCAATCCCAGCACTTTGGGAGGCCAAGGCCAGCGGATCAACTAAGGTCAGGAGTTCGAGACCAGCCTGGCCAACATTGTGAAACCCCATCTCTACTAAAAATGTAAACATTATCCGGGTATGGTGGCGCATGCCTGTAATCCCAGCTCTACTTGGGAGGCTCAAGCACGAGAATCACTTGAACCCAGGAGCTGGAGGCTATAGTGAGCCGAGATCACGCCACTGCACTCCAGCCTGGGCGACAGAGCAAGACTGTCTCAAAAATAAATAAATAAATAAATAAAATATTAACTGGGCATGGTAGTGCATGCCTGTAGTCCCAGCTAGTTAGGAGGCTGAGGTGGGAGGATCACTTGAGCCCAGGAGGTCAAGGCTACAGTGGGCTGTGATTACACCACTGCACTCCAGTGTTGGCAATACAGAGAGACCTCGTCTCATCTGTATTTTTAAATAAAAAATTCCCATCTCCGCCTACCTCAGTGCCCACTCAACGGGCAGGGAAGGGGCAGAGCTGCAGGAGCTGGGGCAGGTGGCAGTGGAATGGGGGTTTGGGGGAGGGTGGTGCTGTTAAGTGGTCAACAACTAGCTCTCAGAGAGGAACAAATGAAAGCCCTGATTTGAGGATTAATTTTCCTGGTTTAAATACTCCCATCTTGGCCAGTTTCAGGCTGCCGACATGAAGCCACTAAATGCAGAATGGGAAGAGATGCATGGTGGCACCCCATCATGTAGTATTTCCATCTTGCAGCCTCAACAGACTTAATCACTTCAAGAACACAGTAATAGGAAACTGATTAGCAAGAGATATGCTTTGAATATTTATTACTGGATTTTTGTTTGTTTTGGGTTTTGTTTTTTGTTTTGTTTTGTTTTTTGAGACAGAGTCTTGCTCTGTTGCCCAGGCTAGAGTGCAATGGCGTGATCTCAGCTCACTGCAACCTCCACCTCCTGGGTTCAAGCGATTCTCCTGCCTCAGCCTTCTGAGTAGCTGGGATTACAGTCGCCCGCCACCACGCCCAGCTAATTTTTCTGTTTTTAGTAGAGATGGGATTTCACCATGTTGGCCAGGCTGGTCTCGAACTCCTGACCTTAGTTGATCTGCCTGCCTCGGCCTCCCAAAGTGCTGGGATTACAGGCGTGAGCCACTACGCCTGGCCACTTGTTGTTTTAATAATTTATTTAGGGCCGGGCGCGGTGGCTCACACCTGTAATCCCAGCACTTTGGGAGGCCGAGGCGGGTGGATCACGAGGTTAGGAGATCGAGACCATCCTGGCTAACATGGTGAAACCCCATCTCTACTAAAAACAGAAAAATTAGCTGGGCGTGGTGGCGGACATCTGTAGTCCCAGCTACTCAGGAGGCTGAGACAGGAGAATGGTGTGAACCCGGGAGGCAGAGCTTGCAGTGAGCCGAGTTCATGCCACTGTACTCCAGCCCGGGTGACAAACCAAGACTCCATCTCAAAAAATAAATAAATAAATAAATAAATAATTTAATTGTCAGTATATATAATTTTTTTTTTTTTTTTGAGACGAGGTCTTGTTGTATCGCCCAGGCTGGAGTACAGTGGTGCAACCATAGCTCACTGCAGCCTTAGAGTCCTGGGCTCAAGCAATTCTTTCACCTCAGTCTTCCAAGTAGCTGGGAGCACAGGCGCATACCACCACACCGGGCTAATTAATTTTTACAAAGTTTTTTGTAGAGATGAGGTCTCACTCGATCTTAAACACCTGGCCTCAACTCCTGCCTCGGCGTCCCAAAGTGTTGATATTACAGGCGTGAGCCACTGCACCCAGGCTATGATTTAATTTTTAATAATGGCTGGGTTTAATAACCACTTTGCAAAATTCCTGAGAATTTAACAATCAGCTCCAGCCTACTGCTGCTGGGGAGTCTCCATAGAGGAGGAGGTGGGTCCCCACTCTCCAGATGTAAAATTGTTCAGAATCTACAGGCCCCCTCCCTCCCTGCTCAGGTGGTCTTTTGGTGCCTTAATGAAGAGTCGGATTTTGAAGCAGCCTTCAGCGTGGGAGCCACTGGCGTCATAACGGATTATCCCACAGCCCTGCGGCACTACCTGGACAACCATGGACCAGCTGCCCGGACCTCCTAAGTCCAGAAGCCTCGAGGTCTCCTGTTTCTCTTCCTGAAAAATAAATATTTGCCTTTCGATCACATCGTTGTGCTGAGGGTGAGGAGTAGAGGGGTGGGTCCTGAAGATATGAAGATGGCAGCTTAGGAGGGAACAGGCCAGCCCTGAGGCTGGAGCCTGGGGCCCTCAGGAGCCTGACCCACTGGTTCCACTGCATTCCTGTCCTCCTGCCACACCCCACCCCAGCCTGGCCTCCACTCTCCTCAGCAATGTCCTCTCACGGCCAACCCAGGCATCCTGGCCCCCAGCCACTTGACAGCAACAGGTAATGGTTCCATTTTCCTGAGGCCATCAACAGCCCAGGCACCGGGCAGGGAACTTGATCTCTTCCATGTCTTGCCCTGTGAGCTTCCTTCTCGGGCTGCAGAGGATGGGCCTGGGTGGGACAGCTGAGTTCACCCAGCCCCTCTGCTGCCCCCGCCATTCCAACCTTCTCCTCCCAGGTCTCCTTCTCCAGAAGCTCCCAGAATGCTTCTGCCATCTTCAGCCCCAGGGCCATATTCACTGAAGGAACTACACATTCACATTTCACAGATACTTCCTGAGCGCCTCCTCTAGACCAGGCTGGGCCCACTGCAGTGAGCAACACAAGCCAAAGAACTGCAGACACGTGTTGAAACAGACATTCCCTGAGATCAGACCTAACCCAGCCTGGAGCACAGGGGTGTTGGAAACAAGTGCTCAGTGTAGTCAAGAAAAACCAGCACTGAGACAGATTTCCCAGCAAGGCATCTTTACTTCAGAACGGTGCTACTTGCGCAGCTTGTAATCGCAAGAGCACCCCAAACAAAGGAGAGAAGGGCTTTTTAACCCTAACGCAGTTCCTGTTTCTGTGTCCTTTCCCCATTGACTGGGGATGGACTGCACAATCTGAGCTGATCCCGACTGGCTAAGGTTTAAACTTTCCCAAACAGGGTAGACTGGCGAAAAAGAAGAAAAACGGGGAGAAGTTTATGACCAGGAAGTTGAGTCTTTGAAGAGCTTAGCTGTCCCAACAATTTCCTCTCTTCTATTTGATACTTCTTCCTCTGCAAAAAATTTTAACAGGATTTGGCTTCGTTGTTCTTCTTGATTATCCAGGAGCAAGAGCTTGTCCAAGTATGGAGGGAGAGAAGAGAGGAAGGCTTTAGTGAGGGCTGTTTCTATGAGCCTTTGAGTTAACCCACGAATACAAGGTATGATGCGGCAGCCCACAAGGATAAGTACACTTGTTACAATTGCAAGAGAGGTAAAGATTGAAGCCAGGAGTCCTTTCCATTTTCCAAACCACTTTTCCATGAGACCCATAAAAGGGTTATCTAGTCCAGAATTTTCGGCTAATTCATTTGCCAGGGTGGTAAGGCCTTGTAAAGCTTTTGTGATGGTCCCGTCGGCGGCTGTATTATTAGGGATAAAAGTACAACATTGGACTCAGATCATGACACAGACTCTGCCTTTTCCTGCCAATATCATGTCAAGGGCTAGTCTATTTTCCCAGGTCATCTGGCTGGTGGGGCCTAATTGTTCAGCTATTCCTTTGATGGCATCCCTGGTATAACTGACGAATCGCTGCTCGCTGTAGTATATATAATTTATCCAGTCTACATTTTTATTTATAGCAGACCACCAGAACAAAACAGACTTAAACCCAGCGGCTATTTGATTCCAAGCTTTAAATTCACTTGGTAGCTCCCGTGGGACCCTGCTACTGTCTATGTAAACATGGGGGTCAAAGGCCCACGAGGGGCTTCTCTTTTTCTTTGGGTTACTTGCTTCCTGTCTGGTTGATGAAATGCCAAGGTGAAAGGGATGGCCAACTGGATTAGAGCAAAAGTGCTGCTCCAATTGCTTGGCAGCGTACCCAGTAACAGTCCACAATACCACCATACATCTGCTCGGGGATAGACAAGGGCTGACTGATTGGTTAGCTCTTGAAAAGGTTTAGACTCCCATTAGATTTCCAAGGAACGTCAATTTGTCCTGTTGTGGGAGACACAAGGTGTAACTGGCATTGAGAGGTGGAAGTCAAATGGTCCTTGGGAGCTGACCCGTAGGGCTCCTGATCTTTGGGAAACGTAGTGAAAGAGTGGCGCACGTCTTGTTTCCCCAGGCTGTGGTGTGCTGGAAGAGAGCTACCATACAGTCCATGCCTGGTTGGTTGGCCCATCTGAGTGGAAAGGGGACAATCTGGGTTTCCGGCCTGCCCGCTGCACAAGAGTAACAATCGCTTTTATTCAGGGTGCGAAAAGAATATTTAATCCATTCCAGCCAGGCATTTGCATCTTGATACCCGGTCTCAATGGCTAGGGTTTGCTTTAAGTCCTTGACTTCTACTATAGCTACTTTGGTTTTGTCATTGGGTAAGAGGTGAGGAATGGTTTGATTTGGTGGGCTTGGGGAGGGGGAGACGGTAGGAGGTGGAGAAGGGTGAACAAAACATATTTCAAAGAAGCCTATAGGGTCCCTTCCAGTAACATCGGCTCCTAAGCCATAGAAGCAACCTAGAGTGGAGTTAGGGTCGGTGGAGGTAGGGGTAGTAATAGAGGTAAGTACTGGGTTGCACTGGTTGGATTGGCAATTATAGGGGTGGTTCCCTTGATAAAGTAAAGGCTGCTTCCTTCGGGTTTTATTAGTTTTTTTGCACACTAGGCAACTATCCGCCACCTGACTAGCGAGGGTAGAGATTCCTATATACCCATAGGCTTTGAGGACTGTGTCACACATAGCTTGGGGACCCCAGTGAGTTTCTTGATAAAGCTGTGATAATATTTCCCTCATAAGAGGTTTAGACAGCATTTCCCTCCCGTCTGGTAATACCCACCTTCCCTCTGAGCTTTCCTTAGCTCCTATTCTTTTTAACTTTTCTTGGTCCGCGTCGGAGAAGATGGGGATTGCGACTGGAGGGGAAGGCAAGGGGTCAGATGGAAAATGGGTGCCTCTCAGGAAGAGGCAACTTGCTTGGCTACTTGATCTGTGAGGTTATTTCCCCGGTTTTCAAAAGATGGGTTTTTCTGGTGTCCTGGGACGTGGACCACCACTATTTCTTCTGGCAGTTGAAGATTTTCTAGTACTTGCATAATCAATTCTTTATAGACAAGGTCCTGGCCCTTACTATTAATGAGGCCTCGTTCAGTCCAGATCTTTCCAAAGGTATGGACTACTCCAAAATACTTGGAGTCAGTGTAAATAGTTCCTTCCTGATTTTGCAGAGATTTTAAGGCCTGATTTAATGCAAAGAGTTCACATGTTTGAGTGAACCAGTTATTGGGCCGTCTCCCTGACTCTACCTCCATGAGGGTTTCCCTGTCAACTACAGAGCACCCGTTATGCCTCCTTCCTTCAATTACCCGAGAGGAGCCGTCTATAAAGAGGTAATGCCCAGTTTGGAACAGGGTCTTGCTTAGATGCAGTCTGACTCTAGTCTGATAACTGATCAGATCTAAACATTTATGCTCAGGTTCCTCCCGGTTCGGATTTCCTGTTAGGAAAACATCGGAGTTGAGCGAACTACCAGTGGTCAATGTTAAATCATCCCTCTCTAATAAGATAGCCTCAATTTTTTTGGGGGGTGGGTGGAGGATGGAGTCTCGTTCTGTTGCCCAGGCTGAAGTGCAGTGGCTGATCTCGGCTCAGTGCAACCTCCGCCTCCGGGGTTCAAGCAATTCTCCTGCGTCAGCCTCCCAAGTAGCTGGGATTACAGGCGTGCGCCACCATGCCTGGCTAATTTTTTGTATTTTTAGTAGAGAGGGGGTTTCACCATGCTGGGCACTCTGGTCTCAAACTCCTGACCTTGTGATCTGCCCACCTCAGCCTCCCAAAGTGCTGGAATTACAGGCGTGAGCCACCACACCCACCCGATAGCCTCACATTTTAAAATCCTTGAGTCAGTGAGCTATCTTCCTGCCTTCTGATTAAGAATGGTTCTAACGTGATGAAGGGTACATACAATGAGGCTTCCCCCAAAGGTTATTTTCCTGCTTCGTTCCATTAGCAAAGCAGTTGCTGCTACAGACTGGGCACATTCGGGCCATCGGTGGGTTACTGGGTCAAGAACTTTTGACAGGAAGGCTATGGGCTGCCAGTGGCCTCTGTGTCTTTGGGTGAGTACCCCTAAAGCCAACCCCTTGTTTACACTGATGAAAAGGTGGAATGGCTAAGGAGGGCAAAGCTATAACGGGGGCAGTTACAAGTAGGTGTTTTAACTCTTCTACTTGTTGGACTTCTGATAGGGTCCAAAGAAGGGGGTCTGGTCCTTCTTGGGTGAGTTTTTTATGTAGAGATTTTGTTTTTCAGGCATAAGAGTCAATCCATAGACGACAGTATCCAACTAATCCCAAGAATTTTCTAAGTTCCTGCTTTGTTTCAGGCAAAGGTAGAGATGTGACACCTTCAATTCGTTCAGGTACTATTTTCCGTTTGCCTTTACTGATTAGGTGTCCTAGATATTTTACCTCAGGTTCTACAAACTGAATTTTACTCCTTGAGACCCGTAACCCTTGTTCCCTTAGGAAATTCAGGAAGTTAATTGAAACTGTGGTTATGTGGTCCTTGCTATTTCCTGAAATGAACAGGTCATCTGCCTATTCGAGTAGGCATATGGATGAAGGAAGGGAAAAGTTTTCTAGGACTTGTTCTAAAATTTGACCGAATAGATTTGGGGAGTCTGTAAACCCCTGGGGTAGGACTGTCCACTGGTACTGCTGTTTTCGACCTAAGTGAGGGTCCTCCCACTCAAAAGCAAACATGTCCCGGCTGTCTTCCGCTAAAGGGCAAGCCCAAAAGCCATCTTTCTTTTTTTATTTTTTATTTTATTTATTTTTTGAGACAGAGCCTGGCTCTGTTGCCAGGCTGGAGTGCAGTGGCACGATCTCGGCTAACTGCAACCTCAGCCTCCTGGGTTCAAGCAACTCTCCTGCCTCAGCCTCCTGAGTAGCTGGGATTATAGGCACATGCTGCCATGCCTGGCGTGTGTGTGTGTGTGTGTGTGTGTGTGTGTGTGTGTGTGTGTATTTTAGTAGAGACGGGGTTTCACCGTGTTGCCCAGGCTGGTTGCAAACTCCTGAGTTCGGGCAGTCTGCCCGCCTCAGCCTCCCAAAGTGCTAGGATTACAGGTGTGAGCCACCGTGCCCAGCTGGCATCTTTCAAATCTATCATTGTGAACCACTGGTGATCATATGGGATTTTGCTGATAATAGTGTAAGGGTTGGGAACAACAGGGTGGGTAGTTTGAGCTGTTTGATTAACAGCCCAGAGGTCTTCTACTAGCCGGTATGACCCATCTGACTTTCTTACAGGCAATATTGGAGTGTTATAAGGGGACATACAGGGTTCAAGGGGTCCGTCATGGACGAGGCCCTCAATTATAGGTTTTAGAGCCATTCTAGCTTCTAAGGGAATAGGGTATCGTTTTCTCCTGACCACTTCCCTGGGAATTTTTTTTTAATAAATAAATCAATAAATCAATAAATAAATCTGACGGTGGAACCCAAATCAGAGTTAATCACTTTCTTTCTTTTTTTTTTTTTTTTTTGAGACGGAGTCTTGCTCTGTCTCTCAGGCTGGAGTGCAATGGCGTGATCTCAGCTCACTGCAAGCTCCACCTGCCAGGTTCACACCATTTTCCTGCCTAAGCCTCCTGAGCAGCTGGCACTACAGGCGCCCGCCACCACGCCCGGCTAATTTTTTGTATTTTTTTAGTAGAAACAGGATTTCACCGTGTTAGCCAGGATGGTCTCGATCTCCTGACCTCATGATCCACCCACCTCGGCCTCCCAAAGTGCTGGGATTACAGGCTTGAGCCACCATGCCCGGCCTTTGAGCCTCTCTTAATTAAAAGTTCCTCTATGGAGCAGTCTTGCCAATTTTCTATCTTTTGTAATTTCTTTCTAATGTCCGGCCGACTGTTGGTGATAAAATAGAGCTTTAACATCCCTTGTCCAAGTGGGTCCTCTATGTCTAAGCCTGAATATTTTCTTATTTGCTCCTTAAGTGTCTTTAAAAATTCCATGGGCCCTTCATCTTTTTCTTGGTGTACATTAAATGCTCGAGAAATATTTTGGGTTTGAGGCACCAATTCCTGAATCCCTTTAATTATCATATCCCTGAGGTCTTTCATGTTTTCTCAGTGGGCTGCATTGTTCCTATTCCACTGAGGGTCCTGGGCTGGGAATTTCTGCTCTGCTGCAGGGATGTTTTGACCAAGAGGGTGTTCACATTCCCAGACTATCATAGCAGCCCTGCGGATCATGGTTCTTTCCTCCCCTGAGAAGAGAATACCTAAGATGGACATTAATTCAGCCCAAGTATACAATTGCGGCCCTAAAAATTGTTCAATTTGATCTGTGACTCCAAAAGGATCATCTGATAATGGTTTGAGTTCCTTTTTCAGATTTCTAACCTCTGAACTAGTTAAGGGGGCATTTACGAAACCAATACCCCCTCCTCCCAGTGGTACTTAAGGGAAAAGGGGTTGGGGCAGACCCCTTTGAGGAAGAGGGAAAAGGAAAGTTCTGAATATCCCTCCGGCATTGTTCCATCTCGTGCTGGAGTTTTCCTGAGGAAAGGACATGTTCGGGTGGCTGCTCAATGGGGATGTGGGGCCACAAGGCCCACAGGGCAGGGTTATGTGGGGGAGGGACTGAGTGATTAGCCTGAGGTGGGGTAGGCGGGGGAAGATGGTCTAGGGGATCCTATACATTGGCATCTTTAGATGTAGAATCTGACTTAACTGGGTTGTCCTAGGAGGGTACTGAGTTTGGTTTCTCTTTTACGTCATCCTTTAAGGGAAAGGGAAGGACATGTTCCTGTCTCCAACACAGAGCATAATCTATTTCCTCTTGAGAGACTGGACTTTTTTTATTAACATACTGGATTAAGAGTTGGCATATCCAATCCTCGTCTGATCCAAACTTTGGCCAAAAGACTGAGGGTCTGAGGATAGGTTCTTTGGTCCAAATAAAACAGCAATATTTTATCATTCACTGTCTTTCCTTGTGTTACATGGTTCTTTCATTATACCTCCAGTACTCTAACATAAGGCCCAGAGGACTGTCAGGGGGAATTTTATTGTCTGCTTGGCCTTTTGTACTCCCTGTCTTACTTGGGGTATTTCCCATTCTGGAGGTTGGTGCCCATTTCCTAGGGGCTTAACCTCTCCCTTT
The DNA here is from genome assembly GCF_000001405.40 of Homo sapiens. NCBI lineage: Eukaryota > Metazoa > Chordata > Mammalia > Primates > Hominidae > Homo > Homo sapiens. The sequence goes on along the minus strand of NC_000016.10, from coordinate 30,097,693 downwards.
TCCCATTGGAGGTTTCTTGCACTCATATGAATAATCGCTTCGTACTTTTTGGCCGCTTCCCTCGTGGGAATTTCAGGCCCCTCTTAGCATTAGCGGGTCGGTATAATCCCCGACTGGAAAACCGCCCTAAGCCTTATGAGGTGACCATGGAACCAAGTCTGGACTCCACACTCGATTCGTGTCCACTGACATGTCTCAGCCATGCACTTTCAACCTCCAAGTGACCCCAACCACCAAGGAAATACTTTGTCGCCCCAGTAGCAACTTTTCTTACCTTGGTCTGTGCACAGAGTTACCCACTTGCCTGGGAATTTTAAGGCTCCTTCCTGCCCACGTTGCTGAAAGTCCGGATTTATTCCTCACTTTGGGTGGACCCGATCCTCCGCTCCTTGGGCCACTGCAACAAGGCAGTGGGACGTGTCTCACGAGGAAAAGTAATCGCTACCCCTCCCAAAGGAGAATGGGATCCCAGAAGACCCTCAAATTTGTTGAAAACAAGTGCTCAGTGTAGTCAAGAAAAACCAGCACTGAGACAGAAGACTTCCCAGCAAGGCATCTTTACTTCTGCAGAAGGGTGCTGCTTGCGCTGGTTGCAATCCCAAGAGCACCCGCCAACAAAGGAGGGAAGTGGTTTTTAACCCTAACGCAGTTCCTGTTTCTGTGTCCTTTCCCCATTGGCTGGGGGGTTGGACCGCACAATCTGAGCTGATCCCGATTGGCTAAGGTTTAAACTTTCCCAAATAGGGTAGACGTGCGACAAAGAAGAAAAAGCGGGAGTAGAATCTGTTTACAGCTTATGACCAGGAAATTGAGTCTTTGAAGAGGAACTTAGCTGTCCCAACAGAGGCATCCGAGAGGCCTGGAGGAGGTGATGCTGGACAGTAGGAATTGCCTGGTCCGACGCCCTGGCTGCCAGGGGCGCGCATCTTTGGGTCTTCCCTGCTAGAAGGTGAACTGAGTGTGTCCCTGGCGCTCTGGCAAAAGCCATGGAATGGGCCCACAGTGAGAATTCCAGCTTCGCCTCTTACTAGCTGGATAACCTAGGGAGCCGCGAGACCTCCCTGGGCCTCAGCCCCCGGTACAGTGGAGCCAACGGGAGAAACGGCCTCACGGGATTGATGCGGGGATTGAGCGGGGCACGGGCGGCGGACAAACGCGGGTCATTATACTCATCTCCCCCAGAGCATGCGTCCCAGCGCCACCCGCTTCCTCGCTCCGCGCCCGGCCTAGACCTTCCGACCCCGCCCCTGCGCGGGCCACAAGCAGGAATGCGAGCAGGCCTGGGGCGCGCGGGCCGCAGCCGCATTTCCGGGCCGGCGGGAGCGGGCGGCGGGGGAGGGGCGGTCGGGGCCTGCGCCGGCCGCCGTGTGACGCGCCCCCTCATTTGCATGCGGAGCGCCCATTGGCCACGGCGGCCGCCGGGACAGGAGGCGGGTCCCCTCCCCCTCCCGCCGCAGCGGCGGCAGCAGCTGGGCTCGGTGTAAACAAGTCCAGGCGCCTGCGAACCCGGGCCCGGGGGGGACGGCGCCCGCCAGGAGCGCCCCCCACTCCCAGGCCAGCCCACCCCGGCGGACCGGGCCCCGCGCGCCCAGGCGAGGTGAGGCCCGCGCCGTCAGGGCTGCGTGTCGCCCCGCGCCCCTGCCCAGCCCGCGAGGACTGCCCCCTCCCCCGGCGCCCGCCCCCACCCCCGCGCCCCAGGTGAGCCCCGGAGTCCAGGTAAGGCTCCGCGTTGCAGGTAAGAGCCCCTGAGCGTAGAGGAGGCCTTGGCGCCCGCAGGTGAGAGCCCCTCCCCTCCTAGGTGACCCTCAACCTTCACGGCGAGGCCTCCTACCTCCTCCAGGTGGGGGACCCTCTCCCCGATGAACCCCCTAAACCACCAGTGAACCCCACTGCTCTCCAGATGAGGTCGCAAGGACCAACCAGTGCCTACCCGCCCATGCTCCCCCGAAACTGGGAACTGACAGCCCAGCCCCTCCAAAGCCCCTTCCTCCAGCTTCAGCTGCCAGGTCAGCAAGGGTGAGGCCGGAAGCAGGCGGGTGACTCACCCTGGGCACCTCCGAGCCTCAGTTTCCCCATGGATGCAACCTGAGGCCTCCTCACTGAGTCAAAACCGAGACGCCTCTGGTCCCCGGAGAGGCTGCTGGCTCTGGGGAAAGGAGAGAGCAGCCCAGTGTGACAGAGCGAGTCCCCACGGCTCTGGGAGTGCCTCGCATGTGTGTGGCCCAGGTCCTGACAGCCCACCTACTCCCTCCCCGGCAGGCACTGGGCTCCCTCTGCTCCCCGTGGGCCGCTCCCCGCGTGGGGCCACTGCCCCCGGCCCCCGCCATGGTGCGGATTTCAAAGCCCAAGACGTTTCAGGCCTACTTGGATGATTGTCACCGGAGGTATAGCTGTGCCCACTGCCGCGCTCACCTGGCCAACCACGACGACCTCATCTCCAAGGTAACCAACCAGGCCACAGTGGGGCTGGAACCTATAGGGGCTGCCTGGCAGCTCCCCACCGGCAGCCCTGACCCCCTCCTCTCTTCCCACCCTCTCACCCTTTAGTCCTTCCAGGGCAGTCAGGGGCGTGCCTACCTCTTCAACTCAGTGTGAGTATCTGGCCTCCCTTCTTGCTTTCCCTGACCTCTGTTGTGACCTGTGACCCCTGGCATCCTGCTGAGACTCCCAGAGTTCCCCGGTGCAGGCAGGAAATTGTGAGCATCATTTCTTGGATGCTGAGGACAGACACAGTGCTTGAGGGGGTGGGCCCTGTGATGGCAGGACCCTCCCTGGGACTACCCCATGTCCCCACAGGGTGAACGTGGGCTGCGGGCCAGCCGAGGAGCGGGTGCTGCTGACCGGCCTCCATGCTGTCGCCGACATCCACTGCGAGAACTGCAAGACCACTTTGGGCTGGAAATATGTGAGTCACCCACCTCTGACCCCAGGCTAGCCTTTGACCTGACCTTCCAACACCTCCTCCTGACAAGCTGTCACCCTATAGCCTTTCAGATTGCATAGGCCGAGCTCACACAAGTCAGCATCCCTGACCACATTCTCTTTATCTTGCACCTTGCAAGGGGTGTAGAACTTTTCTCTTAACCCATCCCTTCTCTCCCAGGCACTTGGATCCCCATTAGAGAGTTAGGATATAATCAGAGTCACCATTTATGGAATGTTTATGTGCCTTGCACTGTTGTGTGCCTGGCGTCTATTATCTCATTCAATCATTGCAGTGATCCTCTAGGTAGAAGCTATTATTATCTCTACAGAAGAAGACAGGGAGGCCCAGAGATGTTAGGTAACTTGCCCAAGATCACCCAACTGGTAAGTAACAGAATAGGGACCAGAATCTGAGTTGGTTGGTTGGTTTTTTTTTTTCACTCCAAACCCTTGGTCACCAGCTTATATTGTCATTTAGAGTATCAGAAAAATTGCCCCAGACTCTGCAACAACATGGAGCTTGGGTTCACCAGCCTCCCTTTCCATAGTCCTCATTGCCACTGCTGCTGTCCAGGGTCTGATTTCACTACCCTGAGTCTCATTTCCTTATCTCTCAGTGGAAGATAAAGCCACTGCCTAGCACCCAGGATTGTTACAGGGATCAGATTAGATGCTCAGGAAGATGCTCTTGGGACACTGCAAGGGACAGGATTCTTCAGGCGTCGCTTGGAACTGTGGTGCCTCTGTGAGGTGGATGTCCCAGGCAGAGCCAGCCAGCCAGCCCTGACCTGAGCTCGCTGCTGACCCTGCCACAGATTGGCTGTGTGTCTCTGGACAGGTGGCTTGGCCACTCTGGACCTCTACCAAATAAAGAGCTGGCCGGCCAGGCACAGTGGCTCACACCTGTAATCCCAGCACTTTGGGAGGCCGAGGCGGGTGGATCACAAGGTCAGGAGATTGAGACCATCCTGGCTAACACGGTGAAACCCCATCTCTACCAAAAATACAAAAAAAAAAAAAAAAAATCAGCTGGGTGTGGTGGCGGGCGCCTCTAGTCCCAGCTACTCATGAGGTTGAGGCAGGAGAATTGCGTGAACCCAGGAGGCAGAGCCTTGCAGTGAGCGGAGACAGAGCGAGACTCCGTTTCAAAAATAATAATAATTAATAAAGAGCTGGCCTAAACAAGAGGTCAAAAACTCAAGTGCCAGGCTGGGTGTGGTGGCTCACGCCTGTAATCCCAGCACTTTTGGGAGTCTGAGGCAGGTGGATCACCTGAGGTCAGGAGTTCGAGAACAGCCTGACTAACATGGTGAAACCCCATCTCTACTAAAAATACAAAAATTAGCTCGGCGTGGTGGTGGGCGCCTGTAATCCCAGCTACTCGGGGCCAAGGCAGCAGAATCACTTGAACCCGGGAAGCGGAGGTTGCAGTGAGCCGATATCGCGCCGTTGCACTTCCAGCCTGGGCGACAGAGCAAGACTCCCTCTCAAAACCAAACAAACAAAAAAACCTCAAGTGCCTGCAAGGCCAAGCAGATACTGTAGATGTGTAAAGGGTAGCATAGATTGGCAGGGTTGGGAGTTGGGGGCAGGCTGGGCAAACTGGAGTGAGCAAGGCCTACTTATATTTTAATACTTTAAAGTTATTTTTATTAAACTGTCTGCTGTCCAAACATAATACATGTTGTAGGCCAAAATGGCCATGAAGCTACCAGTTTGCAAACCCTGAACTGTGAAATCTTTTAGCCACTTCCCTATCTTCTCTGTTGGAGCCATCATTAGTACTTAAAAAAGTACCTTTGAGTCAGGGAGTTCTATTCTACTCTGTGTTTGTGAGAAATACGGCCCTGCCCCTCTGGGCCACAGTTTCCTCATATGTAAAATGGGGCCACTCATGTCCACTTCCCAACCCCAGTGCCTTGTGGTGAGACTGTTGCTCCGGGGATGACGGTCCCGCCCCTCCTTTCAGGAACAGGCCTTTGAGAGCAGCCAGAAGTACAAAGAGGGGAAGTACATCATTGAACTCAACCACATGATCAAAGACAACGGCTGGGACTGACCCCCGCTCCCCCGACGCATGTGGCTCCAGCCCGGCCTGGCCGCCAGGGAGCGCCACTGGCTTCCCGCCACCCGAAGGGAGCTCTGGACCCTCAGAGCCCCTGCAGAGGACGGATCTAGCTCCTGTATATATATTTTATTGCATGCACTGTGACCTTGGGGGGAGAACAGAAGGGGGACGACGCCCCCGCACCTCCTGCGATCTGGCTGGCTTGGATCTCGTTTTTAACCCGTTCCTGCCCCACCTGCCCTATAGTTATGGCCTGTGTTCTGCTCTCCTGGTCCCAGTGCACCGTCTGCTCTGTGAACTCCTCCCACCAGGCCCTTCTTACCCCACGCGTGTCTGTCCCCCTCGTTCTGTAGCGTTTGTACATAATAAAACAATGGAGTGGAGACAGCTCAGGCTCGCGTGTAATCCGGGAAGGGGGAGCTCAAGCGGAGATTTCCGCCCCTATAGACCTGTGCGGTTCTGAGCCCCGGCGGGGCATGGGGTAGGCACAGCCGTCCAAGCTGGGTCTCCGGGAACCGGGACGGTTTCACTGCTGGCGGAGGTCCTGAGCCCACTCTGGCTGCCTACGCCGTGACCTCGGCTGATCTGCGTCTGCTCATCTGCAGCGTTTGGCCGCCGCCTAGGGGCAGCGTCCCAGGGAGGCAACCGCGCCGCCGGCCTCGCAGCCCCCTCGCGGTCGGACTGCAACTCCCAGCGGCCCCCGCGTGGTCCGTCCGGCTCCTTCGGGCGCGCCTCAGCGCTGAGCCTGCCGGGAAGTGTAGTTCCGAGGGTTCCCCAGCGCGGGACCTTCGGGAAACCCTGGCGCGAGGCGTCAGAAGCTGTCGGACTGTGAGCGCCTTCGAACTTTGGAGGCTTGGCTCGGGATGGAGGTTTTTTTAGCATGGGGACCAGGGAGGACTACGGTGCTCGGGACTGGGCTGCGGCCTCCTCGCGGCCCCGAGTGCCCTGTGAAATCAGCTCAGGCCGCGTCCCTCTAGCCTGCACTTTCCCTCTGTTCACGCTGCTTCCCTCCAGGGCCCGGCCTCCAAGTGAAGGGGGGCGGAGGGCGGTCACCTGCCAGAAGGTCTGGGGCGCCAAGGTGTGTCCCGGGACTCTTGGCTCCGTCCAGGTTCCAGGCCCCGCCCCCCAGCTTATCCCTAGCCGGGGCTCCCCACCGTGGGAACGGGGACCAGCTGGCCGGAAGCGCCAAACTGCGTCCCTGTCCGAGCCCTGGGGATCAATCAAGCCGAGGAGTTAATTATGTAATGAGGGGGCAGGGGGTCGAGGCTAATGAAGCCTCCCGGGGTGGGGAGGGAGGGGAGGAGGGGACCGTACCCAGGTATCCGACCCCCTCTCGGACCCCTTCGAGGCCCCAGGGGTCTCCACCCCAGCCCAACTCCAGGGCCCCAAAGAGGGGAGGGGCTGTGATCCTGGATCTGGAAGGGGCTGAGCTGTGAGCTATAAAGGGGGCATCTCGCAGCACCGGGGGCCCTAAGCAGCGAGACCTGAGGCCAGACGGAACTACAACATGTACCATCCACGAGAATTGTACCCGTCCCTGGGGGCCGGCTACCGCCTGGGGCCCGCCCAACCTGGGGCCGACTCCAGCTTCCCACCCGCCCTAGCGGAGGGCTACCGCTACCCCGGTGAGCGTTGGGACCAGCTCCTGGGTAGGAGAATAGGGGGGCTGTGGCCCTCGGCTGGCTCCTCATTCTTCCCCGGCTTCCAGAACTGGACACCCCTAAACTGGATTGCTTCCTCTCCGGGATGGAGGCTGCTCCCCGCACCCTGGCCGCGCACCCACCTCTGCCCCTTCTGCCCCCTGCCATGGGCACTGAGCCGGCCCCATCAGCTCCAGAGGCCCTCCATTCCCTCCCGGGGGTCAGCCTGAGCCTGGAGAACCGGGAGCTATGGAAGGAGTTCAGCTCTGTGGGAACAGAAATGATCATCACCAAAGCTGGGAGGTGAGGGGCTGGCCAGGGTCCGTGTTTCTGGTGGGGGTCTCTTGGGAAAGGCAGAGTCCCTGGGGAGGGGGCTAGGACTGGGTGGTTCCCGAGGGGCTAGAGCTCTGCCTAGGCCTAGAATCTGACTATGGCCTGGGGCAAGGGTTACTCTGTGGCAGGAATCAGGAGTCACTCTGTGACAAGGGTTAAGGGCCAGTCTGTGGAGTCTGTGGCTGAGTTTAGGGACCAATCTATGGCAAGGGTCATGGGTCAGTCTGGGGCAGGGTCAGGAAGTCCCTCTGGGTTATAGGTTAGTGTGTGGCTTAGACCAGCATCCAGACAAGGACAGGGGGTCAAGGGCCAGCCCATTGACCAGCATCAGGGAAATCTGGCCAGGATTCGGGATCAGTATGCAACTCGAATAGGAGTCAGTATATGACTAGGTCCAGGGTCACCCTAGAGGCAGGGACACGGTCAGTGTTTGACCTTAGATGAGGTCTTTAGCTGGGGCAGGAACTCAAGCCCTAGCATGGAAAGTCCTCGGCCCTACTGCAGGCAGGGTATATTTTTTCTAAAGCAAATTCATCTAAGAGCTGCAGATTCTGGTGCTGGAGATCAGGGGAGGAGAGGAGGGTGGGGACAGGAAGCTCCTAGCAAGAAAGTTAGTCACCCCTGCTTCTGCAAATAGGCTTTGAGGGGTAGGAGTCATGGCTCTGTTCCTAACCTGCTGTGTGACAGATCACTTAACCCGTCTGTCCTGTTTCCCCAAATGTAAAATGAGACAAGAAAACCTTCCAGCTCTAAGATTCCGCCCTCTGGCTTCTTTTTTTTTTTTTTTTTTTTTTTGAGATGGAGTCTCGCTCTGTTGCCCAGGCTAGAGTGTAGTGGCACGATCTCGTCAGCTCACCGCAACCTCTGCTTCCTGGATTCAAGCGATTCTCCTGCCTCAGCCTCCCGAGTAGCTGGGACTATAGGCACACACCACCACACCCGGCTAATTTTTGTAGTTTTAGTAGAGACGGTGTTTCACCATATTGGCCAGGCTGGTCTCAAACTTCTGACCTCATGATCCTTCCACCTCGGCTTCCTAAAGTGCTGAGATTACAGGCATGAGCCACTGCGCCTGGCCCTTTTTCATTTTTCAGAGACAGTGTCTTGCCCTGTTGCCCAGGCTGGAGTGCAGTGGTGCAATTGTGGCTCACTGTAGTCTTGACTTCCCAGGCTCAAGTGACCCTCCCGCCTCAGCCTCTGTAGTAACTGGGACTATCAGTGTGCACCACCATGCCTGGCTAATTTTTTAATTTTTTTGTAGAGATGGGGTCTTTCTATGTTGCCCAGGCTGGTCTTGAATTCCTGACTCAAGAGATCCTCCCACCTTGGCCTCCCAAAGTATAGGGATTAGAGGTGTGAGCCACAGCCTCCAGCCTGCCCTCTGGGTTCTAATTCCACCTCCTTTGATGTTTCTCTGACAGCTCTGGGGAGCCCGTTGTTATGTCCCGTTACTGGTGCTGGGCCCACCCCTGGCCAGTGGGTAGCTCCAGGCCTCTCCTGTCCCCTCCCTTGCACAGGCGCATGTTCCCTGCCTGCCGAGTGTCAGTCACTGGCCTGGACCCCGAGGCCCGCTACTTGTTTCTTCTGGATGTGATTCCGGTGGATGGGGCTCGCTACCGCTGGCAGGGCCGGCGCTGGGAGCCCAGCGGCAAGGCAGAGCCCCGCCTGCCTGACCGTGTCTACATTCACCCCGACTCTCCTGCCACTGGTGCACATTGGATGCGGCAGCCTGTGTCTTTCCATCGTGTCAAGCTCACCAACAGCACGCTGGACCCCCACGGCCACGTGAGGCCCAGGCTGGGACTCCAGGATAGGGTTGGGGGGTGCTGGAAGGGAGGCCAAGGGTGAGGCGCAGGGCAGGGAATCACTCCCATTTCCTCCCTCCCAGCTGATCCTGCACTCCATGCACAAGTACCAACCCCGCATACACCTAGTTCGGGCAGCCCAGCTCTGCAGCCAGCACTGGGGGGGCATGGCCTCCTTCCGCTTCCCCGAGACCACATTCATCTCCGTGACAGCCTACCAGAACCCACAGGTGAGTGACCCTGCTTGAGGGGGTGGTGGCCCCCTGCCCAGACCGCAGTTGCTTTGACCCTGCATGTGTGTCCCCAGATCACACAACTGAAGATTGCAGCCAATCCCTTTGCCAAAGGCTTCCGGGAGAACGGCAGAAACTGTAAGAGGTGGGAGTTGTTCATTCATTTGTTCATGCATTCAACAAATGTTTATTAATCACTCACTGTGTGCCAGGCACCGTGCTGGACATCAGAAATGCAGTGGTAAGTGAAAACATTCATTCACTGACTCAGCAAATACTTATATAGTACCTGCTATGTGCCAGGGACAGTTCCAGGCACTGGAGATAAAACAAACAAAGCAAACCAAAGCCCCGGCCCTCATGCAGCTGATTTCTAGTGGGGAGAGTAGACAAGCAGACAAGAGAAATAAATAAAATGTCATCTGTTAGGAAGCCATTCTAAAGAGAAGAGAGACCAGGTGTGGTGGCTCACGCATGTAATCCCAGCACTCTGGGAGGCTGAGGCGGGCAGATCACCTGAGGCCAGGAGTTCGAGACCAGCCTGCCAACATGGTGAAACCCTGTCTCTGCTAAAAATACAAAAATTAGCCAGGCATGGTGGCAAACGCCTGTAATCCCAACTACTTGGGAGGCTGAGGCAGGAGAATCTCTTGAACCCAGGAGGTGGAGGTTGCAGTGAGTCGAGATCATGCCATTGCATTCCAGCCTAGGCAACACGAGCAAAACTTCCTCTCAAAAAAAAAAAAAAAAAGAAAGAAAAGAAAACTCTGTCTCAAAAAAAAAAAAAAAAAGAAAAAAAAGAAAAAGGAGAAGAGAAATAAACCAGGAAAAGATAGGAAGGACTGGGGTGAGGTATTAGATAAGAGGCCTGGAAAGGCCTCAGTGGGAAGAAGACACTTGAGAAAGAGCTGAAGGAAGTACGGGAGGGAGCCAGGTGGGCATCTGGCAAAGCACACTAGGGAGTGGGAACAGCACGTGCAAAGGCCCTGAGGTGGGGCTGTGCCTGTGGCGTGGCTGCAGTGGAGTGACTAAGAGTCAGGCAGGGGAGGGGAAGCCAGGTTATGTCGGACAGTAAAGGTTCCGTAAGGCCGTGGGAACTGTTCCAAGTGCAGCACCTCAGAGCTGGCCCCTGCCCTCAAGTAGCTTCCAGTTTGTCAGAAGAGACAGACATGAACCAAGGAGTCACTCCATCAAATGCAAAAGCAGAACTGTGACGGATGTTATGAGGGAGGGGTGTGTGCTCTCGGAGGTCAGGGAGGACTTCCTTGAGGAACTTGCGCTTGCAGTGAGGCAAGGATAGGTTTGGTGGCTCATGCCTGTAGTCCCAGCACTTTCGGAGGCTGAGATGGAAAGATCACTTGAGCCCAGGAGTTGGAGGCTGCAGTGAGCTGTGACCTGTGACTGTGCCACTGCACTCCAGCCTGGGCAACATAGCAAGACCCCATCTCAAATTTTAAAAATGAAAAGAAAAAGGACAGGTTCAGCCCGTGAAGAGGGGACAGAAGAGGATTCCAGAGAGAGGCTGAGAGTGGAGATGGGGCAGAAAGATGAGCTAGGTGAGACTGTGCCCTGGCCTTGCCACTGGGAAGGAGTTTCCACTGATACTAAACACAATAGGAAAGCATGGACAAATTTGAGCAGGGACAAAATTCCAGCTCTGCCACTTTCTAGTTATTTAATTTTCTGGCCTTCAGTTTCTTCATCTATAAAATGGGTATAATGATGGCCCCTACCTGACAGGGTCCCTGGGAGGGTGAAATGCCTGGCACCGGGTAAGTACTGTTACCATCACCATGGCCATCACCATCATCATCATCATCACCACCACTGTTCCCCAGGGAGCGAGACGCCCGTGTGAAGAGGAAACTGCGGGGCCCAGAGCCAGCAGCCACAGAGGCCTATGGGAGCGGAGGTGAGTGTAGTCCCGATGGCGATGGGGCCAGGCCTGAGACAGGGATCCTCCCTAGCCCAACCTCTCCCTTCCCTCTCCCCAGACACACCAGGTGGTCCCTGCGACTCCACCCTGGGTGGAGACATTCGTGAATCAGATCCAGAACAGGCCCCAGCCCCCGGGGAAGCCACCGCTGCCCCGGCACCTCTGTGTGGTGGCCCCAGTGCTGAGGCCTACCTCCTGCACCCTGCGGCTTTCCATGGGGCCCCCAGTCACCTTCCCACCAGGTGAGTGGGACAGGGGACCAGGCGGGGCTGCGGGTCCCTCTGCCCTGCTCTGACATCCCTCTCTCCATGTCAGGAGCCCCAGCTTCCCGGAGGCTCCAGACTCCGGGCGCTCAGCCCCCTACTCGGCTGCATTTCTGGAGCTGCCGCACGGGTCAGGGGGCTCCGGGTACCCAGCGGCTCCACCGGCGGTACCCTTTGCCCCGCACTTTCTCCAAGGGGGCCCCTTCCCTCTACCATACACCGCGCCTGGGGGCTATCTGGATGTGGGCTCCAAACCCATGTACTGAACCACTGCTGGGCCCCTCTGCCTCCATCACAAACCTCCCGCTCCCTTCCCCCAGCCCTGGAGCCCCCTCACCTCCACCGGCCCCATCCCCCACACCAAATGGCCGCCTTGGGCCTGCCCACCCACCCCCTCAACTTCACACCTTGATTTCACTCCCACCCCCCTCTGGCTTCAAAGCCTAACCAAGGCTGCTGGGAGTCCAGCTGGGGCCGGCTTCCCCTTCCCGGCTCTCACCTCCGTGTGAATGGAAGGGGCTCTGCCTGGCCAAATGGGGCCACAGACCAGCATCCCCACTTACCAGGCCTCCCCATGGGCTCTGGAGGGGCTCAATCCCCACCCCCCCACACACACTGGTGCAGGCCACACCAGTCTGTTGTTCTGGGACCAGAGTATTTTTGTTAATAAAACTCAAAAGCCATCCATGCTCAGGAAACATTGGGCTCCTGTGTTTGGCCCTGGGCGGGGCTGGGTGAGCAAAGGCTTTGCTAGGAGACCCAGGCCCAGATCTAGACCTGTGTTTCCAGCTGCCTGACCTAGCACAAAATCCACTGGCCCTCTAGGCCCATCTCCTCTTCAGGAAAATGGAGAAATCAGAATCCTGTGATTCTGTGTGTGCCTGTGTGTGTATGCTGTTAATAAGATAAGGCTGCCCATGAGAACAGAGCCCTCTCCCTAGGGCTGGGGAAGCCAGCAGGCAGCGGCCCCTGGAGGCCCTGGGCAAGCTGACTGGCCTGAGCCTGGCCCTCTTGGCAGGTCGGGGCCCTGAGGCAGTCAAGGCCCTGACGTCCACCCCAGGTCCCAGGCCAGCAACCCTGTGCATTCCCAACCAAGTCTGGCACAAACCCAAAAACCATTTTTCTTCTTTTATTAGAATTTTTTCATTTTTTTTCTCAAAATTTTTATCTAAAAACAAACAGAAAAAAGAAGGAAAAAAAGAAAAAAAAATTATTGGAAACTTCATGGTTCAAGTGGGGAGAGAGGAGGAGGAACATGGAGCTAGGTCTCCAGGCCTCTCCAGAGAAGTCCTCACCCTCGAAGCACCCTCTTGGGGGACAGCAGAGCCAGGACAGCCCCCCCCACGCCCAGCCTCCGTCTGAGGAAGATGGCAGAGTCACAGTGGTGCGAGGGCCAGAAGGGTTGGAGGGGGCAGGGGCCGGGCGGGGTCACAGGAAGTAGTCGGCCACGGGCTTCTTGGAGGGGATGCCCCGTGTCTCTTGGGGAGCAGCCTCAAAGATGATGAAATCTTTCTGGAGATGCTCGTCCAGCTCCAAGATGGCTGCCACATTCCCACAGCTGGAAGGCGGGGCAGCAGGGTCAGGAGCAGCTCGGCTCAGATGCCCGCCCATCCCAGCCCGGCCCAGCCGGCTCACCGGTAGCAGTAGTTGGGTGCCGACCACACAGTGAGCACCGTCTCATTGAAGTGCCACTTGTAACCTTCCATCACCAGTTGGTGGGCACGGCAGATCATGTCAATGTCATTGGCTGCGTTGAACTGGGCCACCACGTCACTGCCAAATAGGTAGCCGGCTCCTCGGGGGCTCACGCCCCAGCCTGTGGTGTCTGATGCGGAAAGGGAGGGATGGAGAGGGATGTCCTCAGGCTTCTCTGGCTGCCAGCGCTGCCCCTTGAGGGTGAGCAGCCTGGCCCCTCCCCAAGTCCACCAGAGGCCCGTGGGACCAGAGCATGGGGCCTGAATATGGTCTGTGGGATGGCGGGGACCAGGACAGCAAATGTAGGGGCAGATAAGCTCCAGAGGAGAAAGAACGCCCAATGCCTGGGGCCCCCTCATAATCACAGTGATCATACAATCCCCGTCCAAACAGCACATAAGAGTGAAAGGGGCACTCCCAGAGACAGAAGGGCACCCTGTGTTGTCACAGGGAGGTCCGGAGTGACTGTGGAGCAGCGGCTGCATGTGTGTGTCTGCATGTGTGTGTCTGTATGTGTGTGGCTGTGATGGAGCAGAGGCCTCGTGTGCGTGTGTGTGGCTGTGATGGAGCAGAGGCTATGTGTATGTGTGTGTGTGTCTGCGCTGGAGCAGAGGCTGCCTGTGCGTGTGTGCCTGTGACAACAGGAACTCTGGCTGGTCCTCAGAAGACCTGACTTTAAATCTCAGCTCTGCTCTACACTAGTGGAAAACCCACAAAATGAGGGGTCTCAGGGGGCTACCATTCTGGGGTTCTGACCTCTGAAGAAGCTGCTGTCATGTTCTAAGGCCCCTTCACTTCAGGGAGCCATGACTTGGTTGTCCTCCACAGCCCTCTGGGCCATGCCCCAAGCCACTGTGTGCTCAAAGCACCTGCCATGCAGGCCTCCCTGCTCCTCCTCCAGGGTTCCAGCCATTTGGCAGGTGGAGGACGAGTGACAGTGAAGACCAGCCCTGCTCCCTCTCTTTCCCAACCCCTCCTGGCTGTCCCTGCCTGCCCCTGCCCACATGCCCTCACCTTCTGGGTCAGACCAGAGGAGGTCACACATGGGCCCATCATGAGGCACCTCTTGCTTTCGGTCGATTGTCCGAATCTGATCCAGGGTCTGGATGGAGGGGGAGAGGCCCCCGTGCACGCAGAAGATCTACAGGGGAGAGCAGGGAAAGAGGACGGGGCTGAGGCCTGAAGCCCCCCTCCTCTCCCTGTCCCATGGAGCCCTGGGCTGGCTTACCTTGCCATCGATGATGGCTGACAGGCTGAGGTAGTCAAAGATCTCAGTGCAGTAGCGCCACACAGTCACCGAGCCGTACTTGCGCAGGCACTCATCGTAGAAGCCATAGACCTGCGTGATCTGGCGACTCTCATGGTTGCCCCGGATCAGTGTGATGCGATCAGGATAGCGAACCTGGGGGTGGCCACCAAGCCAGGGCTGGCGCCTAGACGGTCTCTCCACACATCCCTCTCTGACCTCCTCGTGCCCGCCAGCCTGCCATCCTCACAACCACTGCCCAGCACACTCCTGGCACCTCTTGCCTGAATCGTGTGGCATCAGCCACCTCCCAGGCCCACACGACCCCTCCAGAGAATGTAAAGCTGACCCATTCCCTCAACTATGAACCTAATGGCTCTTCTTTCACCTACCAGACACAGACCGGGTCCCTAGCAAGGCACCCAGGCCCTTTGTCATCTGGCCCCACACTGCCTCTCCCACCAGTGGCATCAATGACCTGCCACATTCGCAACAGTGAGCCTCTGCCCCTCCCAGAATGCTGCCCCGCTGGCCTCAACCCCCATCAAGTCTCTGACCACCCCCAAAAGCAGAATCGGTCCATCACCAGTGACACAGCTCCAAGGTGGGGCTGGTCACGATAGGAGATGAGGGCGGAACGGACTAAGACAGGCCCGGCCCGAGGTCGCCCAGGTTGGGGGTGCAGAAGCCGGGGACTGCCACCTTAAGTGCCAGCAGCAGGAGGAACGTTTCGACGCTATAGAAGCCACGGTCCACAAAGTCCCCCATGAAGAGGTAGTTGGTCTCAGGGACGTCGCCACCTACCTGTGGGGAAGTAGAAAGTTTTGCCCTGTCGTAAACAGTCCCCTACCCCCTACCTGTTTCTGTCCAGCGGAGGCCCTTCTTCCACAACCACCCATCTAACTTGGGGCCCCTTGCCCCCACTCCACGCCCCAAATTAAGGCTCCCACCCTCAATTACAGGGGTCTTCCAGTCATCCCCCCGTTACATTTCACAGTGTTGGCCACACTCTTACTCTGAACAGCTCTTTGAGGTCATAGAATTGTCCATGGATGTCGCCGCACACCTGGGGAACAGGAAGAGTGGGGTTGGAACTCAAGCAGTGGGAGTTGCCAGGGACTACCCTCCAAACACCCGCTGCTTTAGTGAGCTTTATCACTCTTGGCTGCACTTCTACTTCCTAGGACCAAAATTCTCCTCTCCCACCCCAAGTCAGTCTGGTCTGGAACCATACCCACTGTCCTATGCTGAGTACCAACTATTCTGTAGGCAAGAGCTAGAACTAAGTCCTTCCAGGTAGATGTCCCGGCCCCTTCCTCTCTCTACTCCCCACAAAGTACCCAGAATCAAGTTACTAACACAGAGCCCTGGAGATATGTGAGCAGAATCACTCGCCAAATAGGAGTCCTTCTGCCCTGGCCAAGAATCTCCACTAACAAATCCAAAGTCCCTTCCCATAACCCCTTTCTTTTCTTTCCTTTCTTTTTTTTTTTTTTAGACGGAGTCTCACTCTGTCGCCTAGCCTGGAGTGCGGTGGCGCGATCTCGGCTCACTGCAAGCTCCGCCTCCTGGGTTCACGTCATTCTCCTGCCTCAGCCTCCCGAGTAGCTGGGACTACAGGTGTCCACCACCACACCTGGCTAATTTTTTTGTATTTTTAGTAGAGATGGGGTTTCACCATGTTAGCCAGGATGGTCTCGATCTCCTGACCTCATGATCCACCTGCCTCGGCCTCCCAAAGTGCTGGGATTACAGGCGTGAGCCGCCGCGCCCGGCCTGTTTTTTTTGTTTTTTTTTGTTTTTTTTTGAGACGGAGTCTCCCTCTGTCACCCAGGCTGGAGTGCAGTGGCCTGATCTCAGCTCACTGCAATCTCCAACTCTGGGGTTCAAGCGATTCTCCTGCCTCAGCCTCCCAAGTAGCTGGGATTACAGGCACGTGCCACCACGCGTGGCTAATTTTTGTATTTTTAGTAGAAACGGTTTCACCATGTTGGCCAGGCTGGTCTCGAACTCCTAACCTCAAGTGATGTGCCCACCTTGCCCTCCCAAAATGCTGGGATCACAGGTGTGAGCCAACGTGCACAGCAACCCCCACTTCTTTTAGCAGTGCTCCGTTGAAGGTGAGGGAAAGGACAGATAAAAGAGCTTAGGGTTGGGCTTATAGAGCCCCCAAGATGAAGAGGAAACTTCATGTGCCTGAAAGACCAGGCCTGGCTCTGCAGGGACAGCAGGTACTCACTGTGACTGGCGAGTCCACCCTCTGCACGTTGCTCTCCTCTACCAAGATCTCTCTGGAGACAGGAGAAGACCAGGGTCACCACAGCCAGGCCAGCCCAGCCCAATTCCTGACCTTTTTTGGGGGGAGGGGAGGATATGAGGCAGTCCTGGAAGCTCCAGGGGGCAGGAGTGAAGCGTACAGTCTCCCCAAAACAGGCTGACCACGGCCCTTCAGCATGCAACACCCTTCCGTGGCCCCCTGCTGCCAAAAGGACAAAGTCCAACCTCTTATCCCAGCGTTCCAGGCCTTCTGAGCAGGCTGGGACTTTTCCAGCCCTGACTCCCCCTGCCGCTCCCTCTTCCGCATCCAGGACTCACTCCTGGGAGGCGGGTCTCCCCATCCTCTCCACAGCAGAGCTTAAGTCACCCTTGGCCAATCACAGAGCCCTTCTCCCAGGCTATCCAGACACAAGGGTAGGTGCCCAGGGCAGGCCCACAGTGGATGCGCCTTCAAAGTGATGCGCTCTTGGCCAGGTGCGGTGGCTCATGCCTGTAATCCCAGCACTTTGGGATGCCAGGGTGGGCAGATCACGAGGTCAGGAGTTTGAGACCAGCCTGACTAACATGGTGAAACCCTGTCTCTACTAAATATACAAAAATTAGCCAGGCGTGGTGGCGCGTGCCTGTAATCCCAGCTACTTGGGAGGCTGAGGCAGGAGAATCGCTTGAACCTGGGAGGTGGGGGCTGCAGTGAGCTAAGATCGCGCCACTGCACTCCAGCCTGGGCGACAGAGCAAGACTTCATCTCAAAAAAAAAAAAAAAAAAGTGAGGTGCTCTTGCCATGTGTTCAGTATTTCTTTATGACTATGAGGACTTAAATATTTTTTATTTCTCCTTGCAGTGCAGTCTACTTCTACTTGAGTGAGCAGGAGATGAAATCACTTTGCCAGGTAAGACACCCAATTTTTTTTTTTTTTTTTTTTTTTTGAGACAGAGTCTGGCTCCATTGCCCAGTCTGGAGTGCAGTGGCGCCATCTTTGCTCACTGCAAACCTCTGCTTCCTGGGTCAAGTGATTCTCCTGCCTCAACCTCCCGAGTAGCTGGGATTAGAAGCATGTACCACCACGCCCAGCTAATTTTTGTATTTTTAGTAGAGTCGAGATTTCACTATGTTGCCCAGGCTGGTCTCGAACTCCTGACCTCAAGTGATCTACCCACCTTTGCCTCCCAAAGTGCTGGGATTACAGATGTGAGCCACTGCACCCAGCCTATAGATACCCAATTTAAGCAACACTGTATTTCCAAATTTTGCCTGGTAATAGCAGCAGTGAACATTCGAGCTCATACTGTGTGCCACAAATGTTATTAAGAGCTTGGCAGGCAGGTACTATGATGATTCCCGGTACACAGATGAAGAAATTGAAGCAGGGAAGGAGGCTGGCTTGGTGCCAGTGACACAGGTGGGATATGAACCAGGGAAGCCTGGCTCTGGGGTCTGACTCTTTATCAAGATATTCTGATGTGGGAGGCCCAACTCGCCTGGCCCCCCTCTTTCTGCCAATCTCTTCCCTTAGAATGAGTTTCCTGAGCTCAGTGGACAGGAGGATTCACT
Organism: Homo sapiens; assembly: GCF_000001405.40. NCBI lineage: Eukaryota > Metazoa > Chordata > Mammalia > Primates > Hominidae > Homo > Homo sapiens. The sequence continues at coordinate 30,079,719 of NC_000016.10, read as the reverse complement.
TATGCCCCTTGCTCTGTATGGCAGAGGCAGCACGAAGGAGGTCTGCCCTGGCTTTCTGGGAACAGAAGGCAGCACTGGCGGTGGTCCAAGAGGCCACATCAGTACCCGGACTCTCCCACCTGCACTGCTTCTTGTGCTGAACATCCTTCCCCATCAACTGCTCATAGTGACCTTTCCAACAGACTGGGGAGGTTCTCTTCAGCCTCACGTAACAGTAAAGAAACCGAAGCTAGGCCGGGCGCGGTGGCTCATGCCTGTAATCCCAGCACTTTGGGAAGCCAAGGCAGGCAGATCATGAGGTCAAGAGATTGAGACCATCCTGGCCAACATGGTGAAACCCCGTCTCTAGTAAATATACAAAAATTAGCTGGGCATGGTGGCGCGTGCCTGTAATCCCAGCTACTTGGGAGGCTGAGGTAGGAGAATCACTTGAACCTAGGAGGTGGAGGTTGCAGTGAGCCAAGATCAGGCCACTGGCACTCCAGCCTGGGCAACAACAGCAAAACTCTGTCTCAAAAAAAAAAAAAAAGAAAAAAAGAAACCAAAGCTTACAGAAAAGCGGGAGGGTCAAGGTCACCAAGCTGGAGAGTGGCTAAATTGGAACCCAGAAGCCCAATTTCCTGAGAATTTATGCCAGCCCCTTCCACAGACCCTGAGTGAAAACCTGAAGCCCAGGGAGGTCACATGCAGGGCCCGTGCTCTCTGCAAAGCCCCCCTCAGTGCCAGCGCAACCCCAGTGTGGCCTGGGAATCAGGCCCAGATTCCAGCCCCAGTTCTGCCACTTGCAGCACTTCCCCAGCCCTATCAGGACCTGCCTGCAGTAACGGCTACCAGCGCAGCAGGCCCTGTGCCCGGATACCCGGACTCTCAACTGCATGTCATTATCACTTCAAAAAATCAGAAAGTGACTTGACGAGGGTCATATTGCTTCTAGGTGACAAGGCAAAGATTCATACTGAAGACCACCTGATTCAAAAGCTCAGCTCTCCTACTGTGCTAATATTTCTAGTAGCAGCAATTTCAGCTCAGACACTGCGGACCTCTGTGCTTCCACTGGTTTCATCTGCATGTCTGTGCCCTCTAGGCAAGCTGGTGCTCTTGACACCACCAGCCTCAGCCTGGGTCTCTGATGGGTCCCCAGGAGGCCATAACCAGGTATCAGAGATGGCCCTGCTTCAGACTGAGCCTGGGACAACAGCGGCCAACTCAGGCCTTGGCCTAGTACCTCCTAGTTCCACTCAGTTTCAACTGGGCAGGACCCTCCACCCCTCAGCCTTCCATGGCTTCCTGCTGCCTCACACCCCACATCAAAATCTAAATGCCTCTGCCTGGCTCTCAGTGACCACGGAGCACAGTCAAAGACCTGGATGCAAAACTAACTTCCCCTCCGACTAGCTGCGTGATGTTGGGCAAGACATTATCTACTCAAAGGCTCAGTTTCCTCTGCTATGAAATGGGGCTAAGTACTCAGCCCACCCTGCGTATTCCTTAGGCTGTTGCAAGGAGCCATGGAGACTGAATATACGACTTCCTGCTATTCTGCAAACTCCAGCATGCTATCTAAGCTTTGTCTACCATCACCACCACACTGATCCAGGGCCCGTGAGGGAGACAATACTTCGAGGTTAAAGAATAGTGCCAGGCAACAACAGGTTTAAGTTCCTAAAAATGCCAATCAGGACTGAGGGAAAGGGGACAACTAAAAACACCATGGGGCTGGTCTGGTCAGCTGGCAAAAGAGAAAAGCCACAGACAGGTGGCGAAAAAGAGGCCGACCCTGCTCATCATCCCCTCACAGGCCCTGTCTGGCTGCAGGTAGTCTATGTGAGGCAGGGCCAGGCAAAGAGCCTGAGGGCCACAGATTCAGGACCCAGCTCTGCCACGTCCTCAGTGGGTGACCTCAGTTAAGTCACCAGACCTCTACGAGTCATGGCTTCCTATTCGATAAAATGCAGCAAATGATTCCAACCTCATAGGATTGCTGGGGGGAAGAGATGGATAGAAGTTTTTTGCCAGTACCGGGCCAGGCCAAATAGTGGCCCTGTAAAGGCCAATGTTTACTGTTCAATAAACGTAGGGTAATTCTGTGGGCTCTTCTGCCACAATTCTCCAGCCTGGTAGAAGCCACAATCACACAGTTCCCCAGAGGAGGCAGGTAATTAAACCCCTGACTGTTCCCCACGCATCTCAGGGCCTCCACTGTTACATTCGTCCTGCTTGGAATGCCCTTCCCTCACTGGCCCTGCCTCCATCAGCTAGCCAAATTATCTTCATCCTTCAAGGCCTACCTCCACTCAAAAGCCCTCCCTGATGGCTTTAGCCCATCTCATTATTGCCCTCTTCCAAAAGAAATAGAATACCTGGTGATTATCAAGCACGTATGCTGTACCAAAACACTGTGCTAACCTCATCTCCAGCACCAACTCACTGAATCTTCACAATCATCTTATTAAGTACTATTAATTCTGCTTTACAAATAAAGACACTTAAGATTACTAACACAGCTAGAAAGCGGCAGAGTTCAGATTCAAACCTAGAGCCATCTCACACTGCAAAACCTAGAGCCTTAACCACTACATCATCCTACTTCCCACAGAACTCTGAACTGGCCTCCCTATCGTGCTTAATTCTACCCTGGCTTACTTGCTACGATTTCTCAGGCTCCCACCCTGAACGTGAATGATCCAACTCCACCTTTTTGCATTATGGCCTGAAAAAGGACAGGACACTAAGAGCTGGCTTCAGACCCCATTCCTTACTTGTGGGTAACTTTGAACATGAAAGTTCCCACCTGTAAAATGAGTACAATACCACCAATCTTTAAGGGTTGTTGTAATTAGAAGACTTTTATAAATCACAGGGTCTTTAACTTTCCTGTCTTAAACTTTTGGTTTTTGGCTGACTCTTTTACCACCTCCTTATTCGAGGCCTCTCCCACAGTTCGGCCCCCCTCCAACAAGCTTCCGTCCCCCGACAGATGGACTTGTTTCCTTGAGTTTCCTAAGTACTTTATGTAACACTCTTACTCCACTGGAAACACATCGTCTAATAAACTTTAAGTGTCTTTATCCACTCTGTCTTCCCCGAGCAGGCTAGCTTTTCCTCGAGGGCAGCGGCTCCATCCTGCTCCTCTCTGGGAAAGCTTCCAGAACGAGGCAAGCCCAAAGTTCTCAGTTGGGTTTGCCCCAGGCCAGAACCCGTGGGCGGCGGCTTGGCCTCCCTTCCCCAGGGCCAACGAGCTCACCTGGCCTTAGCGCACAGGGCCTTGACTTCGCTCTCCTTGATGAGCTCGCAGCGACGCAGCTGCTCGATCTGCCGGTCCAGGTCGCTGATCTCCGCCATGGCCCACCCCCGGCGCGGGTCAGAGTCGGGGCCGCCGCCCCCTCCGCACCGCACAGGGGTCTCCTGGGAAAGGCCAAGACGAGCCCGCGGATCAGTGTCCGTCCGGGGCTCGGAGCGGACAACTCGATTCTAGAGCCGGCCCGGCTCCCCCACCCCCGCCTCCCCTCACATCGGCCCCAGGACCCCCCGGCGTCCAACGGCCTGGCCGCACCCCCGCTAACTCCCGTCGAACCCCGCGGTCCCGCGCTAAGGACGGTGACTTAGAGGAGTCTCGCACTATTACCGCCGCTGCGACTCCGGTTCCGGCTCTCCGGCTCCCTGCCTCCCTCTTTCACTCCGCTTTCGACCGCCGCCGCCGCCGCCGCCGCCGCTCCTACTTCCGGCCCCGCCGCGGAAGCAAAGGAGGCCAGTTCCGCCGCGCGCCGGATGTGGCGTCATACACGCTCCTCTCCTTTCGCAGCGACCCCTGCACCACTTCTCCAGCCTGAGATCGGGAAGGAGGTGGAGGAACCCGGTGGCGGCCAGTGGCAGTTTTGTGGGCTCTGCCGCTGGGCGATGTGGAGGCTATTAGAAACCCTAGACCAGTCCCCTCCCATATCATTTCATAAAAATGTTTAAACAACTGTCTTTTCTTTTTTTGAGACGGAGTTTTGCTGTTGCCCAGGCCGGGGTGCAATGGCACGAACTCGGCTCACCGCAACTTCCGCCTCCCGGGTTCCAGCAATTCTCCTGCCTCAGCCTCCTGAGTAGCTGGGATTACAGGCATGCGCTACCACGCTGGGCTAATTTTGTATTTTTAATAGAGACGGGGTTTCTCCATGTTGGTCAGGCTGGTCTCTAACTCCCTACCTCAGGTGATCCGCGCCCCCACCCACCACCACCCTTCGGCCTCCCAAAGTGCTGGGATTACAGGCGTGAGCCACCGCGCCCGGCCACAACTTTCTTTTTTCTAAATTAGAGACAGGGTCTCGCTCTATCGCTCAGGCTGGAGTCGGTGGGGCTATCATAGGTCACTGTGACCTCGAACTCCTGGGCACAAGCTATCTTCCCGCCTCGGGCCTCCCAAAGTGCTGGGATTACAGGCGTGAGCCACCGCGCCCGGCCATCCCCCATTTCAGCTAGGGAAACAAGCCGAGCTGGGGCTAGGCTTTGTAACTTTATTACACTTTTTTTTTTTAACATTACACTTTTTTTTTAATGTTACACATTTTTGTTACTTGTTTTGTCAGCCTTCCCCACCACAGTCCTTGGAGGATCCAACTTTGTCTTTTTAAATATTGCAGCCCCAGTGGTTAGAATAAGGCCTGGCACGGTAGGCATATATAGATACTTGTTAATACTTGTTCAATGGATGAGGGAAGCCAAGTTCAGATCTCTTCCTGTGCCGTCAGAGAAATATTTGCCGTGGACAACTTCAGAAGTTAACAGATTGGAGTCCACTTTTCCCACGCCAAGCCTGTGCCTCAGTCAGCATGACTTCTCTGATTCCAAAATGGCACTCTTGACATTTCTTAGTTGCTTCCGTTTTTCTTTTTGAGACAGAGTCTCACTCTCTCGCTCTGTCGCCCAGGCTGCAGTCCAGTGGCGCCATCTCGGCTCACTGCAAGCTCCGCCTCCCGGGTTCACGCCATTCTCTTGCCTCTGCCTCCTGAATAGCTGGGACTACAGGCGCCCGCCACCAGGCCCGGCTAATTTTTTTGTATTTTTTAGTGGAGACGGGGTTTCACCGTGTTAGCCAGGATGGTCTCGATCTCCTGACCTCATGATCCACCTGCCTCAGCCTCCCAAAGTGCTGTACCACAGGCGTGTACCACCGTGCCCGGCCTCTTTTTTTTTTTTTTTTTTTTTTTTTGAGACGGAGTCTTGCTTTTTCACCCCGACTGGAGTGCAGTGGCACAATCTCGGCTCACTGCAACCTCCGCCTCCCAGGTTCAAGCGATTCTCCTGCCTCAGCCTCCCAAGTAGCTGGGATTACAGGCATGTGCCACGACGCCTGGCTAATTTTTGTATTTTCATTTATTTATTTTTTTAAGACAGAGCCTTCCTTGCTCTTGTCGCCCAGGCGGGAGTGCAGTGGAGCGATTTTGGCAAACCGCAACCTCCGCCTCCTGGGTTCAAGCAATTCTCCTGCCTCAGCCACCTGAGTAGCTGGGATTACAAGCACCCGTCACCACGCCCAGCTAATTTTTGCATTTTTAATAGAGACGGGGTTTCACCATTTTGGTCAGGCTGGTCTCGAACTCCTGACCTCAGGTGATCCACTCTCCTCGGCCTCGGAAAGTGCTGGGATTACCAGCTTGAGCCACCGTGCCTGGCTTCTTAGTTGCTTTCTATTAAGTTTTGTGCCTTTTTTAAGAGGAGGAAACTGGCTCAGAGGGGTTAAATAACTTGTTCATTGCTTGTATAACAGTGGATTGGGGATGTTACACTGAAATTTGAATCCGGGGCTAGGTGTGGTGGCTCAAGCATGTAATCCCAGCACTTTGGGAGGCCGAGGCGAATCACTTAAGCCCAGGAGTTCAAGACCAGGCTGGGCAACAGAGTGAGACCCAGTCTATAAACAAAAAGAATAAGAAACTTGGGCTGGGCGCGGTGGCTGACGCCTGTAATCCCAGCACTTTGGGAGGCTGAGGCGGGCGGATCACGAGATCAGGAGATCGAGACCATCCTGGCTAACATAGTGAAACCCCGTCTCTACTAAAAATACAAAAAAATAGCTGGGCGTGGTGGCGGGCGCCTGTAGTCCCAGCTACTTGGGAGGCTGAGGCAGGAGAATGGCGTGAACCCAGGAGGCAGAGCGTGCAGCGAGCCAAGATTGCGTCACTGGACTCCAGCCTGGGCAACAGAGCGAGACTCTGTCTCAAAAAAAAAAAAGAAAGAAATTTGAACCTGGCTGTGTGTGGTGGCTCACACCTGTAATCCCAGCACTTTGGGCAGCCGAGGCAGGTGGATCACCTGAGGTCAGGAATTCAAGATCAGCCTGACCAACATGGTGAAACCCTGTCTATCCTAAAAAATAAAAAATAATAATAATTAGGTTTGGTGATGCGCTTGTAGTCCCAGCTACCTGGGAGGCTGAGGCAGGAGAATCGCTTGAACCCAGGAGGCGGGGGTTGCAGTGAGCCGAAATTGTGACACCGCACTCCAGCTTGGACAACAGAGTGAAATGCTGTCTCAAAAAAAAAGAAATTTGAACTCAGAAAGTTGTGTCCTCAGGTGTAGTTTTTTTTTCTATCAATTACTCTTTCGGGAACTCAGATTATCATAAAATTAAGAGGTCCAGGCCAGGCATGGTGGCTCACGCCTGTAATCTTAGCACTTTGGGAGGCCAAGGCAGGCGGATTACCTGAGATTGGGGGTTCAAGACCAGCCTGGCCAACATGGTGAAACCCCGTCTCTACTAAAAATACAAAAAATTAGCCGGGTGCAGTAGCGTGCACCTGTAATCCCAGCTACTCTGGAGAGGCTGAGGCAGGATAATCGGTTTGAACCCGGGAGGCAGAGGTTGCAGTGAGCCCAGATCGTGCCACTGCCCTCCGGCCTGGGCTACAGAGCGAGACTTCGTCTCAAAATAAATAAATAAATAAAAGTCCAAATCCCCCAAACTGGTATATGACGTTCTCTGCTTCTCTAGTCTTTTTTATTTTTTTTTTTTTGAGACGGAGTCTCGCTCTGTTGCCCAGGATGGAGTGTGGTGGCACAATCTTGGCTCAGCGCAACCTCCACCTCCTAGATTCAAGCGACTCTTCTTGCCTCAGTCTCCCGAGTAGCTGGGACTACAGGCGCGCGCCACCATGCCCAGCTAATTTTTGTATTATTAGTGGAGACGGGGGTTTCACCACATTGGCTAGGCTGGTCTTGAACTCCTGACCTCGTGATCCGCCGGACTTAGCCTCCCAAAGTGCTAGGATTACAGTTGTGAGCCACCGTGCCCGGCTGAAACTATTGATCTTTAAACAATCTCTCCAGTCTCTGAGACTCTGCACATGTTCCCTTTTGGAATGCCCCCTTTGCCATCTTCTACCGACCTTCAATTTTTATTTGCTTTACTTCAGTGTTTGTTTCCCAGAGTTGAATGAGCTAGGCAGACAAATTAATCCAAAGTTTAGAGGGATAATAGTGATTGGTTTTGTTTTAGATGTAAGCAATAAAAGCAAAATAAGCAGAAAAGGGAAGGACCAAGTTTTATTTTTATTTTTTGGGACGGAGTCTGGCTCTGTTGCCTAGGCTGGAGTGCAGTGGCACAATCTCGGCTCACCATTACCTCTGCCTCCTGGGTTCAAGCAATTCTCCTGCCTCCGCCTCCCAAGTAGTTGAAACTACAGGTGTGCGCCACTATGCCCGGCTAATTTTTGTATTTTTAGTAGACACAAGGTTTCACTATGTTGTCCAGGCTGGTCTCAAACTCCTGACCTCATGATCCGCCCACCTTGGTCTCCCAAAATGATGGGATTATAGGCGTCAGCCACCGCACCCGGCCTAGGACCAAGTTTTTATACTCCTAGAAGGTTCTAGGTAACTCCGTTCTACCTGAATCACTGCAGAGATTCTCTAGGTCCAGAGAGCTGATGTAGTTACTGTACACCCCAGCCTGGGTCATTGGGGAAAGGCTCAAAGTAATGGCATGGCACGCTCATTCTAGCTTCATGGAAAGCAGCAGCTACAGAGACACAGTTCTTCACCTGGAGCCTGAGCTCTACAGCTTAACTTCTGTATCTGCATTACCAAGGGGGTATTGGAAACAATTCAAGGTTTTTATGGGATTCCACAGCCCAAAGGAGACTAAGAAGCCCTCTCTAATTCCATCTCCTGTTAAAATGGGAAAACAGGCCAGGCGCAGTCACGCCTATCATCCCAGCACTTTGGGAGGCTGAGGCAGGCGGATTACCTGAGGTCAGGAGTTCGAGACCAGCCTGGCCAACATGGCGAAACCTCGTCTCTACTAAAAATAAAAAATTAGCCGGGTGTGGTGGCTTGCGCCTGTAATCCCAGCTACTGTGGAGGCTGAGGCAGGAGAATCACTTGAACCCGGGAGGGGGAGGTTGCAGTGAGCAGAGACCGTGCCATTGCACTCCATCCTGGGCAACAAGAGCGAAACTGTCTCAAAAAGAAAAAAAAAAAAAGATGGGAAAACAGAAAACTCAATAGTGTAGATTAAGGAGATAAGCATTGGCTGGGCGCAGTGGCTCACGCCTATCATCTCAGCACTATGGGAGGCTGAGGTGGAGGAACCATGTGAGGTCAGGAGTTGGAGACTAGCCTGGCCAATGTGATGAAACTCCACCTCTACTAAAAAACACAAAGATTAGCCAGGCGATAGTGGCGTGAGCCTGTAATCCCAGCTACTTGGGAGGCTGAGGCAGGACAATCGCTTGAGCCCAGGAGGCAGAGGTTGCAGTGAGCCAAGATCGTGCCACTGTACTCCAGTCTGGGTGACAGAGTGAGATTGTCTCAAAAAAAAAAAAAAAAGAGATATGCATTGATAATCCTTTCCACCAAGAAACAGTTCAATCTTGGGCAAAAGAGCCTTAGGTATAAATTAAAAATAACAGCATCTACTCATATAAAACACCCATTATGTTGCCTGGCTCATGTCACTCATGAGCTAGTTAGTGGGTTTTTGTCACAGGGGTCTTCTGCCCCCCTTGAGTTCTGGACCTAAAAGTGCTGAGGCTGAAGCCTCCTAAGACATGAGCAGTTACAACCATACTCCCCAACTGTTAGCCCTATCTTATGCTGTTAGGTGAAGGGGCAGAGCCTGCAGTGGCTGGAAGAAAATGTCACAAGCTCTCAGCCTTTCTTGAAGCCCTGGCCAAGTATAAAACAGAGCAGGAAGGTCCTTCCACCTTTCACTCCTTTTCTGCCCAGAAAAAACAGAGAACAGGGGCTCTTTCTTCTTCTGGGCTCTGCTACCTCCCCAGGCCCTCCCCTGCATTAGACACCACAAGACACGGACGGCCGACTCCCCCTTAAATAGCTGTTTATTTGGCAGTGTGCCGGAAAGGGTGATGGACTTAGCATTCACAGACGACACCACACACCACTGTCACGAGGGAAGAAAGAGCGCGGGCAAGCCAGCCTGGAGCCCCGAGGAGGCGGCCTCCTCTTCAAGAGTGGGAGGGGGCAGGGCCTGGAGTGTTGGGGGCAGCCTGGGAACACCTCCGCTTAATAGGCGTGGTTAGAGACGAAGAGGGACTCGCTGGCAGCAGCCCCAGCCTGACCGCTCGGAGTGTACTTTCCTTGACAGGCAAGGCTGTTGGCCTAAGCAGGGAGAGGGGTGGAGTGAGAAGGGCTCTTCTCCGAGTCCCATCCACCCAGGCACCCTGCCCACCTCCTGCCTATCCTTACCAGGGCTCGCTTGACATACTCCTCCTGCGCAGCCTTCAGGTTCTCCTTCTTCCCGCCCCAGGCCTTCAGGGCAGAGGCCTGCAGGGCTCGGCCGTAGGAGAAGGTCAGGGCCCAGGGCTTCAGCAGGGGGCACTTGTTAATGGCATTGAGGTTGATGGACGCCTCCTCCTCACTCTGGCCTCCAGACAGGAAGGTGATCCCTGTAGAGCAGGGGTGAGGCGAGAGGGGCTGTGGTCAGAGACCCAGGAAGCTGGCAGGAGCTGGTGGAAGTTGCCATGGAAATCCGTCCAAATGGGCATAGGGTTGTGGGTGGAGCTTATCTACTGCATAGAGATCAAGATGAGTGTGGGCCTCACCAGTGACAGCGGGGGGCACTGTGCGGCGCAGCGCTGTGACGGTCGCCATGGCAATCTCCTCATGAGAAAACTTCTGAGTGCAAGCATGGCCTGGGGTGACCATGTTGGGCTTCAGCAAGGTGCCTTCCAGGTAGATGTGGTGGTCACTCAGAGCCTTGTAGACAGCAGCCAGCACCTGGAGCAGAGCAGGCGCACGGTGGGTAGTGGGGTGGAGGAGAGGATAGGGGTTAGCCCCAGGGTCCCCGGCCAGCCACCTTGCACTGGTCAGGCAGGTAGCCATTTACCTTCTCGGTCACATACTGGCAGCGCTTCAAGTCATGGTCCCCATCAGGGAGGATCTCAGGCTCCACGATGGGCACAATGCCATTCTGCAGGGCGAGGGACAGGGTCACTGTGAGGCCTCCTAACCCAGAGTCCCACCTACATCTCTCCACAGCCACTGGTCAAGACCGTATCTTGATGATGCCAGGGACTCAGGCTTCAAAGCCCTCAGATTACAGGAGACAAGAGCCGCCTCAGATCCACCCACCATCCCTCCTTGGCCCCTCTGCCTTCAACAGCCCTTGAGTGTCCTCCACGGGCCAAAGCTAATGCTTGCTTTTGGGGAGGTAGGCATCATGGCAGGTAATAGGCAAATTAACAACACTGGAACCAAATGAGGTAGGAGGTTGCCTATTGAGGACCTGCAGGCCCACCTGCTGGCAGATACTGGCATAACGGGCCAGAACATTGGCATTTTCCATGATGGCGAGGGCTGAGGGGGTGTGTTCCCCAATCTTCAGCACACAACGCCACTTGGCGAAGTCAGCTCCGTCCTTCTTGTACTGGGCACAGCGCTCAGACAGCCCATCCAACCCTAAGAGAAGAGGAAGGGGTCAGAGCACGGTGGGGAGGGGCATGTGGTTTCCACTCCTCCCAGCACCCAAACCTGCTCTGGTTGGGTTCGTAGGGCAGAGAATCAAACAGTTCTCACCTTGGGTGGTAGTCTCGCCATTTGTCCCTGCCAGGGGGACCACGCCCTTGTCTACCTGTTGGGGTCAGGGTAACAACATTAAGACACAGGAAATGACCTCTAGCACCCTTTCCACTGTCGCCCCGGCTGGAGTACAGTGGTGGAATCTCAGCTCACTGAAGCCTCCACTTCCTGGACTCAAGTGATCCTCCCGCCTCAGCCTCCTAGGTAGCTGGGCGTGCCCCTCTTTCCTCTTCTTTAGCCCCAGTCTTCCCCCACATTTACTTAATCCCTTAAACTGCATCTCAGGGCTGGCAAATATTTTCACTTAGTTACAATTAAAATATTTAGTTACTTAAGCCGGGCATGGTGGCTCACGCCTGTAATCCCAGCACTTTGGGAGGCCGAGGTGGGCAGATCACGAGATCAGGAGATCGAGACCATCCTGGCTAACATGGTGAAACCCAGTGTCTACTAAAAATACAAAAAAAATTAGCCGGGTGGTGGCGGGCGCCTGTAGTCCCAGCTACTCGGGAGGCTGAGGCAGGAGAATGGCGTGAACCTGGGAGGCGGAACTTGCAGTGAGCCAAGAGATCGCACCACTGCACTCCAGCCTGGGAGACAGCGAGACTCCATCTCAAAAAAAAAAAAAAAAAAAATTTACTTAAAATGTTTAGTTACTCAAATACTTAGTTACAATTAAATTAAAATATTTTCACTTAGTTCACTTAGTAACAATCCTCTGAGACAGGATACACTGGGATGTTATTTGACAACAGAAATGTTGAGTGAATTGGGTGTCAGACTGGGGCTCTGCCACTTACTCTGAGCAAAACACTTCACTTCCCTGAGCTTCTGAGATTTTCATGTGTAAAGTGGGAATGATACTGTTCTCTCAGAATTGTGAGGATTAAAAATGTCGAGTAAATGCCCTAAGCCTGAAGCAGGCTCCATGCAAGTCTCTAGGCCACCAATCCAGCATTCATTCCCTGCCTCACTAACCTGGATTTCCTTCCTCCACTTCCATCTCAAACCTCACGTCCGGAGGCCCTCCCCTTACCTTGATGCCCACAACACCGCCCTTGGATTTGATAACTTGGGGGAAGGGACGCCCATCATCCGCCTTCTGGTAGAGTGTCTCATGGAAGAGGATGACACCCCCAATGCAGGGGTTCACGCGGTCGTCAGCTGTCAGCAGCAGCTGGCGGTAGAAGCGCCGGTTCTCCTCGGTGTTCTCGGTGCCAATGGACTGCAGCCGCTTGGCAATGCTCCCTGGGAGTGTCACATGGGAATTAGGGGATCAGCCTGCCACTCCCAACCCTGCACCCTCCACCCATTCTGTCTCCTGCCCGCACCAGTGGACTCATCTGCAGCCAGGATGCCCTTGCCAGGTGCCACGATGCGGTGAGCGATGTCAGACAGCTCCTTCTTCTGCTCCGGGGTCAGTGCTGGATATTGGTAGGGCATGGTGCTGGTAGTAGCAAGTTCCTGGATACAGGAAACAGAGGGGAAGGACTAGTTAGCTAGGGTTTCCCATCATCTCCCGATGACCAGGGCCCCTCTCCTGGAGGTCAGGGAAATGTTCCCTACCTCCCCTGCCCCACACCCAGCAGGCCCTGGGGCACTTCTGGTCCCCAGCTCTCTCTTACGCCCAACTTCCCTTTGCTAGGCCTGCCCCTGTACCTTTCCTAACTCTGTCTGGTGCTGGGTGTTGCCCAGCTGAGGGTGGAGTTGCCCACTGGCAACTGGGGGAAAGGAAAAGGCCATAGCCATGGACAGGTGGGTCATGTTGAAGCTGGACCCTTCTGGCTTGCGCCTTGCCATGGGGTCACCTTGCCTGAAAACAAAACCGAACCGGAGTATTTTAGAATGTAAAGATCGTGAATCAAGCAGAGGGCCCAACACCCTCGTGGGAAAGGGCCCAGATATGGGAAAGGTCTGTGCTTCAAGCCACACAGCAACCCCGGAGCCAGATCTGAGATTAGAACCCAGCTCTTCTGACTGCCACTGGGGTGTTCCTTCCAATCCCCTCAAGATCCCAGGGCTGGCCCGGGCTCCAAGGCTTCAAGGACATCCCAAGGTCAGGCTTTTCCCCACAAGGGAGGGGGCGGGTGGTAGGAAAGGGGCATTAGGAAAAATATAAGAGAGCAAGGAGAAGCCCAGGAAAGGGCGGCGGAACAAGCCCTAGCCCGAGGCGAGGAAAGCGGTAAGCTTTGCCATCGTCACTGTTCCTACGGGGCAAGAACGTGGAGGAGCAAGCGCCTTCCCCTGAAAAATGCTCCCGTCGCTTCGCATGGCTGCAGCTGTTCCGGGCTCAGAATCAAGGTCGCCCGATAAGGAGAGACAGGGAAAGTGTTAAGGGGGCATCAAGCACCGCGGAGGGGTTTCCCTCCTCGCGAAGGGCGCCCCGTTTCCCAGGACAGAAACCAAGCTCCCACTTGCGAGAACCCTGGGGCTGTACATGGGCCGGCCCCCACCCCTCACTGCCTCTTAGGATCCCCGCCAGGGCTAAGGGGCCCTAATCCTTTGCCACAGGGGTCCCTGCAAGAAAAGGGGGAGAATGGTCCTTCATCTCGTCCGGCTTCCTCCCCCGCCATGACTCAGCGCGCGCAGCCGCTGCATTGCGCAGTTAGAGGACCTCAGGCTGGAGGGGCCGGGGAGCCTGTGTGTGCCTGGTAGTGGGGAGACGCTGGCATGGGATGGGGGAGGCCTCCACGCGGACGCCCAACCCGCCACTGCCCCCAAGATCCCTCTCCACGGTCCCTGGTCCCCGCACGTGAAGAGGGGCGCTCACCTGGCACAGGAGAGGGGCGGGTGTGCAGGGTGCGGCGGCAGAGGGCGGCGGGCTGGCGAGTGGATTCAAGGAGAGAACGCGGGACTCGTCACCAGGACCCCTTCTGCGGCGCGTTCCGAGAGGAACGCAGCCGATTTAGCCTCGGAAGGGGCGGCGCAGGAGGCGGGCAGGCGGAAGGCGGCGCCCGGCCTTTTAAAGGCACCACTCCGCCCTCCGCCGAGCTTTTTCCTTTACGAGGAGCGGGCGGCGTCCAATGGCAGGCGACGGACTGGGCTACGGGCCGCCCCCGAGAGGCGCAGCCCAGAGGCCGCGCTAGGAAGGGGCGGGCGCCGAGAACACGATCCCTCCCCACCCCCCTCGGACGTGACTCGGACCACATCCCGCGGGTCGCTAGGGCCCTCCCTTCTGCTCCTTTCCCCCAGCCTGGCGCGCTCTGGGGCGCCGTGACTCAGCCAGAATGTTGGCAATGGGGGAGGGCGGAACGGGGAAGTGGAGGACGCGGATGGAAAAGTCGGAAACGAAGGAAGCTGAGTTTCGCCTCCCAGGCCCAGCGCGCGCGGCCCGGGGCCGCCCCAGCTTCCGGTCTTCGCGGCTGCAGCGCGTGTCACCATAGGGGCCACATCGCGCAGTCGTGCGTTAGCCTGCCTCGCCCGCGGGCTGAATCGGCGCGGAGCCGACACCCTGTCACTGGCCCAGGCGTAAGGGAGGCGGAGGAAAGGGCATCGAGAGGACACGCAGGGAGCGCGAGAAGGCGGCGGAACTAGCGGCGCGCGGAGGCGAGACCTCCCCATCCGAGTTCCAGGCTGGCAGGCCGGGCTGGGTCGCGCATGCGTGCGCGCTCTCCGCCGGGCCGCCGCAGCCAGGCTGGTAGTCCTCTGCGCCACAGAAAACCAGAATGCGCGGCTATGCACCGGCCGCTGCTCGGCCTCTGGCATGCGGGGTCACAGTTCCTGCCAAACGTCTTCCTTGAGCCTGACTTCCTTCTCCAAAAGAAAATCCGTCCCCGAACTGATCTGCCTCCCAGATGCTGAGCCCCCTGCTCCTATCGTCCAAATCTCCCCTCCTCACCTGGACCCCATCTGGACCCTGTTGGCCCAACCCCAACCCCATCCCCACCCCGGCCCGGTCCTGCAAGGGGCCCACCTGCGGCGAGGCCGAAGGAGCCGGCAGAGCCTGGTCAGCAGCGAGTGAGCTAGGGGTTCCCGGGCTGGTTATAAGGCAGCTCCTGCCCGCCCCACATGTGTCCCCGATCTTCTCTAATGACCCCTGCCCTTTTCCCGCCACGGATCCTCTGGCAGGGACCTATATTTAGGGAAACCTGAAGCCCCTGACATTCACACTATCGTGGGGCCCGGCATGGGGGAAGGGGGAGGAAGACTTGGGTCGGCCCTATTGATGGGGAGGGAGCCCCTGCCCACTCACCGGTGCTTCAGAGGAAATTCTTCCTTGGAAATCCAGACGGAGGCCCTTGGTTGTCAAGAGAAATAAATCTTTGGCCAGGGACCTGTGGGAAGGAAAGGGGTGAGGGGACTCGGATCACGTGGCCTCCCTGCCACCCTCCCTGGCTCCTTCTCTAATCTCCCTCCTCCCTTGACTCCCTGCGGTGATGGTGGCTGTTCTGATTCTCTGGAGCCCTGGTTTTTTTTAAGAAGGAGAGTAGATACTGGCACTACACTCACCTCCTAAAATAACGGAGAGTCCGTGGACGGAGTGTGGTTGAGGCACCCCTGCGTACCCGGTACTCAAGGGCCAGACTCCTCCTATAACACTTGTGTGTGGTGAGCAGCGCCACCCCCCTGCCCAACTTCAAATAGAATCGTTGACGTGTGGAGGGGAAGGGAAGCCAGGGCACCTGCCCGAGCACTAGCCCCTCTCTTTTCTGGCCCTCCAGAGGAGCTGCCGTCCAGCCGGCCAAGAGTCCTGCCCTGCAGGGAGCCAGGCCCTGCGCTGCCACTTCCAGTTCCCAGGCCTGGGTGCTCGGCAGGCCATCTGTGGTTCCAGTGGCGTGGGGAAAGGCTCTTCAGGGAGGAGGGCACATGGGCCCTGGGGGCTGGCCGCTCCCCAGAGGGCAGGGGCCCTGGGTCCTCATCGGAGCTTGATCTCGAAGCAGAGACAGTTGAGGCTCTGGCAGTCGGGGAGCTGGCACGTACAGGCACAGTCGCAGAGTGGGCAGCAGCGGGGGCAGCGAGGTGCCCAGTCCTGAGGGAGGAGAGAGAGGGTTGAGGGAGGTGGGATGGGGCCACGTCTGTTGCTCTCTAAGGGGAGAAGGGAACAGAGAGGCCTGGGAAATCTCACTTGCCCAGTGGAACAGAGGGTACTGTCCATCATTCCCAGGAACAGTGCAATTCCCTGTGCTGTTGAAAAATCAGCAGTGAGTCCTTGTTCTGAACAACTGAGTTCAGAAGCTAGAAGCAATGATTCAGGGTTCTCTCCTTCCCATTTTATGGGTGAGGAGACTGAGGACCAGAGAGCAACTGGCCCTGGGTCCCGTGCTAGAATTTGGGCCTCCCGGTGTCAAGCTCAAAAGATGGTTCTGCTACAGTCCCGGGGTCTGTGCAGTTGAGGCAGTAGACAGAGAAAGCACACACATTTTTCTGTCCATCATGAAAATGACTTGTGGGCTTTATGGACTTCTTCAGCATGAGACCAAAATAGAGGGTCTCATTCACCATTTTTGAGCATCTACTCTGTGCAACGAACAGACCGCATTCATGAATGATTTTAAAAATCTTTACAGGTATCTTTGAAAATGGCAATTTACCTATTTTTAATTTTTTTTTTTTTTTTGAGACAGGGTCTCACTCTGTTGCCCAGGGTGGAGTGCAATGGTGCGATCTTGGCTCACTGCAACCTCCACCTCCTGGGTTCAAGTAGTTCTGCCTCAGCCTTCTGAGTAGCTGAACTACAGGCGTGAGCCACCACACCCAGCTAATTTTTGTATTTGTAGTAGAGATGGGGGTTTCACCATGTTGGTCAGGCTGGTCTCGGAACTCCTGGCCTCAGATGATCCACCTGCCTCAGCCTCCCAAAGTGCTAAGATTAAAGGAGTGAGCAACTGTGCCCGGCCATTTTTTTTTTTTTTTTTCCGAGATGGAGTTTCACTCCTGTTGCCCAGGCTGGAGCACAATGGCGTGATCTCCACTCACTGCAACTTCCACCTCTGGATTCAAGCGGTTCTCCTGCCTCAGCCTCCCAAGTAGGTGGGATTACAGGCATGTGCCACCACACTTGGCTAATTTTGTATTTTTAGTAGAGACAGGGTTTCGCTATGTTGACCAGGCTGGTCTTGAATTCCTGACCTCAGGTATCTGCCCGCCTTGGCCTCCCAAAGTGCTGGGATTACAGGCATGAACCACCGTGCTCGGCTCATTTTTTGTACTTTTTTTTTTTTTTTTTTGAGACGGA